>NC_000018.10:16431856-16769759 GCF_000001405.40 Homo sapiens | reverse complement strand
GCTGTGTGCTTTTTATATGTATTCCCGCTTCCAGCGAAATCCCCAAAGCTAGCCAAATATCCACTTGCAGATTCCAGAAAAAGAGTGTTTCAAAACTGCTCCTTCAAAACGGTGGTTCAATTCTCTTAGTTGAGTACACACATCTCAAATAAGTTTCTGAGAATGCTTCTGTCTAGTTGTTATGGGAAGATATTTCCTTTTCCAACATAGGCCTGAAAGCGCTCCAAATGTCCACTTCCAGATACTACAAAAGGAGTGATTCAAACCTGCTCTATGATAGGGAATGTTCAACTCTGTGTCCTGAATACAAACATCACAAAGATGTTTCTCAGAACGCTGCAGTCTGCAATTTGTATGAATTCCCGCTTCCAACGAAATCCTCCAAACTAGCCAAATATCCACTTGCAGATTCCACAAAAAGAGCGTTTCAAAACTTCTCTATGAAAAGAAAGGTTCTACTCCTTTAGTTGAGGACACACATCACGAGTAAGTTTCTGAGGGTGCTTCTGTCTAGTTTTTATGGGAAGATATTTCCTTTTTCACCTTAGGCCGGAAAGTGCTCCAAATGTCCACTTACACACACTACAAAAAGAGTGTTTCAAACCTGCTCTGTGAAAGGGAATGTTCAATTCTGTGACTTGAATGCAATCATCACAAAGAACTTTCTGAGAATGCTGCTGTCTGCTTTTTATATGTAATCCCGTTTCCAACGAAATCCTCAAATCTAGCCAAATAGCCACTTGCAGATTCCACAAAAAGAGTGTTTCAAAACTGTTCTGTCTAAAGAAATGTTCAACTGTGTTAGTTGAGGACACACATCAGAAACTAGTTTCTGAGAATGCTTCTGTCTAGTTGTTATGGGAAGATATTTCCTTTTCCAACGTAGGCCTGAAAGCGCTCCAAATGTCCACTTCCAGATACTACAAAAGGAGTGATTCCAACCTGCTCTATGATAGGGAATGTTCAACTCTGTGTCCTGAATACAAACATCACAAAGATGTTTCTCAGAACGCTGCAGTCTGCAATTTGTATGAATTCCCGCTTCCAACGGAAATCCTCAAAACTAGCCAAATATCCACTTGCAGATTCCACAAAAAGAGCGTTTCAAAACTTCTCTATGAAAAGGAAGGTTCTACTCCTTTAGTTGAGGACACACATCACGAGTAAGTTTCTGAGAATGCTTCTGTCTAGTTTTTATGGGAAGATATTTCCTTTTTCACCTTAGGCCGGAAAGTGCTCCAAATGTCCACTTACACACACTATAAAAAGAGTGTTTCAAACCTGCTCTGTGAAAGGGAATGTTCAATTCTGTGACTTGAATGCAATCATCACAAAGAACTTTCTGAGAATGCTGCTGTCTGCTTTTTATATGTAATCCCGTTTCCAACGAAATCCTCAAATCTAGCCAAATAGCCACTTGCAGATTCCACAAAAAGAGAGTTTCAAAACTGTTCTGTCTAAAGAAATATTCAACTGTGTTAGTTGAGGACACACATCAGAAACTAGTTTCTGAGAATGCTTCTGTCTAGTCGTTATGGGAAGATATTTCCTTTTCCAACGTAGGCCTGAAAACGATCAAAATGTCCACTTCCATATACTAAAAAAAGAGTGTTTCAAACCTGCTCTACCAAAGGGAATGTTCTACTCTGTGACTTGAATGCAAACATCCCAAAGAAGTTTCTGAGAATGCTTCTGTCTAGATTTTATCTGAAGACAACCACGTTTCCAACGAAATCGTCAAGGCTAGGCAAATATACTCTTGCAGATTCCAGAAAAAGAGTGTTTCAAAACTGCGCCTTCAAAACGGTGGTTCAATTCTCTTAGTTGAGTACACACATCTCAAATAAGTTTCTGAGAATGCTTCTGCCTAGTTGTTACCGGAAGATATTTCCCTTTCCACCATAGGCCTGAAAGCGCTCCAAATGTCCACTTCCAGATACTACAAAAAGAGTGTTTGAAACCTGCTCTACCAAAGGGAATGTTCTACTCTGTGACTTGAATGCAAACATCCCAAAGAAGTTTCTGAGAATGCTTCTGTCTAGATTTTACCTGAAGACAATCCCGTTTCCCACGAAATCCTCAAAGCTATGCAAATATCCTCTTGCAGATTCTACAAAAAGAGTGTTTCAAAACTGCTCTATGAAAAGAAAGGTTCAACTCTGTCAGTAGAGGGCACACATCACAAACAAGTTTCTGAGAATGCTTGTGTCTAGTTGTTATGGGAAGACATTTCCTTTTTCAACATAGGCCTGAAAGCGCTCCAAATGTCCACTTCCAGATACTACAAAAGGAGTGATTCCAACCTGCTCTATGATAGGGAATGTTCAACTCTGTGTCCTGAATACAAACATCACAAAGATGTTTCTCAGAACGCTGCAGTCTGCAATTTGTATGAATTCCCGCTTCCAACGAAATCCTCAAAACTAGCCAAATATCCACTTGCAGATTCCACAAAAAGACCATTTCAAAACTGCTCTATCAAAAGAAAGGTTCAACTTTGTTAGTTGAGTAGATACAGCATAAACAAGTTTCTGAGAATGCTTCTGTCCAGTTTTTATGGGAAGATATTTCCTTTTTCACCTTAGCCCTAAAATCGCTCCAAAAGTCCAGTTCCAGATACTACAAAAGGGGTGTTTCAAGACTGCTCTATGAAAGGGAGTGTTCAACTTTTGACTTGAATGCAAACATCAGAAAGCAGTTTCTCAGAACGCTGCTGTGTGCTTTTTATATGTATTCCCGCTTCCAGCGAAATCCCCAAAGCTAGCCAAATATCCACTTGCAGATTCCAGAAAAAGAGTGTTTCAAAACTGCTCCTTCAAAACGGTGGTTCAATTCTCTTAGTTGAGTAGACACATCTCAAATAAGTTTCTGAGAATGCTGCAGTCTGCAATTTGTATGAATTCCCGCTTCCAACGAAATCCTCAAAACTAGCCAAATATCCACTTGCAGATTCCACAAAAAGAGCGTTTCAAAACTTCTCTATGAAAAGAAAGGTTCTACTCCTTTAGTTGAGGACACACATCACGAGTAAGTTTCTGAGAAAGCTTCTGTCTAGTTTTTATGGGAAGATACTTCCTTTTTCACCTTAGGCCGGTAAGTGCTCCAAATGTCCACTTACACACACTACAAAAAGAGTGTTTCAAACCTGCTCTGTGAAAGGGAATGTTCAATTCTGTGACTTGAATGCAATCATCACAAAGAACTTTCTGACAATGCTGCTGAGTGCTTTTTATATGTAATCCCGTTTCCAACGAAATCCTTAAATCTAGCCAAATAGCCACTTGCAGATTCCACAAAAAGAGTGTTTCAAAACTGTTCTGTCTAAAGAAATGTTCAACTGTGTTAGTTGAGGACACACATCAGAAACTAGTTTCTGAGAATGCTTCTGTCTAGTTGTTATGGGAAGATATTTCCTTTTCCAACATAGGCCTGAAAGCGCTCCAAATGTCCACTTCCATATACTAAAAAAAGAGTGTTTCAAACCTGCTCTTCCAAAGAGAATGTTCTACTCTGTGACTTGAATAGAAACATCCCAAAGAAGTTTCTGAGAATGCTTCTGTCTAGAATTTATCTGAAGACAATCCCGTATCCAACGAAATCCTCAAGGCTAGGCAAATATATACTTGCAGAATACAGAAAAAGAGTGTTTCAAAACTGCTCCTTCAAAACGGTGGTTCAATTCTCTTAGTTGAGTACACACATCTCAAATAAGTTTCTGAGAATGCTTCTGCCTAGTTGTTACGGGAAGATATTTCCCTTTCCAACATAGGCCTGAAAGCGCTCCAAATGTCCACTTCCAGATACTACAAAAGGAGTGATTCCAACCTGCTCTATGATAGGGAATGTTCAACTCTCTGTCCTGAATACAAACATCACAAAGATGTTTCTCAGAACGCTGCAGTCTGCAATTTGTATGAATTCCCGCTTCCAACGAAATCCTCAAAACTAGCCAAATATCCACTTGCAGATTCCACAAAAAAAGCATTTCAAAACTGCTCTATCAAAAGAAAGGTTCAACTTTGTTAGTTGAGTAGATACAGCATAAACAAGTTTCTGAGAATGCTTCTGTCCAGTTTTTATGGGAAGATATTTCCTTTTTCACCTTAGCCCTGAAAGCGCTCCAAATGTCCAGTTCCAGATACTACAAAAGGAGTGTTTCAGGACTGCTCTATGAAAGGGAGTGTTCAAATTTTGACTTGAATGCAAACATCAGAAAGCAGTTTCTCAGAACGCTGCTGTGTGCTTTTTATATGTATTCCCGCTTCCAGCGAAATCCCCAAAGCTAGCCAAATATCCACTTGCAGATTCCAGAAAAAGAGTGTTTCAAAACTGCTCCTTCAAAACGGTGGTTCAATTCTCTTAGTTGAGTACACACATCTCAAATAAGTTTCTGAGAATGCTTCTGTCTAGTTGTTATGGGAAGATATTTCCTTTTCCAACATAGGCCTGAAAGCGCTCCAAATGTCCACTTCCAGATACTACAAAAGGAGTGATTCAAACCTGCTCTATGATAGGGAATGTTCAACTCTGTGTCCTGAATACAAACATCACAAAGATGTTTCTCAGAACGCTGCAGTCTGCAATTTGTATGAATTCCCGCTTCCAACGAAATCCTCAAAACTAGCCAAATATCCACTTGCAGATTCCACAAAAAGAGCGTTTCAAAACTTCTCTATGAAAAGAAAGGTTCTACTCCTTTAGTTGAGGACACACATCACGAGTAAGTTTCTGAGAATGCTTCTGTCTAGTTTTTATGGGAAGATTATTTCCTTTTTCACCTTAGGCCGGTAAGTGCTCCAAATGTCCACTTACACACACTACAAAAAGAGTGTTTCAAACCTGCTCTGTGAAAGGGAATGTTCAATTCTGTGACTTGAATGCAATCATCACAAAGAACTTTCTGAGAATGCTGCTGTCTGCTTTTTATATGTAATCCCGTTTCCAAAGAAATCCTCAAATCTAGCCCAATATCCACTTGCAGATTCCACAAAAAGAGTGTTTCAAAACTGTTCTGTCTAAAGAAAAGTTCAACTGTGTTAGTTGAGGACACACATCAGAAACTAGTTTCTGAGAATGCTTCTGTCTAGTTGTTATGGGAAGATATTTCCTTTTCCAACGTAGGCCTGAAGCGCTCCAAATGTCCACTTCCAGATACTACAAAAAGAGTGTTTCAAACCTGCTCTACCAAAGGGAATGTTCTACTCTGTGACTTGAATGCAAACATCCCAAAGAAGTTTCTGAGAATGCTTCTGTCTAGATTTGATCTGAAGACAATCCCGTTTCCAACGAAATCCTCAAGGCTAGGCAAATATCCTCTTGCAGATTCCAGAAAAAGAGTGTTTCAAAACTGCTCCTTCAAAACGGTGGTTCAATTCTCTTAGTTGAGTACACACATCTCAAATAAGTTTCTGAGAATGCTTCTGCCTAGTTGTTACGGGAAGATATTTCCCTTTCCAACATAGGCCTGAAAGCGCTCCAAATGTCCACTTCCAGATACTACAAAAAGAGTGTTTCAAACCTGCTCTACCAAAGGGAATGTTCTACTCTGTGACTTGAATGCAAACATCCCAAAGAAGTTTCTGAGAATGCTTCTGTCTAGATTTTATCTGAAGACAATCCCGTTTCCAACGAAATCCTCAAGGCTAGGCAAATGTCCTCTTGCAGATTCCTGAAAAAGAGTGTTTCAAAACTGCTCCTTCAAAACGGTGGTTCAATTCTCTTAGTTGAGTACACACATCTCAAATAAGTTTCTGAGAATGCTTCTGCCTAGTTGTTACGGGAAGATATTTCCCTTTCCAACATAGGCCTGAAAGCGCTCCAAATGTCCACTTCCAGATACTACAAAAAGAGTGTTTCAAACCTGCTCTACCAAAGGGAATGTTCTACTCTGTGACTTGAATGCAAACATCCCAAAGAAGTTTCTGAGAATGCTTCTGTCTAGATTTTACCTGAAGACAATCCCGTTTCCCACGAAATCCTCAAAGCTATGCAAATATCCTCTTGCAGATTCTACAAAAAGAGTGTTTCAAAACTGCTCTATGAAAAGAAAGGTTCAACTCTGTCAGTAGTGGGCACACATCACAAACAAGTTTCTGAGAATGCTTGTGTCTAGTTGTTATGGGAAGATATTTCCTTTTTCAACATAGGCCTGAAAGCGCTCCAAATGTCCACTTCCAGATACTACAAAAGGAGTGATTCCAACCTGCTCTATGATAGGGAATGTTCAACTCTCTGTCCTGAATACAAACATCACAAAGATGTTTCTCAGAACGCTGCAGTCTGCAATTTGTATGAATTCCAGCTTCCAACGAAATCCTCAAAACTAGCCAAATATCCACTTGCAGATTCCACAAAAAGAGCGTTTCAAAACTTCTCTATGAAAAGAAAGGTTCTACTCCTTTAGTTGAGGACACACATCACGAGTAAGTTTCTGAGAATGCTTCTGTCTAGTTTTTAAGGGAAGATATTTCCTTTTTCACCTTAGGCCGGAAAGTGCTCCAAATGTCCACTTACACACACTACAAAAAGAGTGTTTCAAACCTGCTCTGTGAAAGGGAATGTTCAATTCTGTGACTTGAATGCAATCATCACAAAGAACTTTCTGAGAATGCTGCTGTCTGCTTTTTATATGTAATCCCGTTTCCAACGAAATCCTCAAATCTAGCCAAATAGCCACTTGAAGATTCCACAAAAAGAGTGTTTCAAAACTGTTCTGTCTAAAGAAATGTTCAACTGTGTTAGTTGAGGACACACATCAGAAACTAGTTTCTGAGAATGCTTCTGTCTAGTTGTTATGGGAAGATATTTCCTTTTCCAACGTAGGCCTGAAAGCGCTCCAAATGTCCACTTCCATATACTAAAAAAAGAGTGTTTCAAACCTGCTCTACCAAAGGGAATGTTCTACTCTGTGACTTGAATGCAAACATCCCAAAGAAGTTTCTGAGAATGCTTCTGTCTAGATTTTATCTGAAGACAATCCCGTTTCCAACGAAATCCTCAAGGCTAGGCAAATATACTCTTGCAGATTCCAGAAAAAGAGTGTTTCAAAACTGCTCCTTCAAAAGGGTGGTTCAATTCTCTTAGTTGAGTACACACATCTCAAATAAGTTTCTGAGAATGCTTCTGCCTAGTTGTTACGGGAGGATATTTCCCTTTCCAACATGGGCCTGAAAGCGCTCCAAATGTCCACTTCCAGATACTACAAAAAGAGTGTTTCAAACCTACTCTACCAAAGGGAATGTTCTACTCTGTGACTTGAATGCAAACATCCCAAAGAAGTTTCTGAGAATGCTTCTGTCTAGATTTTACCTGAAGACAATCCCGTTTCCCACGAAATCCTCAAAGCTATGCAAATATCCTCTTGCAGATTCTACAAAAAGAGTGTTTCAAAACTGCTCTATGAAAAGAAAGGTTCTACTCTGTCAGTAGAGGGCACACATCACAAACAAGTTTCTGAGAATGCTTGTGTCTAGTTGTTATGGGAAGATATTTCCTTTTTCAACATAGGCCTGAAAGCGCTCCAAATGTCCACTTCCAGATACTACAAAAGGAGTGATTCCAACCTGCTCTATGATAGGGAATGTTCATCTCTGTGTCCTGAATACAAACATCACAAAGATGTTTCTCAGAACGCTGCAGTCTGCAATTTGTATGAATTCCCGCTTCCAACGAAATCCTCAACACTAGCCAAATATCCACTTGGAGATTCCACAAAAAGAGCGTTTCAAAACTTCTCTATGAATAGAAAGGTTCTACTCCTTTAGTTGAGGACACACATCACGAGTAAGTTTCTGAGAATGCTTCTGTCTAGTTTTTATGGGAAGATATTTCCTTTTTCACCTTAGGCCGGAAAGCGCTCCAAATGTCCACTTACACACACTACAAAAAGAGTGTTTCAAACCTGCTCTGTGAAAGGGAATGTTCAATTCTGTGACTTGAATGCAATCATCACAAAGAACTTTCTGAGAATGCTGCTGTCTGCTTTTTATATGTAATCCCGTTTCCAACGAAATCCTCAAATCTAGCCCAATATCCACTTGCAGATTCCACAAAAAGAGTGTTTCAAAACTGTTCTGTCTAAAGAAATGTACAACTGTGTTAGTTGAGGACACACATCAGAAACTAGTTTCTGAGAATGCTTCTGTCTAGTTGTTATGGGAAGATATTTCCTTTTCCAACGTAGGCCTGAAAGCGCTCCAAATGTCCACTTCCATATACTAAAAAAAGAGTGTTTCAAACCTGCTCTACCAAAGGGAATGTTCTACTCTGTGACTTGAATGCAAACATCCCAAAGAAGTTTCTGAGAATGCTTCTGTCTAGATTTTATCTGAAGACAATCCCGTTTCCAACGAAATCCTCAAGGCTAGGCAAATATACTCTTGCAGATTCCAGAAAAAGAGGGTTTCAAAACTGCTCCTTCAAAACGGTGGTTCAATTCTCTTAGTTGAGTACACACATCTCAAATAAGTTTCTGAGAATGCTTCTGCCTCGTTGTTACGGGAAGATATTTCCCTTTCCAACATGGGCCTGAAAGCGCTCCAAATGTCCACTTCCAGATACTACAAAAAGAGGGTTTCAAACCTGCTCTACCAAAGGGAATGTTCTACTCTGTGACTTGAATGCAAACATCCCAAAGAAGTTTCTGAGAATGCTTCTGTCTAGATTTTACCTGAAGACAATCCCGTTTCCCACGAAATCCTCAAAGCTATGCAAATATCCTCTTGCAGATTCTACAAAAAGAGTGTTTCAAAACTGCTCTATGAAAAGAAAGGTTCAACTCTGTCAGTAGAGGGCACACATCACAAACAAGTTTCTGAGAATGCTTGTGTCTAGTTGTTATGGGAAGATATTTCCTTTTTCAACATAGGCCTGAAAGCGCTCCAAATGTCCACTTCCAGATACTACAAAAGGAGTGATTCCAACCTGCTCTATGATAGGGAATGTTCATCTCTGTGTCCTGAATACAAACATCACAAAGATGTTTCTCAGAACGCTGCAGTCTGCAATTTGTATGAATTCCCGCTTCCTACGAAATCCTCAACACTAGCCAAATATCCACTTGGAGATTCCACAAAAAGAGCGTTTCAAAACTTCTCTATGAATAGAAAGGTTCTACTCCTTTAGTTGAGGACACACATCACGAGTAAGTTTCTGAGAATGCTTCTGTCTAGTTTTTATGGGAAGATATGTCCTTTTTCACCTTAGGCCGGAAAGCGCTCCAAATGTCCACTTACACACACTACAAAAAGAGTGTTTCAAACCTGCTCTGTGAAAGGGAATGTTCAATTCTGTGACTTGAATGCAATCATCACAAAGAACTTTCTGAGAATGCTGCTGTCTGCTTTTTATATGTAATCCCGTTTCCAACGGAAATCCTCAAATCTAGCCAAATATCCACTTGCAGATTCCACAAAGAGAGTGTTTCAAAACTGTTCTGTCTAAAGAAATGTTCAACTGTGTTAGTTGAGGACACACATCAGAAACTAGTTTCTGAGAATGCTTCTGTCTAGTTATGGGAAGAGATTTCCTTTTCCAACGTAGGCCTGAAAGCGCTCCAAATGTCCACTTCCATATACTAAAAAAAGAGCGTTTCAAACCTGCTCTACCAAAGGGAATGTTCTACTCTGTGACTTGAATGCAAACATCCCAAAGAAGTTTCTGAGAATGCTTCTGTCTAGATTTTATCTGAAGACAATCCCGTTTCCAACGAAATCCTCAAGGCTAGGCAAATATACTCTTGCAGATTCCAGAAAAAGAGGGTTTCAAAACTGCTCCTTCAAAACGGTGGTTCAATTCTCTTAGTTGAGTACACACATCTCCAATAAGTTTCTGAGAATGCTTCTGCCTAGTTGTTACGGGAAGATATTTCCCTTTCCAACATGGGCCTGAAAGCGCTCCAAATGTCCACTTCCAGATACTACAAAAAGAGTGTTTCAAACCTGCTCTACCAAAGGGAATGTTCTACTCTGTGACTTGAATGCAAACATCCCAAAGAAGTTTCTGAGAATGCTTCTGTCTAGATTTTACCTGAAGACAATCCCGTTTCCCACGAAATCCTCAAAGCTATGCAAATATCCTCTTGCGGATTCTACAAAAAGAGTGTTTCAAAACTGCTCTATGAAAAGAAAGGTTCAACTCTGTCAGTAGAGGGCACACATCACAAACAAGTTTCTGAGAATGCTTGTGTCTAGTTGTTATGGGAAGTATATTTCCTTTTTCAACATAGGCCTGAAAGCGCTCCAAATGTCCACTTCCAGATACTACAAAAGGAGTGATTCCAACCTGCTCTATGATAGGGAATGTTCAACTCTCTGTCCTGAATACAAACATCACAAAGATGTTTCTCAGAACGCTGCAGTCTGCAATTTGTATGAATTCCCGCTTCCAACGAAATCCTCAAAACTAGCCAAATATCCACTTGCAGATTCCACAAAAAGAGCATTTCAAAACTGCTCTATCAAAAGAAAGGTTCAACTTTGTTAGTTGAGTAGATACAGCATAAACAAGTTTCTGAGAATGCTTCTGTCCAGTTTTTATGGGAAGATATTTCCTTTTTCACCTTAGCCCTGAAAGCGCTCCAAAAGTCCAGTTCCAGATACTACAAAAGGAGTGTTTCAGGACTGCTCTATGAAAGGGAGTGTTCAACTTTTGACTTGAATGCAAACATCAGAAAGCAGTTTCTCAGAACGCTGCTGTGTGCTTTTTATATGTATTCCCGCTTCCAGCGAAATCCCCAAAGCTAGCCAAATATCCACTTGCAGATTCCAGAAAAAGAGTGTTTCAAAACTGCTCCTTCAAAACGGTGGTTCAATTCTCTTAGTTGAGTACACACATCTCAAATAAGTTTCTGAGAATGCTTCTGTCTAGTTGTTATGGGAAGATATTTCCTTTTCCAACATAGGCCTGAAAGCGCTCCAAATGTCCACTTCCAGATACTACAAAAGGAGTGATTCCAACCTGCTCTATGATAGGGAATGTTCAACTCTGTGTCCTGAATACAAACATCACAAAGATGTTTCTCAGAACGCTGCAGTCTGCAATTTGTATGAATTCCCGCTTCCAACGAAATCCTCAAAACTAGCCAAATATCCACTTGCAGATTCCACAAAAAGACCATTTCAAAACTGCTCTATCAAAAGAAAGGTTCAACTTTGTTAGTTGAGTAGATACAGCATAACCAAGTTTCTGAGAATGCTTCTGTCCAGTTTTTATGGGAAGATATTTCCTTTTTCACCTTAGCCCTGAAATCGCTCCAAAAGTCCAGTTCCAGATACTACAAAAGGGGTGTTTCAGGACTGCTCTATGAAAGGGAGTGTTCAACTTTTGACTTGAATGCAAACATCAGAAAGCAGTTTCTCAGAACGCTGCTGTGTGCTTTTTATATGTATTCCCGCTTCCAGCGAAATCCCCAAAGCTAGCCAAATATCCACTTGCAGATTCCAGAAAAAGAGAGTTTCAAAACTGCTCCTTCAAAACGGTGGTTCAATTCTCTTAGTTGAGTACACACATCTCAAATAAGTTTCTGAGAATGCTTCTGTCTAGTTTTTATGGGAAGATATTTCCTTTTTCACCTGAGGCCGGAAAGCGCTCCAAATGTCCACTTCCAGATACTACAAAAGGAGTGATTCAAACCTGCTCTATGATAGGGAACGTTCAACTCTGTGTCCTGAATACAAACATCACAAAGATGTTTCTCAGAACGCTGCAGTCTGCAATTTGTATGAATTCCCGCTTCCAACGAAATCCTCAAAACTAGCCAAATATCCACTTGCAGATTCCACAAAAAGAGCGTTTCAAAACTTCTCTATGAAAAGAAAGTTTCTACTCCTTTAGTTGAGTACACACATCACGAGTAAGTTTCTGAGAATGCTTCTGTCTAGTTTTTATGGGAAGATATTTCCTTGTTCACCTTAGGCCGGAAAGCGCTCCAAATGTCCACTTACACACACTACAAAAAGAGTGTTTCAAACCTGCTCTGTGAAAGGGAATGTTCAATTCTGTGACTTGAATGCAATCATCACAAAGAAGTTTCTGAGAATGCTGCTGTCTGCTTTTTATATGTAATCCCGTTTCCAACGAAATCCTCAAATCTAGCCAAATATCCACTTGCAGATTCCACAAAGAGAGTGTTTCAAAACTGTTCTGTCTAAAGAAATGTTCAACTGTGTTAGTTGAGGACACACATCAGAAACTAGTTTCTGAGAATGCTTCTGTCTAGTTGTTATGGGAAGATATTTCCTTTTCCAACGTAGGCCTGAAAGCGCTCCAAATGTCCACTTCCATATACTAAAAAAAGAGTGTTTCAAACCTGCTCTACCAAAGGGAATGTTCTACTCTGTGACTTGAATGCAAACATCCCAAAGAAGTTTCTGAGAATGCTTCTGTCTAGATTTTATCTGAAGACAATCCCGTTTCCAACGAAATCCTCAAAGCTAGGCAAATATCCTTTTGCAGATTCCAGAAAAAAGAGTGTTTCAAAACTGCTCCTTCAAAACGTTGGTTCAATTCTCTTAGTTGAGTACACACATCTCAAATAAGTTTCTGAGAATGCTTCTGTCTAGTTGTTATGGGAAGATATTTCCTTTTCCAACATAGGCCTGAAAGCGCTCCAAATGTCCACTTCCAGATACTACAAAAGGAGTGATTCAAACCTGCTCTATGATAGGGAATGTTCAACTCTGTGTCCTGAATACAAACATCACAAAGATGTTTCTCAGAACGCTGCAGTCTGCAATTTGTATGAATTCCCGCTTCCAACGAAATCCTCAAAACTAGCCAAATATCCACTTGCAGATTCCACAAAAAGAGCGTTTCAAAACTTCTCTATGAAAAGAAAGGTTCTACTCCTTTAGTTGAGGACACACATCACGAGTAAGTTTCTGAGAATGCTTCTGTCTAGTTTTTATGGGAAGATTATTTCCTTTTTCACCTTAGGCCGGTAAGTGCTCCAAATGTCCACTTACACACACTACAAAAAGAGTGTTTCAAACCTGCTCTGTGAAAGGGAATGTTCAATTCTGTGACTTGAATGCAATCATCACAAAGAACTTTCTGAGAATGCCGCTGACTGCTTTTTATATGTAATCCCGTTTCCAACGAAATCCTCAAATCTAGCCAAATAGCCACTTGCAGATTCCACAAAAAGAGTGTTTCAAAACTGTTCTGTCTAAAGAAATGTTCAACTGTGTTAGTTGAGGACACACATCAGAAACTAGTTTCTGAGAATGCTTCTGTCTAGTTGTTATGGGAAGATATTTCCTTTTCCAACGTAGGCCTGAAAGCAATCAAAATGTCCACTTCCATATACTAAAAAAAGAGTGTTTCAAACCTGCTCTACCAAAGGGAATGTTCTACTCTGTGACTTGAATGCAAACATCCCAAAGAAGTTTCTGAGAATGCTTCTGTCTAGATTTTCTCTGAAGACAATCCCGTTTCCAACGAAATCCTCAAGGCTAGGCAAATATACTCTTGCAGATTCCAGAAAAAGAGTGTTTCAAAACTGCTCCTTCAAAACGGTGGTTCAATTCTCTTAGTTGAGTACACACATCTCAAATAAGTTTCTGAGAATGCTTCTGCCTAGTTGTTACGGGAAGATATTTCCTTTTCCAACATGGGCCTGAAAGCGCTCCAAATGTCCACTTCCAGATACTACAAAAAGAGTGTTTCAAACCTGCTCTACCAAAGGGAATGTTCTACTCTGTGACTTGAATGCAAACATCCCAAAGAAGTTTCTGAGAATGCTTCTGTCTAGATTTTACCTGAAGACAATCCCGTTTCCCACGAAATCCTCAAAGCTATGCAAATATCCTCTTGCAGATTCTACAAAAAGAGTGTTTCAAAACTGCTCTATGAAAAGAAAGGTTCAACTCTGTCAGTAGAGGGCACACATCACAAACAAGTTTCTGAGAATGCTTCTGCATAGTTGTTACGGGAAGATATTTCCCTTTCCAAAATAGGCCTGAAAGCGCTCCAAATGTCCACTTCCAGATACTACAAAAGGAGTGATTCCAACCTGCTCTATGATAGGGAATGTTCAACTCTGTGTCCTGAATACAAACATCACAAAGATGTTTCTCAGAACGCTGCAGTCTGCAATTTGTATGAATTCCCGCTTCCAACGAAATCCTCAAAACTAGCCAAATATCCACTTGCAGATTCCACAAAAAGACCATTTCAAAACTGCTCTATCAAAAGAAAGGTTCAACTTTGTTAGTTGAGTAGATACAGCATAACCAAGTTTCTGAGAATGCTTCTGTCCAGTTTTTATGGGAAGATATTTCCTTTTTCACCTTAGCCCTGAAATCGCTCCAAAAGTCCAGTTCCAGATACTACAAAAGGGGTGTTTCAAGACTGCTCTATGAAAGGGAGTGTTCAACTTTTGACTTGAATGCAAACATCAGAAAGCAGTTTCTCAGAACGCTGCTGTGTGCTTTTTATATGTATTCCCGCTTCCAGCGAAATCCCCAAAGCTAGCCAAATATCCACTTGCAGATTCCAGAAAAAGAGTGTTTCAAAACTGCTCCTTCAAAACGGTGGTTCAATTCTCTTAGTTGAGTACACACATCTCAAATAAGTTTCTGAGAATGCTTCTGTCTAGTTGTTATGGGAAGATATTTCCTTTTGCAACATAGGCCTGAAAGCGCTCCAAATGTCCACTTCCAGATACTACAAAAGGAGTGATTCCAACCTGCTCTATGATAGGGAATGTTCAACTCTGTGTCCTGAATACAAACATCACAAAGATGTTTCTCAGAACGCTGCAGTCTGCAATTTGTATGAATTCCCGCTTCCAACGAAATCCTCAAAACTAGCCAAATATCCACTTGCAGATTCCACAAAAAGAGCGTTTCAAAACTTCTCTATGAAAAGAAAGGTTCTACTCCTTTAGTTGAGGACACACATCACGAGTAAGTTTCTGAGAATGCTTCTGTCTAGTTTTTATGGGAAGATATTTCCTTTTTCACCTTAGGCCGGTAAGGGTTCCAAATGTCCACTTACACACACTACAAAAAGAGTGTTTCAAACCTGCTCTGTGAAAGGGAATGTTCAATTCTGTGACTTGAATGCAATCATCACAAAGAACTTTCTGAGAATGCTGCTGACTGCTTTTTATATGTAATCCCGTTTCCAACGAAATCCTCAAATCTAGCCAAATAGCCACTTGCAGATTCCACAAAAAGAGTGTTTCAAAACTGTTCTGTCTATAGAAATGTTCAACTGTGTTAGTTGAGGACACACATCAGAAACTAGTTTCTGAGAATGCTTCTGTCTAGTTGTTATGGGAAGATATTTCCTTTTCCAACGTAGGCGTGAAAGCGCTCCAAATGTCCACTTCCATATACTAAAAAAAGAGTGTTTCAAACCTGCTCTTCCAAAGGGAATGTTCTACTCTGTGACTTGAATGCAAACATCCCAAAGAAGTTTCTGAGAATGCTTCTGTCTAGATTTTATCTGAAGACAATCCCGTTCCCAGCGAAATCCTCAAGGCTAGGCAAATATACTCTTGCAGATTCCAGAAAAAGAGGGTTTCAAAACTGCTCCTTCAAAACGGTGGTTCAATTCTCTTAGTTGAGTACACACATCTCAAATAAGTTTCTGAGAATGCTTCTGCCTAGTTGTTACGGGAAGATATTTCCCTTTCCAACATGGGCCTGAAAGCGCTCCAAATGTCCACTTCCAGATACTACAAAAAGAGTGTTTCAAACCTGCTCTACCAAAGGGAATGTTCTACTCTGTGACTTGAATGCAAACATCCCAAAGAAGTTTCTGAGAATGCTTCTGTCTAGATTTTACCTGAAGACAATCCCGTTTCCCACGAAATCCTCAAAGCTATGCAAATATCCTCTTGCAGATTCTACAAAAAGAGTGTTTCAAAACTGCTCTATGAAAAGAAAGGTTCAACTCTGTCAGTAGAGGGCACACATCACAAACAAGTTTCTGAGAATGCTTCTGCATAGTTGTTACGGGAAGATATTTCCCTTTCCAAAATAGGCCTGAAAGCGCTCCAAATGTCCACTTCCAGATACTACAAAAGGAGTGATTCCAACCTGCTCTATGATAGGGAATGTTCAACTCTGTGTCCTGAATACAAACATCACAAAGATGTTTCTCAGAACGCTGCAGTCTGCAATTTGTATGAATTCCCGCTTCCAACGAAATCCTCAAAACTAGCCAAATATCCACTTGCAGATTCCACAAAAAGACCATTTCAAAACTGCTCTATCAAAAGAAAGGTTCAACTTTGTTAGTTGAGTAGATACAGCATAAACAAGTTTCTGAGAATGCTTCTGTCCAGTTTTTATGGGAAGATATTTCCTTTTTCACCTTAGCCCTGAAATCGCTCCAAAAGTCCAGTTCCAGATACTACAAAAGGGGTGTTTCAGGACTGCTCTATGAAAGGGAGTGTTCAACTTTTGACTTGAATGCAAACATCAGAAAGCAGTTTCTCAGAACGCTGCTGTGTGCTTTTTATATGTATTCCCGCTTCCAGCGAAATCCCCAAAGCTAGCCAAATATCCACTTGCAGATTCCAGAAAAAGAGAGTTTCAAAACTGCTCCTTCAAAACGGTGGTTCAATTCTCTTAGTTGAGTACACACATCTCAAATAAGTTTCTGAGAATGCTTCTGTCTAGTTGTTATGGGAAGATATTTCCTTTTCCAACATAGGCCTGAAAGCGCTCCAAATGTCCACTTCCAGATACTACAAAAGGAGTGATTCAAACCTGCTCTATGATAGGGAATGTTCAACTCTGTGTCCCGAATACAAACATCACAAAGATGTTTCTCAGAACGCTGCAGTCTGCAATTTGTATGAATTCCCGCTTCCAACGAAATCCTCAAAACTAGCCAAATATCCACTTGCAGATTCCACAAAAAGAGCGTTTCAAAACTTCTCTATGAAAAGAAAGGTTCTACTCCTTTAGTTGAGGACACACATCACGAGTAAGTTTCTGAGAATGCTTCTGTCTAGTTTTTATGGGAAGATATTTCCTTTTTCACCTTAGGCCAGTAAGTGCTCCAAATGTCCACTTACACACACTACAAAAAGAGTGTTTCAAACCTGCTCTGTGAAAGGGAATGTTCAATTCTGTGACTTGAATGCAATCATCACAAAGAACTTTCTGAGAATGCTGCTGACTGCTTTTTATATGTAATCCCGTTTCCAACGAAATCCTCAAATCTAGCCAAATAGCCACTTGCAGATTCCACAAAAAGAGTGTTTCAAAACTGTTCTGTCTAAAGAAATGTTCAACTGTGTTAGTTGAGGACACACATCAGAAACTAGTTTCTGAGAATGCTTCTGTCTAGTTGTTATGGGAAGATATTTCCTTTTCCAACGTAGGCCTGAAAGCGATCCAAATGTCCACTTCCATATACTAAAAAAAGAGTGTTTCAAACCTGCTCTACCAAAGGGAATGTTCTACTCTGTGACTTGAATGCAAACATCCCAAAGAAGTTTCTGAGAATGCTTCTGTCTAGATTTTCTCTGAAGACAATCCCGTTTCCAACGAAATCCTCAAGGCTAGGCAAATATACTCTTGCAGATTCCAGAAAAAGAGTGTTTCAAAACTGCTCCTTCAAAACGGTGGTTCAATTCTCTTAGTTGAGTACACACATCTCAAATAAGTTTCTGAGAATGCTTCTGCCTAGTTGTTACGGGAAGATATTTCCCTTTCCAACATGGGCCTGAAAGCGCTCCAAATGTCCACTTCCAGATACTACAAAAAGAGTGTTTCAAACCTGCTCTACCAAAGGGAATGTTCTACTCTGTGACTTGAATGCAAACATCCCAAAGAAGTTTCTGAGAATGCTTCTGTCTAGATTTTACCTGAAGACAATCCCGTTTCCCACGAAATCCTCAAAGCTATGCAAATATCCTCTTGCAGATTCTACAAAAAGAGTGTTTCAAAAGTGCTCTATGAAAAGAAAGGTTCAACTCTGTCAGTAGAGGGCACACATCACAAACAAGTTTCTGAGAATGCTTCTGCATAGTTGTTACGGGAAGATATTTCCCTTTCCAAAATAGGCCTGAAAGCGCTCCAAATGTCCACTTCCAGATACTACAAAAGGAGTGATTCCAACCTGCTCTATGATAGGGAATGTTCAACTCTGTGTCCTGAATACAAACATCACAAAGATGTTTCTCAGAACGCTGCAGTCTGCAATTTGTATGAATTCCCGCTTCCAACGAAATCCTCAAAACTAGCCAAATATCCACTTGCAGATTCCACAAAAAGACCATTTCAAAACTGCTCTATCAAAAGAAAGGTTCAACTTTGTTAGTTGAGTAGATACAGCATAAACAAGTTTCTGAGAATGCTTCTGTCCAGTTTTTATGGGAAGATGTTTCCTTTTTCACCTTAGCCCTGAAATCGCTCCAAAAGTCCAGTTCCAGATACTACAACAGGGGTGTTTCAAGACTGCTCTATGAAAGGGAGTGTTCAACTTTTGACTTGAATGCAAACATCAGAAAGCAGTTTCTCAGAACGCTGCTGTGTGCTTTTTATATGTATTCCCGCTTCCAGCGAAATCTCCAAAGCTAGCCAAATATCCACTTGCAGATTCCAGAAAAAGAGAGTTTCAAAACTGCTCCTTCAAAACGGTGGTTCAATTCTCTTAGTTGAGTACACACATCTCAAATAAGTTTCTGAGAATGCTTCTGTCTAGTTGTTATGGGAAGATATTTCCTTTTCCAACATAGGCCTGAAAGCGCTCCAAATGTCCACTTCCAGATACTACAAAAGGAGTGATTCCAACCTGCTCTATGATAGGGAATGTTCAACTCTGTGTCCTGAATACAAACATCACAAAGATGTTTCTCAGAACGCTGCAGTCTGCAATTTGTATGAATTCCCGCTTCCAACGAAATCCTCAAAACTAGCCAAATATCCACTTGCAGATTCCACAAAAAGAGCATTTCAAAACTGCTCTATCAAAAGAAAGGTTCAACTTTGTTAGTTGAGTAGATACAGCATAAACAAGTTTCTGAGAATGCTTCTGTCCAGTTTTTATGGGAAGATATTTCCTTTTTCACCTTAGCCCTGAAGCGCTCCAAAAGTCCAGTTCCAGATACTACAAAAGGAGTGTTTCAGGACTGCTCTATGAAAGGGAGTGTTCAACTTTTGACTTGAATGCAAACATCAGAAAGCAGTTTCTCAGAACGCTGCTGTGTGCTTTTTATATGTATTCCCGCTTCCAGCGAAATCCCCAAAGCTAGCCAAATATCCACTTGCAGATTCCAGAAAAAGAGTGTTTCAAAACTGCTCCTTCAAAACGGTGGTTCAATTCTCTTAGTTGAGTACACACATCTCAAATAAGTTTCTGAGAATGCTTCTGTCTAGTTGTTATGGGAAGATATTTCCTTTTCCAACATAGGCCTGAAAGCGCTCCAAATGTCCACTTCCAGATACTACAAAAGGAGTGATTCCAACCTGCTCTATGATAGGGAATGTTCAACTCTGTGTCCTGAATACAAACATCACAAAGATGTTTCTCAGAACGCTGCAGTCTGCAATTTGTATGAATTCCCGCTTCCAACGAAATCCTCAAAACTAGCCAAATATCCACTTGGAGATTCCACAAAAAGAGCGTTTCAAAACTTCTCTATGAATAGAAAGTTTCTACTCCTTTAGTTGAGGACACACATCACGAGTAAGTTTCTGAGAATGCTTCTGTCTGGTTTTTATGGTAAGATATGTCCTTTTTCACCTTAGGCCGGAAAGCGCTCCAAATGTCCACTTACACACACTACAAAAAGAGTGTTTCAAACCTGCTCTGTGAAAGGGAATGTTCAATTCTGTGACTTGAATGCAATCATCACAAAGAACTTTCTGAGAATGCTGCTGTCTGCTTTTTATATGTAATCCCGTTTCCAACGAAATCCTCAAATCTAGCCAAATATCCACTTGCAGATTCCACAAAAAGAGTGTTTCAAAACTGTTCTGTCTAAAGAAAAGTTCAACTGTGTTAGTTGAGGACACACATCAGAAACTAGTTTCTGAGAATGCTTCTGTCTAGTTGTTATGGGAAGATATTTCCTTTTCCAACGTAGGCCTGAAAGCGCTCCAAATGTCCACTTCCATATACTAAAAAAAGAGTGTTTCAAACCTGCTCTACCAAAGGGAATGTTCTACTCTGTGACTTGAATGCAAACATCCCAAAGAAGTTTCTGAGAATGCTTCTGTCTAGATTTGATCTGAAGACAATCCCGTTTCCAACGAAATCCTCAAGGCTAGGCAAATATATACTTGCAGAATACAGAAAAAGAGTGTTTCAAAACTGCTCCTTCAAAACGGTGGTTCAATTCTCTTAGTTGAGTACACACATCTCAAATAAGTTTCTGAGAATGCTTCTGCCTAGTTGTTACGGGAAGATATTTCCCTTTCCAACATAGGCCTGAAAGCGCTCCAAATGTCCACTTCCAGATACTACAAAAGGAGTGATTCCAACCTGCTCTATGATAGGGAATGTTCAACTCTCTGTCCTGAATACAAACATCACAAAGATGTTTCTCAGAACGCTGCAGTCTGCAATTTGTATGAATTCCCGCTTCCAACGAAATCCTCAAAACTAGCCAAATATCCACTTGCAGATTCCACAAAAAGAGCATTTCAAAACTGCTCTATCAAAAGAAAGGTTCAACTTTGTTAGTTGAGTAGATACAGCATAAACAAGTTTCTGAGAATGCTTCTGTCCAGTTTTTATGGGAAGATATTTCCTTTTTCACCTTAGCCCTGAAAGCGCTCCAAAAGTCCAGTTCCAGATACTACAAAAGGAGTGTTTCAGGACTGCACTATGAAAGGGAGTGTTCAACTTTTGACTTGAATGCAAACATCAGAAAGCAGTTTCTCAGAACGCTGCTGTGTGCTTTTTATATGTATTCCCGCTTCCAGCGAAATCCCCAAAGCTAGCCAAATATCCACTTGCAGATTCCAGAAAAAGAGTGTTTCAAAACTGCTCCTTCAAAACGGTGATTCAATTCTCTTAGTTGAGTACACACATCTCAAATAAGTTTCTGAGAATGCTTCTGTCTACTTGTTATGGGAAGATATTTCCTTTTCCAACATAGGCCTGAAAGCGCTCCAAATGTCCACTTCCAGATACTACAAAAGGAATGATTCAAACCTGCTCTATGATAGGGAATGTTCAACTCTGTGTCCTGAATACAAACATCACAAAGATGTTTCTCAGAACGCTGCAGTCTGCAATTTGTATGAATTCCCGCTTCCAACGAAATCCTCAAAACTAGCCAAATATCCACTTGCAGATTCCACAAAAAGAGCGTTTCAAAACTTCTCTATGAAAAGAAAGGTTCTACTCCTTTAGTTGAGGACACACATCACGAGTAAGTTTCTGAGAATGCTTCTGTCTAGTTTTTAAGGGAAGATATTTCCTTTTTCACCTTAGGCCGGTAAGTGCTCCAAATGTCCACTTACACACACTACAAAAAGAGTGTTTCAAACCTGCTCTGTGAAAGGGAATGTTCAATTCTGTGACTTGGATGCAATCATCACAAAGAACTTTCTGAGAATGCTGCTGACTGCTTTTTATATGTAATCCCGTTTCCAACGAAATCCTCAAATCTAGCCAAATAGCCACTTGCAGATTCCACAAAAAGAGTGTTTCAAAACTGTTCTGTCTAAAGAAATGTTCAACTGTGTTAGTTGAGGACACACATCAGAAACTAGTTTCTGAGAATGCTTCTGTCTAGTTGTTATGGGAAGATATTTCCTTTTCCAACGTAGGCCTGAAAGCGCTCCAAATGTCCACTTCCATATACTAAAAAAAGAGTGTTTCAAACCTGCTCTACCAAAGGGAATGTTCTACTCTGTGACTTGAATGCAAACATCCCAAAGAAGTTTCTGAGAATGCTTCTGTCTAGATTTTATCTGAAGACAATCCCGCTTCCAACGAAATCCTCAAGGCTAGGCAAATATACTCTTGCAGATTCCAGAAAAAGAGGGTTTCAAAACTGCTCCTTCAAAACGGTGGTTCAATTCTCTTCGTTGAGTACACACATCTCAAATAAGTTTCTGAGAATGCTTCTGCCTAGTTGTTACGGGAAGATATTTCCCTTTCCAACATGGGCCTGAAAGCGCTCCAAATGTCCACTTCCAGATACTACAAAAAGAGTGTTTCAAACCTGCTCTACCAAAGGGAATGTTCTACTCTGTGACTTGAATGCAAACATCCCAAAGAAGTTTCTGAGAATGCTTCTGTCTAGATTTTACCTGAAGACAATCCCGTTTCCCACGAAATCCTCAAAGCTATGCAAATATCCTCTTGCAGATTCTACAAAAAGAGTGTTTCAAAACTGCTCTATGAAAAGAAAGGTTCAACTCTGTCAGTAGAGGGCACACATCACAAACAAGTTTCTGAGAATGCTTCTGCATAGTTGTTACGGGAAGATATTTCCCTTTCCAAAATAGGCCTGAAAGCGCTCCAAATGTCCACTTCCAGATACTACAAAAGGAGTGATTCCAACCTGCTCTATGATAGGGAATGTTCAACTCTGTGTCCTGAATACAAACATCACAAAGATGTTTCTCAGAACGCTGCAGTCTGCAATTTGTATGAATTCCCGCTTCCAACGAAATCCTCAAAACTAGCCAAATATCCACTTGCAGATTCCACAAAAAGACCATTTCAAAACTGCTCTATCAAAAGAAAGGTTCAACTTTGTTAGTTGAGTAGTTACAGCATAAACAAGTTTCTGAGAATGCTTCTGTCCAGTTTTTATGGGAAGATATTTCCTTTTTCACCTTAGCCCTGAAATCGCTCCAAAAGTCCAGTTCCAGATACTACAAAACGGGTGTTTCAAGACTGCTCTATGAAAGGGAGTGTTCAACTTTTGACTTGAATGCAAACATCAGAAAGCAGTTTCTCAGAACGCTGCTGTGTGCTTTTTATATGTATTCCCGCTTCCAGCGAAATCCCCAAAGCTAGCCAAATATCCACTTGCAGATTCCAGAAAAAGAGAGTTTCAAAACTGCTCCTTCAAAACGGTGGTTCAATTCTCTTAGTTGAGTACACACATCTCAAATAAGTTTCTGAGAATGCTTCTGTCTAGTTGTTATGGGAAGATATTTCCTTTTCCAACATAGGCCTGAAAGCGCTCCAAATGTCCACTTCCAGATACTACAAAAGGAGTGATTCCAACCTGCTCTATGATAGGGAATGTTCAACTCTGTGTCCTGAATACAAACATCACAAAGATGTTTCTCAGAACGCTGCAGTCTGCAATTTGTATGAATTCCCGCTTCCAACGAAATCCTCAAAACTAGCCAAATATCCACTTGCAGATTCCACAAAAAGAGCGTTTCAAAACTTCTCTATGAAAAGAAAGGTTCTACTCCTTTAGTTGAGGACACACATCACGAGTAAGTTTCTGAGAATGCTTCTGTCTAGTTTTTATGGGAAGATATTTCCTTTTTCACCTTAGGCCGGTAAGTGCTCCAAATGTCCACTTACACACACTACAAAAAGAGTGTTTCAAACCTGCTCTGTGAAAGGGAATGTTCAATTCTGTGACTTGAATGCAATCATCACAAAGAACTTTCTGAGAATGCTGCTGACTGCTTTTTATATGTAATCCCGTTTCCAACGAAATCCTCAAATCTAGCCAAATAGCCACTTGCAGATTCCACAAAAAGAGTGTTTCAAAACTGTTCTGTCTAAAGAAATGTTCAACTGTGTTAGTTGAGGACACACATCAGAAACTAGTTTCTGAGAATGCTTCTGTCTAGTTGTTATGGGAAGATATTTCCTTTTCCAACGTAGGCCTGAAAGCGCTCCAAATGTCCACTTCCATATACTAAAAAAAGAGTGTTTCAAACCTGCTCTACCAAAGGGAATGTTCTACTCTGTGACTTGAATGCAAACATCCCAAAGAAGTTTCTGAGAATGCTTCTGTCTAGATTTGATCTGAAGACAATCCCGTTTCCAACGAAATCCTCAAGGCTAGGCAAATATCCTCTTGCAGATTCCAGAAAAAGAGTGTTTCAAAACTGCTCCTTCAAAACGGTGATTCAATTCTCTTAGTTGAGTACACACATCTCAAATAAGTTTCTGAGAATGCTTCTGCCTAGTTGTTACGGGAAGATATTTCCCTTTCCAACATAGGCCTGAAAGCGCTCCAAATGTCCACTTCCAGATACTACAAAAACAGTGTTTCAAACCTGCTCTACCAAAGGGAATGTTCTACTCTGTGACTTGAATGCAAACATCCCAAAGAAGTTTCTGAGAATGCTTCTGTCTAGATTTTACCTGAAGACAATCCCGTTTCCCACGAAATCCTCAAAGCTATGCAAATATCCTCTTGCAGATTCTACAAAAAGAGTGTTTCAAAACTGCTCTATGAAAAGAAAGGTTCAACTCTGTCAGTAGAGGGCACACATCACAAACAAGTTTCTGAGAATGCTTGTGTCTAGTTGTTATGGGAAGATATTTCCTTTTTCAACATAGGCCTGAAAGCGCTCCAAATGTCCACTTCCAGATACTACAAAAGGAGTGATTCGAACCTGCTCTATGATAGGAAATGTTCCTCTCTGTGTCCTGAATACAAACATCACAAAGATGTTTCTCAGAACGCTGCAGTCTGCAATTTGTATGAATTCCCGCTTCCAACGAAATCCTCAAAACTAGCCAAATATCCACTTGGAGATTCCACAAAAAGAGCGTTTCAAAACTTCTCTATGAATAGAAAGGTTCTACTCCTTTAGTTGAGGACACACATCACGAGTAAGTTTCTGAGAATGGTTCTGTCAAGTTTTTATGGGAAGATATTTCCTTTTTCACCTTAGGCCGGAAAGCGCTCCAAATGTCCACTTACACACACTACAAAAAGAGTGTTTCAAACCTGCTCTGTGAAAGGGAATGTTCAATTCTGTGACTTGAATGCAATCATCACAAAGAACTTTCTGAGACTGCTGCTGTCTGCTTTTTATATGTAATCCCGTTTCCAACGAAATCCTCAAATCTAACCAAATATCCACTTGCAGATTCCAGAAAAAGAGTGTTTCAAAACTGCTCCTTCAAAACGGTGGTTCAATTCTCTTAGTTGAGTACACACATCTGAAATAAGTTTCTGAGAATGCTTGTGTCTAGTTGTTATGGGAAGATATTTCCTTTTTCAACATAGGCCTGAAAGCGCTCCAAATGTCCACTTCCAGATACTACAAAAGGAGTGATTCCAACCTGCTCTATGATAGGGAATGTTCAACTCTCTGTCCTGAATACAAACATCACAAAGATGTTTCTCAGAACGCTGCAGTTCTGCAATTTGTATGAATTCCCGCTTCCAACGAAATCCTCAAAACTAGCCAAATATCCACTTGCAGATTCCACAAAAAGAGCGTTTCAAAACTTCTCTATGAAAAGAAAGGTTCTACTCCTTTAGTTGAGGACACACATCACGAGTAAGTTTCTGAGAATGCTTCTGTCTAGTTTTTATGGGAAGATATTTCCTTTTTCACCTTAGGCCGGTAAGTGCTCCAAATGTCCACTTACACACACTACAAAAAGAGTGTTTCAAACCTGCTCTGTGAAAGGGAATGTTCAATTCTGTGACTTGAATGCAATCATCACAAAGAACTTTCTGAGAATGCTGCTGACTGCTTTTTATATGTAATCCCGTTTCCAACGAAATCCTCAAATCTAGCCAAATAGCCACTTGCAGATTCCACAAAAAGAGTGTTTCAAAACTGTTCTGTCTAAAGAAATGTTCAACTGTGTTAGTTGAGGACACACATCAGAAACTAGTTTCTGAGAATGCTTCTGTCTAGTTGTTATGGGAAGATATTTCCTTTTCCAACGTAGGCCTGAAAGCGATCCAAATGTCCACTTCCATATACTAAAAAAAGAGTGTTTCAAACCTGCTCTACCAAAGGGAATGTTCTACTCTGTGACTTGAATGCAAACATCCCAAAGAAGTTTCTGAGAATGCTTCTGTCTAGATTTTCTCTGAAGACAATCCCGTTTCCAACGAAATCCTCAAGGCTAGGCAAATATACTCTTGCAGATTCCAGAAAAAGAGTGTTTCAAAACTGCTCCTTCAAAACGGTGGTTCAATTCTCTTAGTTGAGTACACACATCTCAAATAAGTTTCTGAGAATGCTTCTGCCTAGTTGTTACGGGAAGATATTTCCCTTTCCAACATGGGCCTGAAAGCGCTCCAAATGTCCACTTCCAGATACTACAAAAAGAGTGTTTCAAACCTGCTCTACCAAAGGGAATGTTCTACTCTGTGACTTGAATGCAAACATCCCAAAGAAGTTTCTGAGAATGCTTCTGTCTAGATTTTACCTGAAGACAATCCCGTTTCCCACGAAATCCTCAAAGCTATGCAAATATCCTCTTGCAGATTCTACAGAAAGAGTGTTTCAAAACTGCTCTATGAAAAGAAAGGTTCAACTCTGTCAGTAGAGGGCACACATCACAAACAAGTTTCTGAGAATGCTTCTGCATAGTTGTTACGGGAAGATATTTCCCTTTCCAAAATAGGCCTGAAAGCGCTCCAAATGTCCACTTCCAGATACTACAAAAGGAGTGATTCCAACCTGCTCTATGATAGGGAATGTTCAACTCTGTGTCCTGAATACAAACATCACAAAGATGTTTCTCAGAACGCTGCAGTCTGCAATTTGTATGAATTCCCGCTTCCAACGAAATCCTCAAAACTAGCCAAATATCCACTTGCAGATTCCACAAAAAGACCATTTCAAAACTGCTCTATCAAAAGAAAGGTTCAACTTTGTTAGTTGAGTAGATACAGCATAAACAAGTTTCTGAGAATGCTTCTGTCCAGTTTTTATGGGAAGATATTTCCTTTTTCACCTTAGCCCTGAAATCGCTCCAAAAGTCCAGTTCCAGATACTACAAAACGGGTGTTTCAAGACTGCTCTATGAAAGGGAGTGTTCAACTTTTGACTTGAATGCAAACATCAGAAAGCAGTTTCTCAGAACGCTGCTGTGTGCTTTTTATATGTATTCCCGCTTCCAGCGAAATCCCCAAAGCTAGCCAAATATCCACTTGCAGATTCCAGAAAAAGAGAGTTTCAAAACTGCTCCTTCAAAACGGTGGTTCAATTCTCTTAGTTGAGTACACACATCTCAAATAAGTTTCTGAGAATGCTTCTGTCTAGTTGTTATGGGAAGATATTTCCTTTTCCAACATAGGCCTGAAAGCGCTCCAAATGTCCACTTCCAGATACTACAAAAGGAGTGATTCAAACCTGCTCTATGATAGGGAATGTTCAACTGCTGTGTCCTGAATACAAACATCACAAAGATGTTTCTCAGAACGCTGCAGTCTGCAATTTGTATGAATTCCCGCTTCCAACGAAATCCTCAAAACTAGCCAAATATCCACTTGCAGATTCCACAAAAAGAGCGTTTCAAAACTTCTCTATGAAAAGAAAGGTTCTACTCCTTTAGTTGAGGACACACATCACGAGTAAGTTTCTGAGAATGCTTCTGTCTAGTTTTTATGGGAAGATTATTTCCTTTTTCACCTTAGGCCGGTAAGTGCTCCAAATGTCCACTTACACACACTACAAAAAGAGTGTTTCAAACCTGCTCTGTGAAAGGGAATGTTCAATTCTGTGACTTGAATGCAATCATCACAAAGAACTTTCTGAGAATGCTGCTGACTGCTTTTTATATGTAATCCCGTTTCCAACGAAATCCTCAAATCTAGCCAAATAGCCACTTGCAGATTCCACAAAAAGAGTGTTTCAAAACTGTTCTGTCTAAAGAAATGTTCAACTGTGTTAGTTGAGGACACACATCAGAAACTAGTTTCTGAGAATGCTTCTGTCTAGTTGTTATGGGAAGATATTTCCTTTTCCAACGTAGGCCTGAAAGCGCTCCAAATGTCCACTTCCAGATACTACAAAAAGAGTGTTTCAAACCTGCTCTACCAAAGGGAATGTTCTACTCTGTGACTTGAATGCAAGCATCCCAAAGAAGTTTCTGAGAATGCTTCTGTCTAGATTTTCTCTGAAGACAATCCCGTTTCCAACGAAATCCTCAAGGCTAGGCAAATATACTCTTGCAGATTCCAGAAAAAGAGTGTTTCAAAACTGCTCCTTCAAAACGGTGGTTCAATTCTCTTAGTTGAGTACACACATCTCAAATAAGTTTCTGAGAATGCTTCTGCCTAGTTGTTACGGGAAGATATTTCCCTTTCCAACATGGGCCTGAAAGCGCTCCAAATGTCCACTTCCAGATACTACAAAAAGAGTGTTTCAAACCTGCTCTACCAAAGGGAATGTTCTACTCTGTGACTTGAATGCAAACATCCCAAAGAAGTTTCTGAGAATGCTTCTGTCTAGATTTTACCTGAAGACAATCCCGTTTCCCACGAAATCCTCAAATCTATGCAAATATCCTCTTGCAGATTCTACAAAAAGAGTGTTTCAAAACTGCTCTATGAAAAGAAAGGTTCAACTCTGTCAGTAGAGGGCACACATCACAAACAAGTTTCTGAGAATGCTTGTGTCTAGTTGTTATGGGAAGATATTTCCTTTTTCAACATAGGCCTGAAAGCGCTCCAAATGTCCACTTCCAGATACTACAAAAGGAGTGATTCCAACCTGCTCTATGATAGGGAATGTTCAACTCTGTGTCCTGAATACAAACATCACAAAGATGTTTCTCAGAACGCTGCAGTCTGCAATTTGTATGAATTCCCGCTTCCAACGAAATCCTCAAAACTAGCCAAATATCCACTTGCAGATTCCACAAAAAGACCATTTCAAAACTGCTCTATCAAAAGAAAGGTTCAACTTTGTTAGTTGAGTAGATACAGCATAAACAAGTTTCTGAGAATGCTTCTGTCCAGTTTTTATGGGAAGATATTTCCTTTTTCACCTTAGCCCTGAAATCGCTCCAAAAGTCCAGTTCCAGATACTACAAAAGGGGTGTTTCAAGACTGCTCTATGAAAGGGAGTGTTCAACTTTTGACTTGAATGCAAACATCAGAAAGCAGTTTCTCAGAACGCTGCTGTGTGCTTTTTATATGTATTCCCGCTTCCAGCGAAATCCCCAAAGCTAGCCAAATATCCACTTGCAGATTCCAGAAAAAGAGTGTTTCAAAACTGCTCCTTCAAAACGGTGGTTCAATTCTCTTAGTTGAGTACACACATCTCAAATAAGTTTCTGAGAATGCTTCTGTCTAGTTGTTATGGGAAGATATTTCCTTTTCCAACATAGGCCTGAAAGCGCTGCAAATGTCCACTTCCAGATACTACAAAAGGAGTGATTCAAACCTGCTCTATGATAGGGAATGCTCAACTCTGTGTCCTGAATACAAACATCACAATGATGTTTCTCAGAACGCTGCAGTCTGCAATTTGTATGAATTCCCGCTTCCAACGAAATCCTCCAAACTAGCCAAATATCCACTTGCAGATTCCACAAAAAGAGCGTTTCAAAACTTCTCTACGAAAGAAAGGTTCTACTCCTATTAGTTGAGGACACACATCACGAGTAAGTTTCTGAGAATGCTTTCTGTCTAGTTTTTATGGGAAGATATTTCCTTTTTCACCTTAGGCCGGTAAGTGCTCCAAATGTCCACTTACACACACTACAAAAAGAGTCTTTCAAACCTGCTCTGTGAAAGGGAATGTTCAATTCTGTGACTTGAATGCAATCATCACAAAGAACTTTCTGAGAATGCTGCTGTCTGCTTTTTATATGTAATCCCGTTTCCAACGAAATCCTCAAATCTAGCCAAATAGCCACTTGCAGATTCCACGAAAAGAGAGTTTCAAAACTGTTCTGTCTAAAGAAATGTTCAACTGTGTTAGTTGAGGACACACATCAGAAACTAGTTTCTGAGAATGCTTCTGTCTAGTTGTTATGGGAAGATATTTCCTTTTCCAACGTAGGCCTGAAAGCGCTCCAAATGTCCACTTCCATATACTAAAAAAAGAGTGTTTCAAACCTGCTCTACCAAAGGGAATGTTCTACTCTGTGACTTGAATGCAAACATCCCAAAGAAGTTTCTGAGAATGCTTCTGTCTAGATTTGATCTGAAGACAATCCCGTTTCCAACGAAATCCTCAAGGCTAGGCAAATATCCTCTTGCAGATTCCAGAAAAAGAGTGTTTCAAAACTGCTCCTTCAAAACGGTGGTTCAATTCTCTTAGTTGAGTACACACATCTCAAATAAGTTTCTGAGAATGCTTCTGCCTAGTTGTTACGGGAAGATATTTCCCTTTCCAACATAGGCCTGAAAGCGCTCCAAATGTCCACTTCCAGATACTACAAAAAGAGTGTTTCAAACCTGCTCTACCAAAGGGAATGTTCTACTCTGTGACTTGAGTGCAAACATCACAATGAAGTTTCTGAGAATGCTTCTGTCTAGATTTTACCTGAAGACAATCCCGTTTCCCACGTAATCCTCAAAGCTATGCAAATATCCTCTTGCAGATTCTACAAAAAGAGTGTTTCAAAACTGCTCTATGAAAAGAAAGGTTCAACTCTGTCAGTAGAGGGCACACATCACAAACAAGTTTGCTGAGAATGCTTGTGTCTACTTGTTATGGGAAGATATTTCCTTTTTCAACATAGGCCTGAAAGCGCTCCAAATGTCCACTTCCAGATACTACAAAAGGAGTGATTCCAACCTGCTCTATGATAGGGAATGTTCAACTCTGTGTCCTGAATACAAACATCACAAAGATGTTTCTCAGAACGCTGCAGTCTGCAATTTGTATGAATTCCCGCTTCCAACGAAATCCTCAAAACTAGCCAAATATCCACTTGCAGATTCCACAAAAAGAGCATTTCAAAACTGCTCTATCAAAAGAAAGGTTCAACTTTGTTAGTTGAGTAGATACAGCATAAACAAGTTTCTGAGAATGCTTCTGTCCAGTTTTTATGGGAAGATATTTCCTTTTTCACCTTAGCCCTGAAATCGCTCCAAAAGTCCAGTTCCAGATACTACAAAAGGGGTGTTTCAAGACTGCTCTATGAAAGGGAGTGTTCAACTTTTGACTTGAATGCAAACATCAGAAAGCAGTTTCTCAGAACGCTGCTGTGTGCTTTTTATATGTATTCCCGCTTCCAGCGAAATCCCCAAAGCTAGCCAAATATCCACTTGCAGATTCCAGAAAAAGAGAGTTTCAAAACTGCTCCTTCAAAACGGTGGTTCAATTCTCTTAGTTGAGTACACACATCTCAAATAAGTTTCTGAGAATGCTGCAGTCTGCAATTTGTATGAATTCCCGCTTCCAACGAAATCCTCAAAACTAGCCACATATCCACTTGGAGATTCCACAAAAAGAGCGTTTCAAAACTTCTCTATGAATAGAAAGTTTCTACTCCTTTAGTTGAGGACACACATCACGAGTAAGTTTCTGAGAATGCTTCTGTCTGGTTTTTATGGTAAGATATGTCCTTTTTCACCTTAGGCCGGAAAGCGCTCCAAATGTCCACTTACACACACTACAAAAAGAGTGTTTCAAACCTGCTCTGTGAAAGGGAATGTTCAATTCTGTGACTTGAATGCAATCATCACAAAGAACTTTCTGAGAATGCTGCTGACTGCTTTTTATATGTAATCCCGTTTCCAACGAAATCCTCAAATCTAGCCCAATATCCACTTGCAGATTCCACAAAAAGAGTGTTTCAAAACTGTTCTGCCTAAAGAAATGTACAACTGTGTTAGTTGAGGACACACATCAGAAACTAGTTTCTGAGAATGCTTCTGTCTAGTTGTTATGGGAAGATATTTCCTTTTCCAACGTAGGCCTGAAAGCGCTCCAAATGTCCACTTCCAGATACTAAAAAAAGAGTGTTTCAAACCTGCTCTACCAAAGAGAATGTTCTACTCTGTGACTTGAATGCAAACATCCCAAAGAAGTTTCTGAGAATGCTTCTGTCTAGATTTTCTCTGAAGACAATCCCGTTTCCAACGAAATCCTCAAGGCTAGGCAAATATACTCTTGCAGATTCCAGAAAAAGAGTGTTTCAAAACTGCTCCTTCAAAACGGTGGTTCAATTCTCTTAGTTGAGTACACACATCTCAAATAAGTTTCTGAGAATGCTTCTGCCTAGTTGTTACGGGAAGATATTTCCCTTTCCAACATGGGCCTGAAAGCGCTCCAAATGTCCACTTCCAGATACTACAAAAAGAGGGTTTCAAACCTGCTCTACCAAAGGGAATGTTCTACTCTGTGACTTGAATGCAAACATCCCAAAGAAGTTTCTGAGAATGCTTCTGTCTAGATTTTACCTGAAGACAATCCCGTTTCCCACGAAATCCTCAAAGCTATGCAAATATCCTCTTGCAGATTCTACAAAAAGAGTGTTTCAAAACTGCTCTATGAAAAGAAAGGTTCAACTCTGTCAGTAGAGGTCACACATCACAAACAAGTTTCTGAGAATGCTTGTGTCTAGTTGTTATGGGAAGATATTTCCTTTTTCAACATAGGCCTGAAAGCGCTCCAAATGTCCACTTCCAGATACTACAAAAGGAGTGATTCCAACCTGCTCTATGATAGGGAATGTTCATCTCTGTGTCCTGAATACAAACATCACAAAGATGTTTCTCAGAACGCTGCAGTCTGCAATTTGTATGAATTCCCGCTTCCAACGAAATCCTCAAAACTAGCCAAATATCCACTTGGAGATTCCACAAAAAGAGCGTTTGAAAACTTCTCTATGAATAGAAAGGTTCTACTCCTTTAGTTGAGGACACACATCACGAGTAAGTTTCTGAGAATGCTTCTGTCTAGTTTTTATGGGAAGATATTTCCTTTTTCACCTTAGGCCGGAAAGCGCTCCAAATGTCCACTTACACACACTACAAAAAGAGTGTTTCAAACCTGCTCTGTGAAAGGGAATGTTCAATTCTGTGACTTGAATGCAATCATCACAAAGAACTTTCTGAGAATGCTGCTGTCTGCTTTTTATATGTAATCCCGTTTCCAACGAAATCCTCAAATCTAGCCAAATATCCACTTGCAGATTCCACAAAAAGAGTGTTTCAAAACTGTTCTGTCTAAAGAAAAGTTCAACTGTGTTAGTTGAGGACACACATCAGAAACTAGTTTCTGAGAATGCTTCTGTCTAGTTGTTATGGGAAGATATTTCCTTTTCCAACGTAGGCCTGAAAGCGCTCCAAATGTCCATTTCCATATACTAAAAAAAGAGTGTTTCAAACCTGCTCTACAAAAGGGAATGTTCTACTCTGTGACTTGAATACAAACATCCCAAAGAAGTTTCTGAGAATGCTTCTGTCTAGATTTTATCTGAAGACAATCCGGTTTCCAACGAAATCCTCAAAGCTAGGCAAATATCCTCTAGCAGATTCCAGAAAAAGAGTGTTTCAAAACTGCTCCTTCAAAACGGTGGTTCAATTCTCTTAGTTGAGTACACACATCTCAAAAAAGTTTCAGAGAATGCTTCTGCCTAGTTGTTACGGGAAGATATTTCCCTTTCCAACATGGGCCTGAAAGCGCTCCAAATGTCCACTTCCAGATACTACAAAAAGAGTGTTTCAAACCTGCTCTACCAAAGGGAATGTTCTACTCTGTGACTTGAATGCAAACATCCCAAAGAAGTTTCTGAGAATGCTTCTGTCTAGATTTTACCTGAAGACAATCCCGTTTCCCACGAAATCCTCAAAGCTATGCAAATATCCTCTTGCAGATTCTACAAAAAGAGTGTTTCAAAACTGCTCTATGAAAAGAAAGGTTCAACTCTGTCAGTAGAGGGCACACATCACAAACAAGTTTCTGAGAATGCTTCTGCATAGTTGTTACGGGAAGATATTTCCCTTTCCAAAATAGGCCTGAAAGCGCTCCAAATGTCCACTTCCAGATACTACAAAAGGAGTGATTCCAACCTGCTCTATGATAGGGAATGTTCAACTCTGTGTCCTGAATACAAACATCACAAAGATGTTTCTCAGAACGCTGCAGTCTGCAATTTGTATGAATTCCCGCTTCCAACGAAATCCTCAAAACTAGCCAAATATCCACTTGCAGATTCCACAAAAAGACCATTTCAAAACTGCTCTATCAAAAGAAAGGTTCAACTTTGTTAGTTGAGTAGATACAGCATAAACAAGTTTCTGAGAATGCTTCTGTCCAGTTTTTATGGGAAGATATTTCCTTTTTCACCTTAGCCCTGAAAGCGCTCCAAAAGTCCAGTTCCAGATACTACAAAAGGAGTGTTTCAGGACTGCACTATGAAAGGGAGGGTTCAACTTTTGACTTGAATGCAAACATCAGAAAGCAGTTTCTCAGAACGCTGCTGTGTGCTTTTTATATGTATTCCCGCTTCCAGCGAAATCCCCAAAGCTAGCCAAATATCCACTTGCAGATTCCAGAAAAAGAGTGTTTCAAAACTGCTCCTTCAAAACGGTGGTTCAATTCTCTTAGTTGAGTACACACATCTCAAATAAGTTTCTGAGAATGCTTCTGTCTAGTTGTTATGGGAAGATATTTCCTTTTCCAACATAGGCCTGAAAGCGCTCCAAATGTCCACTTCCAGATACTACAAAAGGAGTGATTCAAACCTGCTCTATGATAGGGAATGTTCAACTCTGTGTCCTGAATACAAACATCACAAAGATGTTTTCTCAGAACGCTGCAGTCTGCAATTTGTATGAATTCCCGCTTCCAACGAAATCCTCCAAACTAGCCAAATATCCACTTGCAGATTCCACAAAAAGAGCGTTTCAAAACTTCTCTATGAAAAGAAAGGTTCTACTCCTTTAGTTGAGGACACACATCACGAGTAAGTTTCTGAGAATGCTTCTGTCTAGTTTTTATGGGAAGATATTTCCTTTTTCACCTTAGGCCGGTAAGTGCTCCAAATGTCCACTTACACACACTACAAAAAGAGTGTTTCAAACCTGCTCTGTGAAAGGGAATGTTCAATTCTGTGACTTGAATGCAATCATCACAAAGAACTTTCTGAGAATGCTGCTGACTGCTTTTTATATGTAATCCCGTTTCCAACGAAATCCTCAAATCTAGCCAACTATCCACTTGCAGATTCCACAAAAAGAGTGTTCCAAAACTGTTCTGTCTAAAGAAAAGTTCAACTGTGTTAGTTGAGGACACACATCAGAAACTAGTTTCTGAGAATGCTTCTGTCTAGTTGTTATGGGAAGATATTTCCTTTTCCAACGTAGGCCTGAAAGCGCTCCAAATGTCCACTTCCATATACTAAAAAAAGAGTGTTTCAAACCTGCTCTACCAAAGGGAATGTTCTACTCTGTGACTTGAATGCAAACATCCCAAAGAAGTTTCTGAGAATGCTTCTGTCTAGATTTTCTCTGAAGACAATCCCGTTTCCAACGAAATCCTCAAGGCTAGGCAAATATACTCTTGCAGATTCCAGAAAAAGAGTGTTTCAAAACTGCTCCTTCAAAACGGTGGTTCAATTCTCTTAGTTGAGTACACACATCTCAAATAAGTTTCTGAGAATGCTTCTGCCTAGTTGTTACGGGAAGATATTTCCCTTTCCAAGATAGGCCTGAAAGCGCTTCAAATGTCCACTTCCAGATACTACAAAAAGAGTGTTTGAAACCTGCTCTACCAAAGGGAATGTTCTACCCTTTGACTTGAATGCAAACATCCCAAAGAAGTTTCTGAGAATGCTTCTGTCTAGATTTTACCTGAAGACAATCCCGTTTCCCACGAAATCCTCAAAGCTATGCAAATATCCTCTTGCAGATTCTACAAAAAGAGTGTTTCAAAACTGCTCTATGAAAAGAAAGGTTCAACTCTGTCAGTAGAGGGCACACATCACAAACAAGTTTCTGAGAATGCTTCTGCATAGTTGTTACGGGAAGATATTTCCCTTTCCAAAATAGGCCTGAAAGCGCTCCAAATGTCCACTTCCAGATACTACAAAAGGAGTGATTCCAACCTGCTCTATGATAGGGAATGTTCAACTCTGTGTCCTGAATACAAACATCACAAAGATGTTTCTCAGAACGCTGCAGTCTGCAATTTGTATGTATTCCAGCTTCCAACGAAATCCTCAAATCTAGCCAAATATCCAATTGCAGATTCCACAAAAAGAGCATTTCAAAACTGCTCTATCAAAAGAAAGGTTCAACTTTTTTAGTAGAGTAGATACAGCATAAACATGTTTCTGAGAATGCTTCTGTCCAGTTTTTATGGGAAGATATTTCCTTTTTCACCTTAGCCCTGAAAGCGCTCCAAAAGTCCAGTTCCAGATACTACAAAAGGAGTGTTTCAGGACTGCTCTATGAAAGGGAGTGTTCAACTTTTGACTTGAATGCAAACATCAGAAAGCAGTTTCTCAGAACGCTGCTGTGTGCTTTTTATATGTATTCCCGCTTCCAGCGAAATCCCCAAAGCTAGCCAAATATCCACTTGCAGATTCCAGAAAAAGGGTGTTTCAAAACTGCTCCTTCAAAACGGTGGTTCAATTCTCTTAGTTGAGTACACACATCTCAAATAAGTTTCTGAGAATGCTTCTGTCTAGTTGTTATGGGAAGATATTTCCTTTTCCAACATAGGCCTGAAAGCGCTCCAAATGTCCACTTCCAGATACCACAAAAGGAGTGATTCCAACCTGCTCTATGATAGGGAATGTTCAACTCTGTGTCCTGAATACAAACATCACAAAGATGTTTCTCAGAACGCTGCAGTCTGCAATTTGTATGAATTCCCGCTTCCAACGAAATCCTCCAAACTAGCCAAATATCCACTTGCAGATTCCACAAAAAGAGCGTTTCAAAACTTCTCTATGAAAACAAAGGTTCTACTCCTTTAGTTGAGGACACACATCACGAGTAAGTTTCTGAGAATGCTTCTGTCTAGTTTTTATGGGAAGATATTCCCTTTTTCACCTTAGGCCGGAAAGTGCTCCAAATGTCCACTTACACACACTACAAAAAGAGTGTTTCAAACCTGCTCTGTGAAAGGGAATGTTCAATTCTGTGACTTGAATGCAATCATCACAAAGAACTTTCTGAGAATGCTGCTGTCTGCTTTTTATATGTAATCCCGTTTCCAACGAAATCCTCAAATCTAGCCAAATAGCCACTTGCAGATTCCACAAAAAGAGTGTTTCAAAACTGTTCTGTCTAAAGAAATGTTCAACTGTGTTAGTTGAGGACACACATCAGAAACTAGTTTCTGAGAATGCTTCTGTCTAGTTGTTATGGGAAGATATTTCCTTTTCCAACGTAGGCCTGAAAGCGCTCCAAATGTCCACTTCCATATACTAAAAAAAGAGTGTTTCAAACCTGCTCTACCAAAGGGAATGTTCTACTCTGTGACTTGAATGCAAACATCCCAAAGAAGTTTCTGAGAATGCTTCTGTCTAGATTTGATCTGAAGACAATCCCGTTTCCAACGAAATCCTCAAGGCTAGGCAAATATCCTCTTGCAGATTCCAGAAAAAGAGTGTTTCAAAACTGCTCCTTCAAAACGGTGGTTCAATTCTCTTAGTTGAGTACACACATCTCAAATAAGTTTCTGAGAATGCTTCTGCCTAGTTGTTACGGGAAGATATTTCCCTTTCCAACATAGGCCTGAAAGCGCTCCAAATGTCCACTTCCAGATAATACAAAAAGAGTGTTTCAAACCTGCTCTACCAAAGGGAATGTTCTACTCTGTGACTTGAATGCAAACATCCCAAAGAAGTTTCTCAGAATGCTTCTGTCTAGATTTTACCAGAAGACAATCCCGTTTCCCACGAAATCCTCAAAGCTATGCAAATATCCTCTTGCAGATTCTACAAAAAGAGCGTTTCAAAACTTCTCTATGAAAAGAAAGGTTCTACTCATTTAGTGGAGGACACACATCACGAGTAAGTTTCTGAGAATGCTTCTGTCTAGTTTTTATGGGAAGATATTTCCTTTTTCACCTTAGGCCGGAAAGTGCTCCAAATGTCCAATTACACACACTAAAAAAGAGTATTTCAAACCTGCTCTGTGAAAGGGAATGTTCAATTCTGTGACTTGAATGCAATCATCACAAAGAACTTTCTGAGAATGCTGCTGACTGCTTTTTATATGTAATCCCGTTTCCAACGAAATCCTCAAATCTAGCCAAATAGCCACTTGCAGATTCCACAAAAAGAGTGTTTCAAAACTGTTCTGTCTAAAGAAATGTGCAACTGTGTTAGTTGAGGACACACATCAGAAACTAGTTTCTGAGAATGCTTCTGTCTAGTTGTTATGGGAAGATATTTCCTTTTCCAACGTAGGCCTGAATGCGCTCCAAATGTCCACTTCCATATACTAAAAAAAGAGTGTTTCAAACCTGCTCTACCAAACGGAATGTTCTACTCTGTGACTTAAATGCAAACATCCCAAAGAAGTTTCTGAGAATGCTTCTGTCTAGATTTGATCTGAAGACAATCCCGTTTCCAACGAAATCGTCAAGGCTAGGCAAATATCCTCTTGCAGATTCCAGAAAAAGAGTGTTTCAAAACTGCTCCTTCAAAACGGTGGTTCAATTCTCTTAGTTGAGTACACACATCTCAAATAAGTTTCTGAGAATGCTTCTGCCTAGTTGTTACGGGAAGATATTTCCCTTTCCAACATAGGCCTGAAAGCGCTCCAAATGTCCACTTCCAGATACTACAAAAAGAGTGTTTCAAACCTGCTCTACCAAAGGGAATGTTCTACTCTGTGACTTGAATGCAAACATCCCAAAGAAGTTTCTGAGAATGCTTCTGTCTAGATTTTACCTGAAGACAATCCCGTTTCCCACGAAATCCTCAAAGCTATGCAAATATCCTCTTGCAGATTCTACAAAAAGAGTGTTTCAAAACTGCTCTATGAAAAGAAAGGTTCAACTCTGTCAGTAGAGGGCACACATCACAAACAAGTTTCTGAGAATGCTTGTGTCTAGTTGTTATGGGAAGATATTTCCTTTTTCAACATAGGCCTGAAAGCGCTCCAAATGTCCACTTCCAGATACTACAAAAGGAGTGATTCCAACCTGCTCTATGATAGGGAATGTTCAACTCTCTGTCCTGAATACAAACATCACAAAGATGTTTCTCAGAACGCTGCAGTCTGCAATTTGTATGAATTCCCGCTTCCAACGAAATCCTCAAAACTAGCCAAATATCCACTTGCAGATTCCACAAAAAGAGCATTTCAAAACTGCTCTATCAAAAGAAAGGTTCAACTATGTTAGTTGAGTAGATACAGCATAAACAAGTTTCTGAGAATGATTCTGTCCAGTTTTTATGGGAAGATATTTCCTTTTTCACCTTAGCCCTGAAAGCGCTCCAAAAGTCCAGTTCCAGATACTACAAAAGGAGTGTTTCAGGACTGCTCTATGAAAGGGAGTGTTCAACTTTTGACTTGAATGCAAACATCAGAAAGCAGTTTCTCAGAACGCTGCTGTGTGCTTTTTATATGTATTCCCGCTTCCAGCGAAATCCCCAAAGCTAGCCAAATATCCACGTGCAGATTCTACAAAAAGAGTGTTTCAAAACTGCTCCTTCAAAACGGTGGTTCAATTCTCTTAATTGAGTACACACATCTGAAATAAGTTTCTGAGAATGCTTCTGTCTAGTTGTTATGGGAAGATATTTCCTTTTCCAACATAGGCCTGAAAGCGCTCCAAATGTCCACTTCCAGATACTACAAAAGGAGTGATTCAAACCTGCTCTATGATAGGGAATGTTCAACTCTGTGTCCTGAATACAAACATCACAAAGATGTTTCTCAGAACGCTGCAGTCTGCAATTTGTATGAATTCCCGCTTCCAACGAAATCCTCAAAACTAGCCAAATATCCACTTGCAGATTCCACAAAAAGAGCGTTTCAAAACTTCTCTATGAAAAGAAAGGTTCTACTCCTTTAGTTGAGGACACACATCACGAGTAAGTTTCTGAGAATGCTTCTGTCTAGTTTTTATGGGAAGATATTTCCTTTTTCACCTTAGGCCGGTAAGTGCTCCAAATGTCCACTTACACACACTACAAAAAGAGTGTTTCAAACCTGCTCTGTGAAAGGGAATGTTCAATTCTGTGACTTGAATGCAATCATCACAAAGAACTTTCTGAGAATGCCGCTGACTGCTTTTTATATGTAATCCCGTTTCCAACGAAATCCTCAAATCTAGCCAAATAGCCACTTGCAGATTCCACAAAAAGAGTGTTTCAAAACTGTTCTGTCTAAAGAAATGTTCAACTGTGTTAGTTGAGGACACACATCAGAAACTAGTTTCTGAGAATGCTTCTGTCTAGTTGTTATGGGAAGATATTTCCTTTTCCAACGTAGGCCTGAAAGCGCTCCAAATGTCCACTTCCAGATACTACAAAAAGAGTGTTTCAAACCTGCTCTACCAAAGGGAATGTTCTACTCTGTGACTTGAATGCAAGCATCCCAAAGAAGTTTCTGAGAATGCTTCTGTCTAGATTTTCTCTGAAGACAATCCCGTTTCCAACGAAATCCTCAAGGCTAGGCAAATATACTCTTGCAGATTCCAGAAAAAGAGTGTTTCAAAACTGCTCCTTCAAAACGGTGGTTCAATTCTCTTAGTTGAGTACACACATCTCAAATAAGTTTCTGAGAATGCTTCTGCCTAGTTGTTACGGGAAGATATTTCCCTTTCCAACATGGGCCTGAAAGCGCTCCAAATGTCCACTTCCAGATACTACAAAAAGAGTGTTTCAAACCTGCTCTACCAAAGGGAATGTTCTACTCTGTGACTTGAATGCAAACATCCCAAAGAAGTTTCTGAGAATGCTTCTGTCTAGATTTTACCTGAAGACAATCCCGTTTCCCACGAAATCCTCAAAGCTATGCAAATATCCTCTTGCAGATTCTACAAAAAGAGTGTTTCAAAAGTGCTCTATGAAAAGAAAGGTTCAACTCTGTCAGTAGAGGGCACACATCACAAACAAGTTTCTGAGAATGCTTCTGCATAGTTGTTACGGGAAGATATTTCCCTTTCCAAAATAGGCCTGAAAGCGCTCCAAATGTCCACTTCCAGATACTACAAAAGGAGTGATTCCAACCTGCTCTATGATAGGGAATGTTCAACTCTGTGTCCTGAATACAAACATCACAAAGATGTTTCTCAGAACGCTGCAGTCTGCAATTTGTATGAATTCCCGCTTCCAACGAAATCCTCAAAACTAGCCAAATATCCACTTGCAGATTCCACAAAAAGACCATTTCAAAACTGCTCTATCAAAAGAAAGGTTCAACTTTGTTAGTTGAGTAGATACAGCATAAACAAGTTTCTGAGAATGCTTCTGTCCAGTTTTTATGGGAAGATATTTCCTTTTTCACCTTAGCCCTGAAATCGCTCCAAAAGTCCAGTTCCAGATACTACAAAAGGGGTGTTTCAAGACTGCTCTATGAAAGGGAGTGTTCAACTTTTGACTTGAATGCAAACATCAGAAAGCAGTTTCTCAGAACGCTGCTGTGTGCTTTTTATATGTATTCCCGCTTCCAGCGAAATCCCCAAAGCTAGCCAAATATCCACTTGCAGATTCCAGAAAAAGAGTGTTTCAAAACTGCTCCTTCAAAACGGTGGTTCAATTCTCTTAGTTGAGTACACACATCTCAAATAAGTTTCTGAGAATGCTTCTGTCTAGTTGTTATGGGAAGATATTTCCTTTTCCAACATAGGCCTGAAAGCGCTCCAAATGTCCACTTCCAGATACTACAAAAGGAGTGATTCAAACCTGCTCTATGATAGGGAATGTTCAACTCTGTGTCCTGAATACAAACATCACAAAGATGTTTCTCAGAACGCTGCAGTCTGCAATTTGTATGAATTCCCGCTTCCAACGAAATCCTCAAAACTAGCCAAATATCCACTTGCAGATTCCACAAAAAGAGCGTTTCAAAACTTCTCTATGAAAAGAAAGGTTCTACACCTTTAGTTGAGGACACACATCACGAGTAAGTTTCTGAGAATGCTTCTGTCTAGTTTTTATGGGAAGATATTTCCTTGTTCACCTTAGGCCGGTAAGTGCTCCAAATGTCCACTTACACACACTACATAAAGAGTGTTTCAAACCTGCTCTGTGAAAGGGAATGTTCAATTCTGTGACTTGAATGCAATCATCACAAAGAACTTTCTGAGAATGCTGCTGTCTGCTTTTTATATGTAATCCCGTTTCCAACGAAATCCTCAAATCTAGCCAAATATCCACTTGCAGATTCCAGAAAAAGAGTGTTTCAAAACTGCTCCTTCAAAGCGGTGGTTCAATTCTCTTAGTTGAGTACACACATCTGAAATAAGTTTCTGAGAATGCTTCTGTCTAGTTGTTATGGGAAGATATTTCCTTTTCCAACATAGGCCTGAAAGCGCTCCAAATGTCCACTTCCAGATACTACAAAAGGAGTGATTCCAACCTGCTCTATGATAGGGAATGTTCAACTCTGTGTCCTGAATACAAACATCACAAAGATGTTTCTCAGAACGCTGCAGTCTGCAATTTGTATGAATTCCCGCTTCCAACGAAATCCTCCAAACTAGCCAAATATCCACTTGCAGATTCCACAAAAAGAGCGTTTCAAAACTTCTCTATGAAAGAAAGGTTCTACTCCTTTAGTTGAGGACACACATCAAGAGTAAGTTTCTGAGAATACTTCTGTCTAGTTTTTATGGGAAGATATTTCCTTTCTCACCTTAGGCCGGAAAGTGCTCCAAATGTCCACTTACACACACTACAAAAAGAGTGTTTCAAACCTGCTCTGTGAAAGGGAATGTTCAATTCTGTGACTTGAATGCAATCATCACAAAGAACTTTCTGAGAATGCTGCTGTCTGCTTTTTATATGTAATCCCGTTTCCAACGAAATCCTCAAATCTAGCCAAATAGCCACTTGCAGATTCCACAAAAAGAGAGTTTCAAAACTGTTCTGTCTAAAGAAATGTTCAACTGTGTTAGTTGAGGACACACTTCAGAAACTAGTTTCTGAGAATGCTTCTGTCTAGTTGTTATGGGAAGATATTTCCTTTTCCAACGTAGGCCTGAAAGCGCTCCAAATGTCCACTTCCATATACTAAAAAAAGAGTGTTTCACACCTGCTCTACCAAAGGGAATGTTCTACTCTGTGACTTGAATGCAAACATCCCAAAGAAGTTTCTGAGAATGCTTCTGTCTAGATTTGATCTGAACACAATCCCGTTTCCAACGAAATCCTCAAAGCTAGGCAAATATCCTCTTGCAGATTCCAGAAAAAGAGTGTTTCAAAACTGCTCCTTCAAAACGGTGGTTCAATTCTCTTAGTTGAGTACACACATCTCAAATAAGTTTCTGAGAATGCTTCTGCCTAGTTGTTACGGGAAGATATTTCCCTTTCCAACATAGGCCTGAAAGCGCTCCAAATGTCCACTTCCAGATACTACAAAAAGAGTGTTTCAAACCTGCTCTACCAAAGGGGAATGTTCTACTCTGTGACTTGAATGCAAACATCCCAAGGAAGTTTCTGAGAATGCTTCTGTCTAGATTTTACCTGAAGACAATCCCGTTTCCCACGAAATCCTCAAAGCTATGCAAATATCCTCTTGCAGATTCTACAAAAAGAGTGTTTCAAAACTGCTCTATGAAAAGAAAGGTTCAACTCTGTCAGTAGAGGGCACACATCACAAACAAGTTTCTGAGAATGCTTGTGTCTAGTTGTTATGGGAAGATATTTCCTTTTTCAACATAGGCCTGAAAGCGCTCCAAATGTCCACTTCCAGATACTACAAAAGGAGTGATTCCAACCTGCTCTATGATAGGGAATGTTCAACTCTCTGTCCTGAATACAAACATCACAAAGATGTTTCTCAGAACGCTGCAGTCTGCAATTTGTATGAATTCCCGCTTCCAACGAAATCCTCCAAACTAGCCAAATATCCACTTGCAGATTCCACAAAAAGAGCATTTCAAAACTGCTCTATCAAAAGAAAGGTTCAACTTTGTTAGTTGAGTAGATACAGCATAAACAAGTTTCTGAGAATGCTTCTGTCCAGTTTTTATGGGAAGATATTTCCTTTTTCACCTTAGCCCTGAAAGCGCTCCAAAAGTCCAGTTCCAGATACTACAAAAGGAGTGTTTCAGGACTGCTCTATGAAAGGGAGTGTTCAACTTTTGACTTGAATGCAAACATCAGAAAGCAGTTTCTCAGAACGCTGCTGTGTGCTTTTTATATGTATTCCCGCTTCCAGCGAAATCCCCAAAGCTAGCCAAATATCCACTTGCAGATTCCAGAAAAAGAGTGTTTCAAAACTGCTCCTTTAAAACGGTGGTTCAATTCTCTTAGTTGAGTACACACATCTCAAATAAGTTTCTGAGAATGCTGCAGTCTGCAATTTGTATGAATTCCCGCTTCCAACGAAATCCTCCAAACTAGCCAAATATCCACTTGCAGATTCCACAAAAAGAGCTGTTTCAAAACTTCTCTATGAAAACAAAGGTTCTACTCCTTTAGTTGAGGACACACATCACGAGTAAGTTTCTGAGAATGCTTCTGTCTAGTTTTTATGGGAAGATATTTCCTTTTTCACCTTAGGCCGGAAAGTGCTCCAAATGTCCACTTACACACACTATAAAAAGAGTGTTTCAAACCTGCTCTGTGAAAGGGAATGTTCAATTCTGTGACTTGAATGCAATCATCACAAAGAACTTTCTGAGAATGCTGCTGTCTGCTTTTTATATGTAATCCCGTTTCCAACGAAATCCTCAAATCTAGCCAAATAGCCACTTGCAGATTCCACAAAAAGAGAGTTTCAAAACTGTTCTGTCTAAAGAAATGTTCAACTGTGTTAGTTGAGGACACACATCAGAAACTAGTTTCTGAGAATGCTTCTGTCTAGTTGTTATGGGAAGATATTTCCTTTTCCAACGTAGGCCTGAAAGCGCTCCAAATGTCCACTTCCATATACTAAAAAAAGAGTGTTTCAAACCTGCTCTACCAAAGGGAATGTTCTACTCTGTGACTTGAATGCAAACATCCCAAAGAAGTTTCTGAGAATGCTTCTGTCTAGATTTTCTCTGAAGACAATCCCGTTTCCAACGAAATCCTCAAGGCTAGGCAAATATACTCTTGCAGATTCCAGAAAAAGAGTGTTTCAAAACTGCTCCTTCAAAACGGTGGTTCAATTCTCTTAGTTGAGTACACACATCTCAAATAAGTTTCTGAGAATGCTTCTGCCTAGTTGTTACGGGAAGATATTTCCCTTTCCAACATGGGCCTGAAAGCGCTCCAAATGTCCACTTCCAGATACTACAAAAAGAGTGTTTCAAACCTGCTCTACCAAAGGGAATGTTCTACTCTGTGACTTGAATGCAAACATCCCAAAGAAGTTTCTGAGAATGCTTCTGTCTAGATTTTACCTGAAGACAATCCCGTTTCCCACGAAATCCTCAAAGCTATGCAAATATCCTCTTGCAGATTCTACAAAAAGAGTGTTTCAAAACTGCTCTATGAAAAGAAAGGTTCAACTCTGTCAGTAGAGGGCACACATCACAAACAAGTTTCTGAGAATGCTTCTGCATAGTTGTTACGGGAAGATATTTCCCTTTCCAAAATAGGCCTGAAAGCGCTCCAAATGTCCACTTCCAGATACTACAAAAGGAGTGATTCCAACCTGCTCTATGATAGGGAATGTTCAACTCTGTGTCCTGAATACAAACATCACAAAGATGTTTCTCAGAACGCTGCAGTCTGCAATTTGTATGAATTCCCGCTTCCAACGAAATCCTCAAAACTAGCCAAATATCCACTTGCAGATTCCACAAAAAGACCATTTCAAAACTGCTCTATCAAAAGAAAGGTTCAACTTTGTTAGTTGAGTAGATACAGCATAAACAAGTTTCTGAGAATGCTCTGTCCAGTTTTTATGGGAAGATATTTCCTTTTTCACCTTAGCCCTGAAATCGCTCCAAAAGTCCAGTTCCAGATACTACAAAAGGGGTGTTTCAAGACTGCTCTATGAAAGGGAGTGTTCAACTTTTGACTTGAATGCAAACATCAGAAAGCAGTTTCTCAGAACGCTGGCTGTGTGCTTTTTATATGTATTCCCACTTCCAGCGAAATCCCCAAAGCTAGCCAAATATCCACTTGCAGATTCCAGAAAAAGAGAGTTTCAAAACTGCTCCTTCAAAACGGTGGTTCAATTCTCTTAGTTGAGTACACACATCTCAAATAAGTTTCTGAGAATGCTTCTGTCTAGTTGTTATGGGAAGATATTTCCTTTTCCAACATAGGCCTGAAAGCGCTCCAAATGTCCACTTCCAGATACTACAAAAGGAGTGATTCAAACCTGCTCTATGATAGGGAATGTTCAACTCTGTGTCCTGAATACAAACATCACAAAGATGTTTCTCAGAACGCTGCAGTCTGCAATTTGTATGAATTCCCGCTTCCAACAAAATCCTCAAAACTAGCCAAATATCCACTTGCAGATTCCACAAAAAGAGCGTTTCAAAACTTCTCTATGAAAAGAAAGGTTCTACTCCTTTAGTTGAGGACACACATCACGAGTAAGTTTGCTGAGAATGCTTCTGTCTAGTTTTTATGGGAAGATATTTCCTTTTTCACCTTAGGCCGGAAAGCGCTCCAAATGTCCACTTACACACACTACAAAAAGAGTGTTTCAAACCTGCTCTGTGAAAGGGAATGTTCAATTTCTGTGACTTGAATGCAATCATCACAAAGAACTTTCTGAGAATGCTGCTGACTGCTTTTTATATGTAATCCCGTTTCCAACGAAATCCTCAAATCTAGCCAAATAGCCACTTGCAGATTCCACAAAAAGAGTGTTTCAAAACTGTTCTGTCTAAAGAAATGTTCAACTGTGTTAGTTGAGGACACACATCAGAAACTAGTTTCTGAGAATGCTTCTGTCTAGTTGTTATGGGAAGATATTTCCTTTTCCAACGTAGGCCTGAAAGCGCTCCAAATGTCCACTTCCATATACTAAAAAAAGAGTGTTTCAAACCTGCTCTACCAAAGGGAATGTTCTACTCTGTGACTTGAATGCAAACATCCCAAAGAAGTTTCTGAGAATGCTTCTGTCTAGATTTTCTCTGAAGACAATCCCGTTTCCAACGAAATCCTCAAGGCTAGGCAAATATACTCTTGCAGATTCCAGAAAAAGAGTGTTTCAAAACTGCTCCTTCAAAACGGTGGTTCAATTCTCTTAGTTGAGTACACACATCTCAAATAAGTTTCTGAGAATGCTTCTGCCTAGTTGTTACGGGAAGATATTTCCCTTTCCAACATGGGCCTGAAAGCGCTCCAAATGTCCACTTCCAGATACTACAAAAAGAGTGTTTCAAACCTGCTCTACCAAAGGGAATGTTCTACTCTGTGACTTGAATGCAAACATCCCAAAGAAGTTTCTGAGAATGCTTCTGTCTAGATTTTACCTGAAGACAATCCCGTTTCCCACGAAATCCTCAAAGCTATGCAAATATCCTCTTGCAGATTCTACAAAAAGAGTGTTTCAAAACTGCTCTATGAAAAGAAAGGTTCAACTCTGTCAGTAGAGGGCACACATCACAAACAAGTTTCTGAGAATGCTTCTGCATAGTTGTTACGGGAAGATATTTCCCTTTCCAAAATAGGCCTGAAAGCGCTCCAAATGTCCACTTCCAGATACTACAAAAGGAGTGATTCCAACCTGCTCTATGATAGGGAATGTTCAACTCTGTGTCCTGAATACAAACATCACAAAGATGTTTCTCAGAACGCTGCAGTCTGCAATTTGTATGAATTCCCGCTTCCAACGAAATCCTCAAAACTAGCCAAATATCCACTTGCAGATTCCACAAAAAGACCATTTCAAAACTGCTCTATCAAAAGAAAGGTTCAACTTTGTTAGTTGAGTAGATACAGCATAAACAAGTTTCTGAGAATGCTTCTGTCCAGTTTTTATGGGAAGATATTTCCTTTTTCACCTTAGCCCTGAAATCGCTCCAAAAGTCCAGTTCCAGATACTACAAAAGGGGTGTTTCAAGACTGCTCTATGAAAGGGAGTGTTCAACTTTTGACTTGAATGCAAACATCAGAAAGCAGTTTCTCAGAACGCTGCTGTGTGCTTTTTATATGTATTCCCGCTTCCAGCGAAATCCCCAAAGCTAGCCAAATATCCACTTGCAGATTCCAGAAAAAGAGAGTTTCAAAACTGCTCCTTCAAAACGGTGGTTCAATTCTCTTAGTTGAGTACACACATCTCAAATAAGTTTCTGAGAATGCTTCTGTCTAGTTGTTATGGGAAGATATTTCCTTTTCCAACATAGGCCTGAAAGCGCTCCAAATGTCCACTTCCAGATACTACAAAAGGAGTGATTCAAACCTGCTCTATGATAGGGAATGTTCAACTCTGTGTCCTGAATACAAACATCACAAAGATGTTTCTCAGAACGCTGCAGTCTGCAATTTGTATGAATTCCCGCTTCCAACGAAATCCTCAAAACTAGCCAAATATCCACTTGCAGATTCCACAAAAAGAGCGTTTCAAAACTTCTCTATGAAAAGAAAGGTTCTACTCCTTTAGTTGAGGACACACATCACGAGTAAGTTTCTGAGAATGCTTCTGTCTAGTTTTTATGGGAAGATATTTCCTTTTTCACCTTAGGCCGGAAAGCGCTCCAAATGTCCACTTACACATACTACAAAAAATGTGTTTCAAACCTGCTCTGTGAAAGGGAATGTTCAATTCTGTGACTTGAATACAATCATCACAAAGAACTTTCTGAGAATGCTTGCTGTCTGCTTTTTATATGTAATCCCGTTTCCAACGAAATCCTCAAATCTAGCCAAATAGCCACTTGCAGATTCCACAAAAAGAGTGTTTCAAAACTGTTCTGTCTAAAGAAATGTTCAACTGTGTTAGTTGAGGACACACATCAGAAACTAGTTTCTGAGAATGCTTCTGTCTAGTTGTTATGGGAAGATATTTCCTTTTCCAACGTAGGCCTGAAAGCGCTCCAAATGTCCACTTCCAGATACTACGAAAAGAGTGTTTCAAACCTGCTCTACCAAAGGGAATGTTCTACTCTGTGACTTGAATGCAAGCATCCCAAAGAAGTTTCTGAGAATGCTTCTGTCTAGATTTTCTCTGAAGACAATCCCGTTTCCAACGAAATCCTCAAGGCTAGGCAAATATCCTCTTGCAGATTCCAGAAAAAGAGTGTTTCAAAACTGCTCCTTCAAAACGGTGGTTCAATTCTCTTAGTTGAGTACACACATCTCAAATAAGTTTCTGAGAATGCTTCTGCCTAGTTGTTACGGGAAGATATTTCCCTTTCCAACATGGGCCTGAAAGCGCTCCAAATGTCCACTTCCAGATACTACAAAAAGAGTGTTTCAAACCTGCTCTACCAAAGGGAATGTTCTACTCTGTGACTTGAATGCAAACATCCCAAAGAAGTTTCTGAGAATGCTTCTGTCTAGATTTTACCTGAAGACAATCCCGTTTCCCACGAAATCCTCAAAGCTATGCAAATATCCTCTTGCAGATTCTACAAAAAGAGTGTTTCAAAAGTGCTCTATGAAAAGAAAGGTTCAACTCTGTCAGTAGAGGGCACAACATCACAAACAAGTTTCTGAGAATGCTTCTGCATAGTTGTTACGGGAAGATATTTCCCTTTCCAAAATAGGCCTGAAAGCGCTCCAAATGTCCACTTCCAGATACTACAAAAGGAGTGATTCCAACCTGCTCTATGATAGGGAATGTTCAACTCTGTGTCCTGAATACAAACATCACAAAGATGTTTCTCAGAACGCTGCAGTCTGCAATTTGTATGAATTCCCGCTTCCAACGAAATCCTCAAAACTAGCCAAATATCCACTTGCAGATTCCACAAAAAGACCATTTCAAAACTGCTCTATCAAAAGAAAGGTTCAACTTTGTTAGTTGAGTAGATACAGCATAAACAAGTTTCTGAGAATGCTTCTGTCCAGTTTTTATGGGAAGATATTTCCTTTTTCACCTTAGCCCTGAAAGCGCTCCAAATGTCCAGTTCCAGATACTACACAAGGGGTGTTTCAAGACTGCTCTATGAAAGGGAGTGTTCAATTTTTGACTTGAATGCAAACATCAGAAATCAATTTCTCAGAACGCTGCTGTGTGCTTTTTATATGTATTCCCGCTTCCAGCGAAATCCCCAAAGCTAGCCAAATATCCACTTGCAGACTCCAGAAAAAGAGTGTTTCAAAACTGCTCCTTCAAAACGGTGGTTCAATTCTCTTAGTTGAGTACACACATCTCAAATAAGTTTCTGAGAATGCTTCTGTCTAGTTGTTATGGGAAGATATTTCCTTTTCCAACATAGGCCTGAAAGCGCTCCAAATGTCCACTTCCAGATACTACAAAAGGAATGATTCAAACCTGCTCTATGATAGGGAATGTTCAACTCTGTGTCCTGAATACAAACATCACAAAGATGTTTCTCAGAACGCTGCAGTCTGCAATTTGTATGAATTCCCACTTCCAACGAAATCCTCAAAACTAGCCAAATATCCACTTGCAGATTCCACAAAAAGAGCGTTTCAAAACTTCTCTATGAAAAGAAAGGTTCTACTCCTTTAGTTGAGGACACACATCACGAGTAAGTTTCTGAGAATGCTTCTGTCTAGTTTTTATGGGAAGATATTTCCTTTTTCACCTTAGGCCGGAAAGTGCTCCAAATGTCCACTTACACACACTACAAAAAGAGTGTTTCAAACCTGCTCTGTGAAAGGGAATGTTCAATTCTGTGACTTGAATGCAATCATCACAAAGAACGTTCTGAGAATGCTGCTGTCTGCTTTTTATATGTAATCCCGTTTCCAACGAAATCCTCAAATCTAGCCAAATAGCCACTTGCAGATTCCACAGAAAGAGAGTTTCAAAACTGTTCTGTCTAAAGAAATGTTCAACTGTGTTAGTTGAGGACACACATCAGAAACTAGTTTCTGAGAATGCTTCTGTCTAGTTGTTATGTGAAGATATTTCCTTTTCCAACGTAGGCCTGAAAGCGGTCCAAATGTCCACTTCCATATAGTAAAAAAAGAGTGTTTCAAACCTGCTCTACCAAAGGGAATGTTCTACTCTGTGACTTGAATGCAAACATCCCAAAGAAGTTTCTGAGAATGCTTCTGTCTAGATTTGATCTGAAGACAATCCCGTTTCCAACGAAATCCTCAGGCTAGGCAAATATCCTCTTGCAGATTCCAGAAAAAGAGTGTTTCAAAACTGCTCCTTCAAAACGGTGGTTCAATTCTCTTAGTTGAGTACACACATCTCAAATAAGTTTCTGAGAATGCTTCTGCCTAGTTGTTACGGGAAGATATTTCCCTTTCCAACATAGGCCTGAAAGCGCTCCAAATGTCCACTTCCAGATACTACAAAAAGAGTGTTTCAAACCTGCTCTACCAAAGGGAATGTTCTACTCTGTGACTTGAATGCAAACATCCCAAAGAAGTTTCTGAGAATGCTTCTGTCTAGATTTGATCTGAAGACAATCCCGTTTCCAACGAAATCCTCAAGGCTAGGCAAATATCCTCTTGCAGATTCCAGAAAAAGAGTGTTTCAAAACTGCTCCTTCAAAACGGTGGTTCAATTCTCTTAGTTGAGTACACACATCTCAAATAAGTTTCTGAGAATGCTTCTGCCTAGTTGTTACGGGAAGATATTTCCCTTTCCAACATAGGCCTGAAAGCGCTCCAAATGTCCACTTCCAGATACTACAAAAAGAGTGTTTCAAACCTGCTCTACCAAAGGGAATGTTCTACTCTGTGACTTGAATGCAAACATCCCAAAGAAGTTTCTGAGAATGCTTCTGTCTAGATTTTACCTGAAGACAATCCCGTTTCCCACGAAATCCTCAAAGCTATGCAAATATCCTCTTGCAGATTCTACAAAAAGAGTGTTTCAAAACTGCTCTATGAAAAGAAAGGTTCAACTCTGTCAGTAGAGGGCACACATCACAAACAAGTTTCTGAGAATGCTTCTGCATAGTTGTTACGGGAAGATATTTCCCTTTCCAAAATAGGCCTGAAAGCGCTCCAAATGTCCACTTCCAGATACTACAAAAGGAGTGATTCCAACCTGCTCTATGATAGGGAATGTTCAACTCTGTGTCCTGAATACAAACATCACAAAGATGTTTCTCAGAACGCTGCAGTCTGCAATTTGTATGAATTCCCGCTTCCAACGAAATCCTCAAAACTAGCCAAATATCCACTTGCAGATTCCACAAAAAGACCATTTCAAAACTGCTCTATCAAAAGAAAGGTTCAACTTTGTTAGTTGAGTAGATACAGCATAAACAAGTTTCTGAGAATGCTTCTGTCCAGTTTTTATGGGAAGATATTTCCTTTTTCACCTTAGCCCTGAAATCGCTCCAAAAGTCCAGTTCCAGATACTACAAAAGGGGTGTTTCAGGACTGCTCTATGAAAGGGAGTGTTCAACTTTTGACTTGAATGCAAACATCAGAAAGCAGTTTCTCAGAACGCTGCTGTGTGCTTTTTATATGTATTCCCGCTTCCAGCGAAATCCCCAAAGCTAGCCAAATATCCACTTGCAGATTCCAGAAAAAGAGAGTTTCAAAACTGCTCCTTCAAAACGGTGGTTCAATTCTCTTAGTTGAGTACACACATCTCAAATAAGTTTCTGAGAATGCTTCTGTCTAGTTGTTATGGGAAGATATTTCCTTTTCCAACATAGGCCTGAAAGCGCTCCAAATGTCCACTTCCAGATACTACAAAAGGAGTGATTCAAACCTGCTCTATGATAGGGAATGTTCAACTCTGTGTCCTGAATACAAACATCACAAAGATGTTTCTCAGAACGCTGCAGTCTGCAATTTGTATGAATTCCCGCTTCCAACGAAATCCTCAAAACTAGCCAAATATCCACTTGCAGATTCCACAAAAAGAGCGTTTCAAAACTTCTCTATGAAAAGAAAGGTTCTACTCCTTTAGTTGAGGACACACATCACGAGTAAGTTTCTGAGAATGCTTCTGTCTAGTTTTTATGGGAAGATATTTCCTTTTTCACCTTAGGCCGGTAAGTGCTCCAAATGTCCACTTACACACACTACAAAAAGAGTGTTTCAAACCTGCTCTGTGAAAGGGAATGTTCAATTCTGTGACTTGAATGCAATCATCACAAAGAACTTTCTGAGAATGCTGCTGACTGCTTTTTATATGTAATCCCGTTTCCAACGAAATCCTCAAATCTAGCCAAATAGCCACTTGCAGATTCCACAAAAAGAGTGTTTCAAAACTGTTCTGTCTAAAGAAATGTTCAACTGTGTTAGTTGAGGACACACATCAGAAACTAGTTTCTGAGAATGCTTCTGTCTAGTTGTTATGGGAAGATATTTCCTTTTCCAACGTAGGCCTGAAAGCGCTCCAAATGTCCACTTCCAGATACTACAAAAAGAGTGTTTCAAACCTGCTCTACCAAAGGGAATGTTCTACTCTGTGACTTGAATGCAAACATCCCAAAGAAGTTTCTGAGAATGCTTCTGTCTAGATTTTCTCTGAAGACAATCCCGTTTCCAACGAAATCCTCAAGGCTAGGCAAATATACTCTTGCAGATTCCAGAAAAAGAGTGTTTCAAAACTGCTCCTTCAAAACGGTGGTTCAATTCTCTTAGTTGAGTACACACATCTCAAATAAGTTTCTGAGAATGCTTCTGCCTAGTTGTTACGGGAAGATATTTCCCTTTCCAACATGGGCCTGAAAGCGCTCCAAATGTCCACTTCCAGATACTACAAAAAGAGTGTTTCAAACCTGCTCTACCAAAGGGAATGTTCTACTCTGTGACTTGAATGCAAACATCCCAAAGAAGTTTCTGAGAATGCTTCTGTCTAGATTTTACCTGAAGACAATCCCGTTTCCCACGAAATCCTCAAAGCTATTCAAATATCCTCTTGCAGATTCTACAAAAAGAGTGTTTCAAAACTGCTCTATGAAAAGAAAGGTTCAACTCTGTCACTAGAGGGCACACATCACAAACAAGTTTCTGAGAATGCTTGTGTCTAGTTGTTATGGGAAGATATTTCCTTTTTCAACATAGGCCTGAAAGCGCTCCAAATGTCCACTTCCAGATACTACAAAAGGAGTGATTCCAACCTGCTCTATGATAGGGAATGTTCAACTCTCTGTCCTGAATACAAACATCACAAAGATGTTTCTCAGAACGCTGCAGTCTGCAATTTGTATGAATTCCCGCTTCCAGCGAAATCCTCAAAACTAGCCAAATATCCACTTGCAGATTCCACAAAAAGAGCATTTCAAAACTGCTCTATCAAAAGAAAGGTTCAACTTTGTTAGTTGAGTAGATACAGCATAAACAAGTTTCTGAGAATGCTTCTGTCCAGTTTTTATGGGAAGATATTTCCTTTTTCACCTTAGCCCTGAAAGCGCTCCAAAAGTCCAGTTCCAGATACTACAAAAGGAGTGTTTCAGGACTGCTCTATGAAAGGGAGTGTTCAACTTTTGACTTGAATGCAAACATCAGAAAGCAGTTTCTCAGAACGCTGCTGTGTGCTTTTTATATGTATTCCCGCTTCCAGCGAAATCCCCAAAGCTAGCCAAATATCCACTTGCAGATTCCAGAAAAAGAGTGTTTCAAAACTGCTCCTTCAAAACGGTGGTTCAATTCTCTTAGTTGAGTACACACATCTCAAATAAGTTTCTGAGAATGCTTCTGTCTAGTTGTTATGGGAAGATATTTCCTTTTCCAACATAGGCCTGAAAGCGCTCCAAATGTCCACTTCCAGATACTACAAAAGGAGTGATTCCAACCTGCTCTATGATAGGGAATGTTCAACTCTGTGTCCTGAATACAAACATCACAAAGATGTTTCTCAGAACGCTGCAGTCTGCAATTTGTATGAATTCCCGCTTCCAACGAAATCCTCCAAACTAGCCAAATATCCACTTGCAGATTCCACAAAAAGAGCGTTTCAAAACTTCTCTATGAAAAGAAAGGTTCTACTCCTTTAGTTGAGGACACACATCACGAGTAAGTTTCTGAGAATGCTTCTGTCTAGTTTTTAAGGGAAGATATTTCCTTTTTCACCTTAGGCCGGAAAGTGCTCCAAATGTCCACTTACACACACTACAAAAAGAGTGTTTCAAACCTGCTCTGTGAAAGGGAATGTTCAATTCTGTGACTTGAATGCAATCATCACAAAGAACTTTCTGAGAATGCTGCTGTCTGCTTTTTATATGTAATCCCGTTTCCAACGAAATCCTCAAATCTAGCCAAATAGCCACTTGCAGATTCCACAAAAAGAGAGTTTCAAAACTGTTCTGTCTAAAGAAATGTTCAACTGTGTTAGTTGAGGACACACATCAGAAACTAGTTTCTGAGAATGCTTCTGTCTAGTTGTTATGGGAAGATATTTCCTTTTCCAACGTAGGCCTGAAAGCGCTCCAAATGTCCACTTCCATATACTAAAAAAAGAGTGTTTCAAACCTGCTCTACCAAAGGGAATGTTCTACTCTGTGACTTGAATGCAAACATCCCAAAGAAGTTTCTGAGAATGCTTCTGTCTAGATTTGATCTGAAGACAATCCCGTTTCCAACGAAATCCTCAAGGCTAGGCAAATATCCTCTTGCAGATTCCAGAAAAAGAGTGTTTCAAAACTGCTCCTTCAAAACGGTGGTTCAATTCTCTTAGTTGAGTACACACATCTCAAATAAGTTTCTGAGAATGCTTCTGCCTAGTTGTTACGGGAAGATATTTCCCTTTCCAACATAGGCCTGAAAGCGCTCCAAATGTCCACTTCCAGATACTACAAAAAGAGTGTTTCAAACCTGCTCTACCAAAGGGAATGTTCTACTCTGTGACTTGAATGCAAACATCCCAAAGAAGTTTCTGAGAATGCTTCTGTCTAGATTTTACCTGAAGACAATCCCGTTTCCCACGAAATCCTCAAAGCTATGCAAATATCCTCTTGCAGATTCTACAAAAAGAGTGTTTCAAAACTGCTCTATGAAAAGAAAGGTTCAACTCTGTCAGTAGAGGGCACACATCACAAACAAGTTTCTGAGAATGCTTCTGCATAGTTGTTACGGGAAGATATTTCCCTTTCCAAAATAGGCCTGAAAGCGCTCCAAATGTCCACTTCCAGATACTACAAAAGGAGTGATTCCAACCTGCTCTATGATAGGGAATGTTCAACTCTGTGTCCTGAATACAAACATCACAAAGATGTTTCTCAGAACGCTGCAGTCTGCAATTTGTATGAATTCCCGCTTCCAACGAAATCCTCAAAACTAGCCAAATATCCACTTGCAGATTCCACAAAAAGACCATTTCAAAACTGCTCTATCAAAAGAAAGGTTCAACTTTGTTAGTTGAGTAGATACAGCATAAACAAGTTTCTGAGAATGCTTCTGTCCAGTTTTTATGGGAAGATATTTCCTTTTTCACCTTAGCCCTGAAATCGCTCCAAAAGTCCAGTTCCAGATACTACAAAAGGGGTGTTTCAAGACTGCTCTATGAAAGGGAGTGTTCAACTTTTGACTTGAATGCAAACATCAGAAAGCAGTTTCTCAGAACGCTGCTGTGTGCTTTTTATATGTATTCCCGCTTCCAGCGAAATCCCCAAAGCTAGCCAAATATCCACTTGCAGATTCCAGAAAAAGAGTGTGTCAAAACTGCTCCTTCAAAACGGTGGTTCAATTCTCTTAGTTGAGTACACACATCTCAAATAAGTTTCTGAGAATGCTTCTGTCTAGTTGTTATGGGAAGATATTTCCTTTTCCAACATAGGCCTGAAAGCACTCCAAATGTCCACTTCCAGATACTACAAAAGGAGTGATTCCAACCTGCTCTATGATAGGGAATGTTCAACTCTGTGTCCTGAATACAAACATCACAAAGATGTTTCTCAGAACGCTGCAGTCTGCAATTTGTATGAATTCCCGCTTCCAACGAAATCCTCAAAACTAGCCAAATATCCACTTGCAGATTCCACAAAAAGACCATTTCAAAACTGCTCTATCAAAAGAAAGGTTCAACTTTGTTAGTTGAGTAGATACAGCATAAACAAGTTTCTGAGAATGCTTCTGTCCAGTTTTTATGGGAAGATATTTCCTTTTTCACCTTAGCCCTGAAAGCACTCCAAATGTCCACTTCCAGATACCACAAAAGGGGAGTTTCAAGACTGCTCTATGACAGGGAGTGTTCAACTTTTGACTTGAATGCGAACATCAGAAAGAAGTTTCTCAGAACGCTGCTGTGTGCTTTTTATATGTATTCCCGCTTCCAGCGAAATCCCCTAAGCTAGCCAAATATCCACTTGCAGATTCCAGAAAAAGAGTGTTTCAAAACTGCTCCTTCAAAACGGTGGTTCAATTCTCTTAGTTGAGTACACACATCTCAAATAAGTTTCTGAGAATGCTTCTGTCCAGTTTTTATGGGAAGATATTTCCTTTTTCACCTTAGCCCTGAAAGCGCTCCAAAAGTCCAGTTCCAGATACTACAAAAGGAGTGTTTCAGGACTGCTCTATGAAAGGCAGTGTTCAACTTTTGACTTGAATGCAAACATCAGAAAGCAGTTTCTCAGAACGCTGCAGTCTGCAATTTGTATGAATTCCCGCTTCCAACGAAATCCTCAAAACTAGCCAAATATCCACTTGGAGATTCCACAAAAAGAGCGTTTCAAAACTTCTCTATGAATAGAAAGGTTCTGCTCCTTTAGTTGAGGACACACATCACGAGTAAGTTTCTGAGAATGCTTCTGTCTAGTTTTTATGGGAAGATATTTCCTTTTTCACCTTAGGCCGGAAAGCGCTCAAAATGTCCACTTACACACACTACAAAAAGAGTGTTTCAAACCTGCTCTGTGAAAGGGAATGTTCAATTCTGTGACTTGAATGCAATCATCACAAAGAACTTTCTGAGAATGCTGCTGTCTGCTTTTTATATGTAATCCCGTTTCCAACGAAATCCTCAAATCTAGCCCAATATCCACTTGCAGATTCCACAAAAAGAGTGTTTCAAAACTGTTCTGTCTAAAGAAAAGTTCAACTGTGTTAGTTGAGGACACACATCAGAAACTAGTTTCTGAGAATGCTTCTGTCAAGTTGTTATGGGAAGATATTTCCTTTTCAAACCTAGGCCTGAAAGCGCTCCAATTGTCCACTTCCATATACTAAAAAAAGAGTGTTTCAAACCTGCTCTACCAAAGGGAATGTTCTACTCTGTGACTTGAATGCAAACATCCCAAAGAAGTTTCTGAGAATGCTTCTGTCTAGATTTTATCTGAAGACAATCCCGTTTCCAACGAAATCCTCAAGGCTAGGCAAATATACTCTTGCAGATTCCAGAAAAAGAGTGTTTCAAAACTGCTCCTTCAAAACGGTGGTTCAATTCTCTTAGTTGAGTACACACATCTCAAATAAGTTTCTGAGAATGCTTCTGCCTAGTTGTTACGGGAAGATATTTCCCTTTCCAACATGGGCCTGAAAGCGCTCCAAATGTCCACTTCCAGATACTACAAAAAGAGTGTTTCAAACCTGCTCTACCAAAGGGAATGTTCTACTCTGTGACTTGAATGCAAACATCCCAAAGAAGTTTCTGAGAATGCTTCTGTCTAGATTTTACCTGAAGACAATCCCGTTTCCCACGAAATCCTCAAAGCTATGCAAATATCCTCTTGCGGATTCTACAAAAAGAGTGTTTCAAAACTGCTCTATGAAAAGAAAGGTTCAACTCTGTCAGTAGAGGGCACACATCACAAACAAGTTTCTGAGAACGCTTGTGTCTAGTTGTTATGGGAAGATATTTCCTTTTTCAACATAGGCCTGAAAGCGCTCCAAATGTCCACTTCCAGATAGTACAAAAGGAGTGATTCCAACCTGCTCTATGATAGGGAATGTTCATCTCTGTGTCCTGAATACAAACATCACAAAGATGTTCCTCAGAACGCTGCAGTCTGCAATTTGGATGAATTCCCGCTTCCAACGAAATCCTCAAAACTAGCCAAATATCCACTTGGAGATTCCACAAAAAGAGCGTTTCAAAACTTCTCTATGAATAGAAAGGTTCTACTCCTTTAGTTGAGGACACACATCACGAGTAAGTTTCTGAGAATGCTTCTGTCTAGTTTTTATGGGAAGATATGTCCTTTTTCACCTTAGGCCGGAAAGCGCTCCAAATGTCCACTTACACACACTACAAAAAGAGTGTTTCAAACCTGCTCTGTGAAAGGGAATGTTCAATTCTGTGACTTGAATGCAATCATCACAAAGAACTTTCTGAGAATGCTGCAGTCTGCTTTTTATATGTAATCCCGTTTCCAACGAAATCCTCAAATCTAGCCAAATATCCACTTGCAGATTCCACAAAAAGAGTGTTTCCAAACTGTTCTGTCTAAAGAAAAGTTCAACTGTGTTAGCTGAGGACACACATCAGAAACTAGTTTCTGAGAATGCTTCTGTCTAGTTGTTATGGGAAGATATTTCCTTTTCGAACGTAGGCCTGAAAGCACTCCAAATGTCCACTTCCATATACTAAAAAAAGAGTGTTTCAAACCTGCTCTACCAAAGGGAATGTTCTACTACTGTGACTTGAATTCAAACATCCCTAAGAAGTTTCTGAGAATGCTGCAGTCTGCAATTTGTATGAATTCCCGCTTCCAACGAAATCCTCCAAACTAGCCAAATATCCACTTGCAGATTCCACAAAAAGAGCGTTTCAAAACTTCTCTATGAAAACAAAGGTTCTACTCCTTTAGTTGAGGACACACATCACGAGTAAGTTTCTGAGAATGCTTCTGTCTAGTTTTTATGGGAAGATATTTCCTTTTTCACCTTAGGCCGGAAAGTGCTCCAAATGTCCACTTACACACACTACAAAAAGAGTGTTTCAAACCTGCTCTGTGAAAGGGAATGTTCAATTCTGTGACTTGAATGCAATCATCACAAAGAACTTTCTGAGAATGCTGCTGTCTGCTTTTTATATGTAATCCCGTTTCCAACGAAATCCTCAAATCTAGCCAAATAGCCACTTGCAGATTCCACAAAAAGAGTGTTTCAAAACTGTTCTGTCTAAAGAAATGTTCAACTGTGTTAGTTGAGGACACACATCAGAAACTAGTTTCTGAGAATGCTTCTGTCTAGTTGTTATGGGAAGATATTTCCTTTTCCAACGTAGGCCTGAAAGCGCTCCAAATGTCCACTTCCATATACTAAAAAAAGAGTGTTTCAAACCTGCTCTACCAAAGGGAATGTTCTACTCTGTGACATGAATGCAAACATCCCAAAGAAGTTTCTGAGAATGCTTCTGTCTAGATTTGATCTGAAGACAATCCCGTTTCCAACGAAATCCTCAAGGCTAGGCAAATATCCTCTTGCAGATTCCAGAAAAAGAGTGTTTCAAAACTGCTCCTTCAAAACGGTGGTTCAATTCTCTTAGTTGAGTACACACATCTCAAATAAGTTTCTGAGAATGCTTCTGCCTAGTTGTTACGGGAAGATATTTCCCTTTCCAACATAGGCCTGAAAGCGCTCCAAATGTCCACTTCCAGATACTACAAAAAGAGTGTTTCAAACCTGCTCTACCAAAGGGAATGTTCTGCTCTGTGACTTGAATGCAAACATCCCAAAGAAGTTTCTGAGAATGCTTCTGTCTAGATTTTACCTGAAGACAATCCCGTTTCCCACGAAATCCTCAAAGCTATGCAAATATCCTCTTGCAGATTCTACAAAAAGAGCGTTTCAAAACTTCTCTATGAAAAGAAAGGTTCTACTCATTTAGTGGAGGACACACATCACGAGTAAGTTTCTCAGAATGCTTCTGTCTAGTTTTTATGGGAAGATATTTCCTTTTTCACCTTAGGCCGGAAAGTGCTCCAAATGTCCACTTCCAGATACTACAAAAGGAGTGATTCCAACCTGCTCTATGATAGGGAATGTTCAACTCTCTGTCCTGAATACAAACATCACAAAGATGTTTCTCAGAACGCTGCAGTCTGCAATTTGTATGAATTCCCGCTTCCAACGAAATCCTCAAAACTAGCCAAATATCCACTTGCAGATTCCACAAAAAGAGCATTTCAAAACTGCTCTATCAAAAGAAAGGTTCAACTTTGTTAGTTGAGTAGATACAGCATAAACAAGTTTCTGAGAATGCTTCTGTCCAGTTTTTATGGGAAGATATTTCCTTTTTCACCTTAGCCCTGAAAGCGCTCCAAATGTCCAGTTCCCGATACTACAAAAGGGGTGTTTCAAGACTGCTCTATGAAAGGGAGTGTTCAACTTTTGACTTGAATGCAAACATCAGAAAGCAGTTTCTCAGAACGCTGCTGTGTGCTTTTTATATGTATTCCCGCTTCCAGCGAAATCCCCAAAGCTAGCCAAATATCCACTTGCAGATTCCAGAAAAAGAGTGTTTCAAAACTGCTCCTTCAAAACGGTGGTTCAATTCTCCTAGTTGCGTACACACATCTCAAATAAGTTTCTGAGAATGCTTCTGTCTAGTTGTTATGGGAAGATATTTCCTTTTCCAACATAGGCCTGAAAGCGCTCCAAATGTCCACTTCCAGATACTACAAAAGGAGTGATTCAAACCTGCTCTATGATAGGGAATGTTCAACTCTGTGTCCTGAATACAAACATCACAAAGATGTTTCTCAGAGCGCTGCAGTCTGCAATTTGTATGAATTCCCGCTTCCAACGAAATCCTCAAAACTAGCCAAATATCCACTTGCAGATTCCACAAAAAGAGGGTTTCAAAACTTCTCTATGAAAAGAAAGGTTCTACTCCTTTAGTTGAGGACACACATCACGAGTAAGTTTCTGAGAATGCTTCTGTCTAGTTTTTATGGGAAGATATTTCCTTTTTCACCTTAGGCCGGAAAGTGCTCCAAATGTCCACTTACACACACTACAAAAAGAGTGTTTCAAACCTGTTCTGTGAAAGGGAATGTTCAATTCTGTGACTTGAATGCAATCATCACAAAGAACTTTCTGAGAATGCTGCTGTCTGCTTTTTATATGTAATCCCGTTTCCAACGAAATCCTCAAATCTAGCCAAATAGCCACTTGCAGATTCCACAAAAAGTGTTTCAAAACTGTTCTGTCTAAAGAAATGTTCAACTGTGTTAGTTGAGGACACACATCAGAAACTAGTTTCTGAGAATGCTTCTGTCTAGTTGTTATGGGAAGATATTTCCTTTTCCAACGTAGGCCTGAAAGCGCTCCAAATGTCCACTTCCATATACTAAAAAAAGAGTGTTTCAAACCTGCTCTACCAAAGGGAATGTTCTACTCTGTGACTTGAATGCAAACATCCCAAAGAAGTTTCTGAGAATGCTTCTGTCTAGATTTGATGTGAAGACAATCCCGTTTCCAACGAAATCCTCAAGGCTAGGCAAATATCCTCTTGCAGATTCCAGAAAAAGAGTGTTTCAAAACTGCTCCTTCAAAACGGTGGTTCAATTCTCTTAGTTGAGTACACACATCTCAAATAAGTTTCTGAGAATGCTTCTGCCTAGTTGTTACGGGAAGATATTTCCCTTTCCAACATAGGCCTGAAAGCGCTCCAAATGTCCACTTCCAGATACTACAAAAAGAGTGTTTCAAACCTGCTCTACCAAAGGGAATGTTCTACTCTGTGACTTGAATGCAAACATCCCAAAGAAGTTTCTGAGAATGCTTCTGTCTAGATTTTACCTGAAGACAATCCCGTTTCCCACGAAATCCTCAAAGCTATGCAAATATCCTCTTGCAGATTCTACAAAAAGAGTGTTTCAAAACTGCTCTATGAAAAGAAAGGTTCAACTCTGTCAGTAGAGGGCACACATCACAAACAAGTTTCTGAGAATGCTTCTGCATAGTTGTTACGGGAAGATATTTCCCTTTCCAAAATAGGCCTGAAAGCGCTCCAAATGTCCACTTCCAGATACTACAAAAGGAGTGATTCCAACCTGCTCTATGATAGGGAATGTTCAACTCTGTGTCCTGAATACAAACATCACAAAGATGTTTCTCAGAACGCTGCAGTCTGCAATTTGTATGAATTCCCGCTTCCAACGAAATCCTCAAAACTAGCCAAATATCCACTTGCAGATTCCACAAAAAGACCATTTCAAAACTGCTCTATCAAAAGAAAGGTTCAACTTTGTTAGTTGAGTAGATACAGCATAAACAAGTTTCTGAGAATGCTTCTGTCCAGTTTTTATGGGAAGATATTTCCTTTTTCACCTTAGCCCTGAAATCGCTCCAAAAGTCCAGTTCCAGATACTACAAAAGGGGTGTTTCAAGACTGCTCTATGAAAGGGAGTGTTCAACTTTTGACTTGAATGCAAACATCAGAAAGCAGTTTCTCAGAACGCTGCTGTGTGCTTTTTATATGTATTCCCGCTTCCAGCGAAATCCCCAAAGCTAGCCAAATATCCACTTGCAGATTTCAGAAAAAGAGAGTTTCAAAACTGCTCCTTCAAAACGGTGGTTCAATTCTCTTAGTTGAGTACACACATCTCAAATAAGTTTCTGAGAATGCTTTCTGTCCAGTTTTTATGGGAAGATATTTCCTTTTTCACCTTAGCCCTGAAATCGCTCCAAAAGTCCAGTTCCAGATACTACAAAACGGGTGTTTCAAGACTGCTCTATGAAAGGGAGTGTTCAACTTTTGACTTGAATGCAAACATCAGAAAGCAGTTTCTCAGAACGCTGCTGTGTGCTTTTTATATGTATTCCCGCTTCCAGCGAAATCCCCAAAGCTAGCCAAATATCCACTTGCAGATTCCAGAAAAAGAGAGTTTCAAAACTGCTCCTTCAAAACGGTGGTTCAATTCTCTTAGTTGAGTACACACATCTCAAATAAGTTTCTGAGAATGCTCTGTCTAGTTGTTATGGGAAGATATTTCCTTTTCCAACATAGGCCTGAAAGCGCTCCAAATGTCCACTTCCAGATACTACAAAAGGAGTGATTCCAACCTGCTCTATGATAGGGAATGTTCAACTCTGTGTCCTGAATACAAACATCACAAAGATGTTTCTCAGAACGCTGGCAGTCTGCAATTTGTATGAATTCCCGCTTCCAACGAAATCCTCAAAACTAGCCAAATATCCACTTGCAGATTCCACAAAAAGAGCATTTCAAAACTGCTCTATCAAAAGAAAGGTTCAACTTTGTTAGTTGAGTAGATACAGCATAAACAAGTTTCTGAGAATGCTTCTGTCCAGTTTTTATGGGAAGATATTTCCTTTTTCACCTTAGCCCTGAAAGCGCTCCAAAAGTCCAGTTCCAGATACTACAAAAGGAGTGTTTCAGGACTGCTCTATGAAAGGGAGTGTTCAACTTTTGACTTGAATGCAAACATCAGAAAGCAGTTTCTCAGAACGCTGCTGTGTGCTTTTTATATGTATTCCCGCTTCCAGCGAAATCCCCAAAGCTAGCCAAATATCCACTTGCAGATTCCAGAAAAAGAGTGTTTCAAAACTGCTCCTTCAAAACGGTGGTTCAATTCTCTTAGTTGAGTACACACATCTCAAATAAGTTTCTGAGAATGCTTCTGTCTAGTTGTTATGGGAAGATATTTCCTTTTCCAACATAGGCCTGAAAGCGCTCCAAATGTCCACTTCCAGATACTGCAAAAGGAGTGATTCCAACCTGCTCTATGATAGGGAATGTTCAACTCTGTGTCCTGAATACAAACATCACAAAGATGTTTCTCAGAACGCTGCAGTCTGCAATTTGTATGAATTCCCGCTTCCAACGAAATCCTCAAAACTAGCCAAATATCCACTTGCAGATTCCACAAAAAGAGCGTTTCAAAACTTCTCTATGAAAAGAAAGGTTCTACTCCTTTAGTTGAGGACACACATCACGAGTAAGTTTCTGAGAATGCTTCTGTCTAGTTTTTATGGGAAGATATTTCCTTTTTCACCTTAGGCCGGAAAGTGCTCCAAATGTCCACTTACACACACTACAAAAAGAGTGTTTCAAACCTGCTCTGTGAAAGGGAATGTTCAATTCTGTGACTTGAATGCAATCATCACAAAGAACTTTCTGAGAATGCTGCTGTCTGCTTTTTATATGTAATCCCGTTTCCAACGAAATCCTCAAATCTAGCCAAATAGCCACTTGCAGATTCCACAAAAAGAGTGTTTCAAAACTGTTCTGTCTAAAGAAATGTTCAACTGTGTTAGTTGAGGACACACATCAGAAACTAGTTTCTGAGAATGCTTCTGTCTAGTTGTTATGGGAAGATATTTCCTTTTCCAACGTAGGCCTGAAAGCGCTCCAAATGTCCACTTCCATATACTAAAAAAAGAGTGTTTCAAACCTGCTCTACCAAAGGGAATGTTCTACTCTGTGACTTGAATGCAAACATCCCAAAGAAGTTTCTGAGAATGCTTCTGTCTAGATTTGATCTGAAGACAATCCCGTTTCCAACGAAATCCTCAAGGCTAGGCAAATATACTCTTGCAGATTCCAGAAAAAGAGTGTTTCAAAACTGCTCCTTCAAAACGGTGGTTCAATTCTCTTAGTTGAGTACACACATCTCAAATAAGTTTCTGAGAATGCTTCTGCCTAGTTGTTACGGGAAGATATTTCCCTTTCCAACATGGGCCTGAAAGCGCTCCAAATGTCCACTTCCAGATACTACAAAAAGAGTGTTTCAAACCTGCTCTACCAAAGGGAATGTTCTACTCTGTGACTTGAATGCAAACATCCCAAAGAAGTTTCTGAGAATGCTTCTGTCTAGATTTTACCTGAAGACAATCCCGTTTCCCACGAAATCCTCAAAGCTATGCAAATATCCTCTTGCAGATTCTACAAAAAGAGTGTTTCAAAACTGCTCTATGAAAAGAAAGGTTCAACTCTGTCAGTAGAGGGCACACATCACAAACAAGTTTCTGAGAATGCTTCTGCATAGTTGTTACGGGAAGATATTTCCCTTTCCAAAATAGTCCTGAAAGCGCTCCAAATGTCCACTTCCAGATACTACAAAAGGAGTGATTCCAACCTGCTCTATGATAGGGAATGTTCAACTCTGTGTCCTGAATACAAACATCACAAAGATGTTTCTCAGAACGCTGCAGTCTGCAATTTGTATGAATTCCCGCTTCCAACGAAATCCTCAAAACTAGCCAAATATCCACTTGCAGATTCCACAAAAAGACCATTTCAAAACTGCTCTATCAAAAGAAAGGTTCAACTTTGTTAGTTGAGTAGATACAGCATAAACAAGTTTCTGAGAATGCTTCTGTCCAGTTTTTATGGGAAGATATTTCCTTTTTCACCTTAGCCCTGAAAGCGCTCCAAAAGTCCAGTTCCAGATACTACAAAAGGAGTGTTTCAGGACTGCTCTATGAAAGGGAGTGTTCAACTTTTGACTTGAATGCAAACATCAGAAAGCAGTTTCTCAGAACGCTGCTGTGTGCTTTTTATATGTATTCCCGCTTCCAGCGAAATCCCCAAAGCTAGCCAAATAGCCACTTGCAGATTCCAGAAAAAGAGTGTTTCAAAACTGCTCCTTCAAAACGGTGGTTCAATTCTCTTAGTTGAGTACACACATCTCAAATAAGTTTCTGAGAATGCTTCTGTCTAGTTGTTATGGGAAGATATTTCCTTTTCCAACATAGGCCTGAAAGCGCTCCAAATGTCCACTTCCAGATACTACAAAAGGAGTGATTCCAACCTGCTCTATGATAGGGAATGTTCAACTCTGTGTCCTGAATACAAACATCACAAAGATGTTTCTCAGAACGCTGCAGTCTGCAATTTGTAAGAATTCCCGCTTCCAACGAAATCCTCCAAACTAGCCAAATATCCACTTGCAGATTCCACAAAAAGAGCGTTTCAAAACTTCTCTATGAAAGAAAGGTTCTACTCCTTTAGTTGAGGACACACATCACGAGTAAGTTTCTGAGAATGCTTCTGTCTAGTTTTTATGGGAAGATATTTCCTTTCTCACCTTAGGCCGGAAAGTGCTCCAAATGTCCACTTACACACACTACAAAAAGAGTGTTTCAAACCTGCTCTGTGAAAGGGAATGTTCAATTCTGTGACTTGAATGCAATCATCACAAAGAACTTTCTGAGAATGCTGCTGTCTGCTTTTTATATGTAATCCCGTTTCCAACGAAATCCTCAAATCTAGCCAAATAGCCACTTGCAGATTCCACAAAAAGAGAGTTTCAAAACTGTTCTGTCTAAAGAAATGTTCAACTGTGTTAGTTGAGGACACACATCAGAAACTAGTTTCTGAGAATGCTTCTGTCTAGTTGTTATGGGAAGATATTTCCTTTTCCAACGTAGGCCTGAAAGCGCTCCAAATGTCCACTTCCATATACTAAAAAAAGAGTGTTTCACACCTGCTCTACCAAAGGGAATGTTCTACTCTGTGACTTGAATGCAAACATCCCAAAGAAGTTTCTGAGAATGCTTCTGTCTAGATTTGATCTGAAGACAATCCCGTTTCCAACGAAATCCTCAAGGCTAGGCAAATATCCTCTTGCAGATTCCAGAAAAAGAGTGTTTCAAAACTGCTCCTTCAAAACGGTGGTTCAATTGCTACTTAGTTGAGTACACACATCTCAAATAAGTTTCTGAGAATGCTTTCTGCCTAGTTGTTACGGGAAAGATATTTCCCTTTCCAACATGGGCCTGAAAGCGCTCCAAATGTCCACTTCCAGATACTACAAAAAGAGTGTTTCAAACCTGCTCTACCAAAGGGAATGTTCTACTCTGTGACTTGAATGCAAACATCCCAAAGAAGTTTCTGAGAATGCTTCTGTCTAGATTTTGCCTGAAGACAATCCCGTTTCCCACGAAATCCTCAAAGCTATGCAAATATCCTCTTGCAGATTCTACAAAAAGAGTGTTTCAAAACTGCTCTATGAAAAGAAAGGTTCAACTCTGTCAGTAGAGGGCACACATCACAAACAAGTTTCTGAGAATGCTTGTGTCTAGTTGTTATGGGAAGATATTTCCTTTTTCAACATAGGCCTGAAAGCGCTCCAAATGTCCACTTCCAGATACTACAAAAGGAGTGATTCCAACCTGCTCTATGATAGGGAATGTTCAACTCTGTGTCCTGAATACAAACATCACAAAGATGTTTCTCAGAACGCTGCAGTCTGCAATTTGTATGAATTCCCGCTTCCAACGAAATCCTCAAAACTAGCCAAATATCCACTTGCAGATTCCACAAAAAGAGCGTTTCAAAACTTATCTATGAAAAGAAAGGTTCCACTTCTTTAGTTGAGGACACACATCACGAGTAAGTTTCTGAGAATGCTTCTGTCTAGTTTTTATGGGAAGATATTTCCTTTTTCACCTTAGGCCGGAAAGTGCTCCAAATGTCCACTTACACACACTATACAAAGAGTGTTTCAAACCTGCTCTGTGAAAGGGAATGTTCAATACTGTGACTTGAATGCAATCATCACAAAGAAGTTTCTGAGAATGCTGCTGTCTGCTTTTTATATGTAATCCCGTTTCCAACGAAATCCTCAAATCTAGCCAAATAGCCACTTGCAGATTCCACAAAAAGAGTGTTTCAAAACTGTTCTGTCTAAAGAAATGTTCAACTGTGTTAGTTGAGGACACACATCAGAAACTAGTTTCTGAGAATGCTTCTGTCTAGTTGTTATGGGAAGACATTTGCTTTTCCAACGTAGGCCTGAAAGCGCTCCAAATGTCCACTTACACACACTACAAAAAGAGTGTTTCAAACCTGCTCTACCAAAGTAAATGTTCTACTCTGTGACTTGAATGCAAACATCCCAAAGAAGTTTGCTGAGAATGCTTCTGTCTAGATTTTATCTGAAGACAATCCCGTTTCCAACGAAATTCTCAAGGCTAGGCAAATATACTCTTTCAGATTCCAGAAAAAGAGTGTTTCAAAACTGCTCCTTCAAAACGGTGGTTCAATTCTCTTAGTTGAGTCCACGCATCTCAAATAAGTTTCTGAGAATGCTTCTGCCTAGTTGTTACGGGAAGATATTTCCCTTTCCAACATGGGCCTGAAAGCGCTCCAAATGTCCACTTCCAGATACTACAAAAACAGTGTTTCAAACCTACTCTACCAAAGGGAATGTTCTACTCTGTGACTTGAATGCAAACATCCCAAAGAAGTTTCTGAGAATGCTTCTGTCTAGATTTTACCTGAAGACAATCCCGTTTCCCACGAAATCCTCAAAGCTATGCAAATATCCTCTTGCAGATTCTACAAAAAGAGTGTTTCAAAACTGCTCTATGAAAAGAAAGGTTCAACTCTGTCAGTAGAGGGCACACATCACAAACAAGTTTCTGAGAATGCTTGTGTCTAGTTGTTATGGGAAGATATTTCCTTTTTCAACATAGGCCTGAAAGCGCTCCAAATGTCCCAGATACTACAAAAGGAGTGATTCCAACCTGCTCTATGATAGGGAATGTTCATCTCTGTGTCCTGAATACAAACATCACAAAGATGTTTCTCAGAACGCTGCAGTCTGCAATTTGTATGAATTCCCGCTTCCAACGAAATCCTCAAAACTAGCCAAATATCCACTTGCAGATTCCACAAAAAGAGCATTTCAAAACTGCTCTGTCAAAAGAAAGGTTCAACTTTGTTAGTTGAGTAGATACAGCATAAACAAGTTTCTGAGAATGCTTCTGTCCAGTTTTTATGGGAAGATATTTCCTTTTTCACCTTAGCCCTGAAAGCGCTCCAAAAGTCCAGTTCCAGATACTACAAAAGGAGTGTTTCAGGACTGCTCTATGAAAGGGAGTGTTCAACTTTTGACTTGAATGCAAACATCAGAAAGCAGTTTCTCAGAACGCTGCTGTGTGCTTTTTATATGTATTCCCGCTTCCAGCGAAATCCCCAAAGCTAGCCAAATATCCACTTGCAGATTCCAGAAAAAGAGTGTTTCAAAACTGCTCCTTCAAAACGGTGGTTCAATTCTCTTAGTTGAGTACACACATCTCAAATAAGTTTCTGAGAATGCTCCTGTCTAGTTGTTATGGGAAGATATTTCCTTTTCCAACATAGGCCTGAAAGCGCTCCAAATGTCCACTTCCAGATACTACAAAAGGAGTGATTCCAACCTGCTCTATGATAGGGAATGTTCAACTCTGTGTCCTGAATACAAACATCACAAAGATGTTTCTCAGAACGCTGCAGTCTGCAATTTGTATGAATTCCCGCTTCCAACGAAATCCTCAAAACTAGCCAAATATCCACTTGCAGATTCCACAAAAAGAGCGTTTCAAAACTTCTCTATGAAAAGAAAGGTTCTACTCCTTTAGTTGAGGACACACATCACGAGTAAGTTTCTGAGAATGCTTCTGTCTAGTTTTTATGGGAAGATATTTCCTTTTTCACCTTAGGCCGGTAAGTGCTCCAAATGTCCACTTACACACACTACAAAAAGAGTGTTTCAAACCTGCTCTGTGAAAGGGAATGTTCAATTCTGTGACTTGAATGCAATCATCACAAAGAACTTTCTGAGAATGCTGCTGTCTGCTTTTTATATGTAATACCGTTTCCAACGAAATCCTCAAATCTAGCCAAATATCCACTTGCAGATTCCACAAAAAGAGTGTTTCAAAACTGTTCTGTCTAAAGAAATGTTCAACTGTGTTAGTTGAGGACACACATCAGAAACTAGTTTCTGAGAATGCTTCTGTCTAGTTGTTATGGGAAGATATTTCCTTTTCCAACGTAGGCCTGAAAGCGCTCCAAATGTTCACTTACACACACTACAAAAAGAGTGTTTCAAACCTGCTCTACCAAAGGGAATGTTCTACTCTGTGACTTGAATGCAAACATCCCAAAGAAGTTTCTGAGAATGCTTCTGTCTAGATTTGATCTGAAGACAATCCCGTTTCCAACGAAATCCTCAAGGCTAGGCAAATATCCTCTTGCAGATTCCAGAAAAAGAGTGTTTCAAAACTGCTCCTTCAAAACGGTGGTTCAATTCTCTTAGTTGAGTACACACATCTCAAATAAGTTTCTGAGAATGCTTCTGCCTAGTTGTTACGGGAAGATATTTCCCTTTCCAACATAGGCCTGAAAGCGCTCCAAATGTCCACTTCCAGATACTACAAAAAGAGTGTTTCAAACCTGCTCTACCAAAGGGAATGTTCTACTCTGTGACTTGAATGCAAACATCCCAAAGAAGTTTCTGAGAATGCTTCTGTCTAGATTTTACCTGAAGACAATCCCGTTTCCCACGAAATCCTCAAAGCTATGCAAATATCCTCTTGCAGATTCTACAAAAAGAGTGTTTCAAAACTGCTCTATGAAAAGAAAGGTTCAACTCTGTCAGTAGAGGGCACACATCACAAACAAGTTTCTGAGAATGCTGTGTCTACTTGTTATGGGAAGATATTTCCTTTTTCAACATAGGCCTGAAAGCGCTCCAAATGTCCACTTCCAGATACTACAAAAGGAGTGATTCCAACCTGCTCTATGATAGGGAATGTTCAACTCTGTGTCCTGAATACAAACATCACAAAGAAGTTTCTCAGAACGCTGGCAGTCTGCAATTTGTATGAATTCCCGCTTCCAATGAAATCCTCAAAACTAGCCAAATATCCACTTGCAGATTCCACAAAAAGAGCATTTCAAAACTGCTCTATCAAAAGAAATGTTCAACTTTGTTAGTTGAGTAGATACAGCATAAACAAGTTTCTGAGAATGCTTCTGTCCAGTTTTTATGGGAAGATATTTCCTTTTTCACCTTAGCCCTGAAAGCGCTCCAAAAGTCCAGTTCCAGATACTACAAAAGGAGTGTTTCAGGACTGCTCTATGAAAGGGAGTGTTCAACTTTTGACTTGAATGCAAACATCAGAAAGCAGTTTCTCAGAACGCTGCTGTGTGCTTTTTATATGTATTCCCGCTTCCAGCGAAATCCCCAAAGCTAGCCAAATATCCACTTGCAGATTCCAGAAAAAGAGTGTTTCAAAACTGCTCCTTCAAAACGGTGGTTCAATTCTCTTAGTTGAGTACACACATCTCAAATAAGTTTCTGAGAATGCTTCTGTCTATTTGTTATGGGAAGATATTTCCTTTTCCAACATAGGCCTGAAAGCGCTCCAAATGTCCACTTCCAGATACTAGAAAAGGAGTGATTCAAACCTGCTCTATGATAGGGAATGTTCAACTCTGTGTCCTGAATACAAACATCACAAAGATGTTTCTCAGAACGCTGCAGTCTGCAATTTGTATGAATTCCCGCTTCCAACGAAATCCTCAAAACTAGCCAAATATCCACTTGCAGATTCCACAAAAAGAGCGTTTCAAAACTTCTCTATGAAAAGAAAGGTTCTACTCCTTTAGTTGAGGACACACATCACGAGTAAGTTTCTGAGAATGCTTCTGTCTAGTTTTTATGGGAAGATATGTCCTTTTTCACCTTAGGCCGGAAAGCGCTCCAAATGTCCACTTACACACACTACAAAAAGAGTGTTTCAAACCTGCTCTGTGAAAGGGAATGTTCAATTCTGTGACTTGAATGCAATCATCACAAAGAACTTTCTGAGAATGCTGCTGTCTGCTTTTTATATGTAATCCCGTTTCCAACGAAATCCTCAAATCTAGCCCAATATCCACTTGCAGATTCCACAAAAAGAGTGTTTCAAAACTGTTCTGTCTAAAGAAAAGTTCAACTGTGTTAGTTGAGGACACATATCAGAAAGTAGTTTCTGAGAATGCTTCTGTCTAGTTGTTATGGGAAGAGATTTCCTTTTCCAACGTAGGCCTGAAAGCGCTCCAAATGTCCTTCCATATACTAAAAAAAGAGTGTTTCAAACCTGCTCTACCAAAGGGAATGTTCTACTCTGTGACTTGAATGCAAACATCCCAAAGAAGTTTCTGAGAATGCTTCTGTCTAGATTTTATCTGAAGACAATCCCGTTTCCAACGAAATCGTCAAGGCTAGGCAAATATACTCTTGCAGATTCCAGAAAAAGAGTGTTTCAAAACTGCTCCTTCAAAACGGTGGTTCAATTCTCTTAGTTGAGTACACACATCTCAAATAAGTTTCTGAGAATGCTTCTGCCTAGTTGTTACGGGAAGATATTTCCCTTTCCAACATGGGCCTGAAAGCGCTCCAAATGTCCACTTCCAGATACTACAAAAAGAGTGTTTCAAACCTGCTCTACCAAAGGGAATGTTCTACTCTGTGACTTGAATGCAAACATCCCAAAGAAGTTTCTGAGAATGCTTCTGTCTAGATTTTACCTGAAGACAATCCCGTTTCCCACGAAATCCTCAAAGCTATGCAAATATCCTCTTGCAGATTCTACAAAAAGAGTGTTTCAAAACTGCTCTATGAAAAGAAAGGTTCAACTCTGTCAGTAGAGGGCACACATCACAAACAAGTTTCTGAGAATGCTTCTGCATAGTTGTTACGGGAAGATATTTCCCTTTCCAAAATAGGCCTGAAAGCGCTCCAAATGTCCACTTCCAGATACTACAAAAGGAGTGATTCCAACCTGCTCTATGATAGGGAATGTTCAACTCTGTGTCCTGAATACAAACATCACAAAGATGTTTCTCAGAACGCTGCAGTCTGCAATTTGTATGAATTCCCGCTTCCAACGAAATCCTCAAAACTAGCCAAATATCCACTTGCAGATTCCACAAAAAGACCATTTCAAAACTGCTCTATCAAAAGAAAGGTTCAACTTTGTTAGTTGAGTAGATACAGCATAAACAAGTTTCTGAGAATGCTTCTGTCCAGTTTTTATGGGAAGATATTTCCTTTTTCACCTTAGCCCTGAAATCGCTCCAAAAGTCCAGTTCCAGATACTACCAAAGGGGTGTTTCAGGACTGCTCTATGAAAGGGAGTGTTCAACTTTTGACTTGAATGCAAACATCAGAAAGCAGTTTCTCAGAACGCTGCTGTGTGCTTTTTATATGTATTCCCGCTTCCAGCGAAATCCCCAAAGCTAGCCAAATATCCACTTGCAGATTCCAGAAAAAGAGAGTTTCAAAACTGCTCCTTCAAAACGGTGGTTCAATTCTCTTAGTTGAGTACACACATCTCAAATAAGTTTCTGAGAATGCTTCTGTCTAGTTGTTATGGGAAGATATTTCCTTTTCCAACATAGGCCTGAAAGCGCTCCAAATGTCCACTTCCAGATACTACAAAAGGAGTGATTCAAACCTGCTCTATGATAGGGAATGTTCAACTCTGTGTCCTGAATACAAACATCACAAAGATGTTTCTCAGAACGCTGCAGTCTGCAATTTGTATGAATTCCCGCTTCCAACGAAATCCTCAAAACTAGCCAAATATCCACTTGCAGATTCCACAAAAAGAGCGTTTCAAAACTTCTCTATGAAAAGAAAGGTTGTACTCCTTTAGTTGAGGACACACATCACGAGTAAGTTTCTGAGAATGCTTCTGTCTAGTTTTTATGGGAAGATATTTCCTTTTTCACCTTAGGCCGGTAAGTGCTCCAAATGTCCACTTACACACACTACAAAAAGAGTGTTTCAAACCTGCTCTGTGAAAGGGAATGTTCAATTCTGTGACTTGAATGCAATCATCACAAAGAACTTTCTGAGAATGCTGCTGACTGCTTTTTATATGTAATCCCGTTTCCAACGAAATCCTCAAATCTAGCCAGATAGCCACTTGCAGATTCCACAAAAAGAGTGTTTCAAAACTGTTCTGTCTAAGGAAATGTTCAACTGTGTTAGTTGAGGACACACATCAGAAACTAGTTTCTGAGAATGCTTCTGTCTAGTTGTTATGGGAAGATATTTCCTTTTCCAACGTAGGCCTGAAAGCGCTCCAAATGTCCACTTCCATATACTAAAAAAAGAGTGTTTCAAACCTGCTCTACCAAACAGAATGTTCTACTCTGTGACTTGAATGCAAACATCCCAAAGAAGTTTCTGAGAATGCTTCTGTCTAGATTTTATCTGAAGACAATCCCGTTTCCAACGAAATCCTCAAGGCTAGGCAAATATACTCTTGCCGATTCCAGAAAAAGAGTGTTTCAAAACTGCTCCTTCAAAACGGTGGTTCAATTCTCTTAGTTGAGTCCACACATCTCAAATAAGTTTCTGAGAATGCTTCTGCCTAGTTGTTACGGGAAGATATTTCCCTTTCCAACATGGGCCTGAAAGCGCTCCAAATGTCCACTTCCAGATACTACAAAAAGAGTGTTTCAAACCTGCTCTACCAAAGGGAATGTTCTACTCTGTGACTTGAATGCAAACATCCCAAAGAAGTTTCTGAGAATGCTTCTGTCTAGATTTTACCTGAAGACAATCCCGTTTCCCACGAAATCCTCAAAGCTATGCAAATATCCTCTTGCAGATTCTACAAAAAGAGTGTTTCAAAACTGCTCTATGAAAAGAAAGGTTCAACTCTGTCAGTAGAGGGCACACATCACAAACAAGTTTCTGAGAATGCTTCTGCATAGTTGTTACGGGAAGATATTTCCCTTTCCAAAATAGGCCTGAAAGCGCTCCAAATGTCCACTTCCAGATACTACAAAAGGAGTGATTCCAACCTGCTCTATGATAGGGAATGTTCAACTCTGTGTCCTGAATACAAACATCACAAAGATGTTTCTCAGAACGCTGCAGTCTGCAATTTGTATGAATTCCCGCTTCCAACGAAATCCTCAAAACTAGCCAAATATCCACTTGCAGATTCCACAAAAAGACCATTTCAAAACTGCTCTATCAAAAGAAAGGTTCAACTTTGTTAGTTGAGTAGATACAGCATAAACAAGTTTCTGAGAATGCTTCTGTCCAGTTTTTATGGGAAGATATTTCCTTTTTCACCTTAGCCCTGAAATCGCTCCAAAAGTCCAGTTCCAGATACTACAAAAGGGGTGTTTCAAGACTGCTCTATGAAAGGGAGTGTTCAACTTTTGACTTGAATGCAAACATCAGAAAGCAGTTTCTCAGAACGCTGCTGTGTGCTTTTTATATGTATTCCCGCTTCCAGCGAAATCCCCAAAGCTAGCCAAATATCCACTTGCAGATTCCAGAAAAAGAGAGTTTCAAAACTGCTCCTTCAAAACGGTGGTTCAATTCTCTTAGTTGAGTACACACATCTCAAATAAGTTTCTGAGAATGCTTCTGTCTAGTTGTTATGGGAAGATATTTCCTTTTCTAACATAGGCCTGAAAGCGCTCCAAATGTCCACTTCCAGATACTACAAAAGGAGTGATTCAAACCTGCTCTATGATAGGGAATGTTCAACTCTGTGTCCTGAATACAAACATCACAAAGATGTTTCTCAGAACGCTGCAGTCTGCAATTTGTATGAATTCCCGCTTCCAACGAAATCCTCAAAACTAGCCAAATATCCACTTGCAGATTCCACAAAAAGAGCGTTTCAAAACTTCTCTATGAAAAGAAAGGTTCTACTCCTTTAGTTGAGGACACACATCACGAGTAAGTTTCTGAGAATTCTTCTGTCTAGTTTTTATGGGAAGATATTTCCTTTTTCACCTTAGGCCAGAAAGCGCTCCAAATGTCCACTTACACACACTACAAAAAGATTGTTTCAAACCTGCTCTGTGAAAGGGAATGTTCAATTCTGTGACTTGAATGCAATCATCACAAAGAACTTTCTTAGAATGCTGCTGACTGTTTTTTATATGTAATCCCGTTTCCAACGAAATCCTCAAATCTAGCCAAATATCCACTTGCAGATTCCACAAAAACAGTGTTTCAAAACTGTTCTGTCTAAAGAAATGTTCAACTGTGTTAGTTGAGGACACACATCAGAAACTAGTTTCTGAGAATGCTTCTGCCTAGTTGTTATGGGAAGATATTTCCTTTTCCAACGTAGGCCTGAAAGCGCTCCAAATGTCCACTTCCAGATACTACAAAAAGAGTGTTTCAAACCTGCTCTACCAAAGGGAATGTTCTACTCTGTGACTTGAATGCAAACATCCCAAAGAAGTTTCTGAGAATGCTTCTGTCTAGATTTGATCTGAAGACAATCCCGTTTCCAACGAAATCCTCAAGGCTAGGCAAATATACTCTTGCAGATTCCAGAAAAAGAGTGTTTCAAAACTGCTCCTTCAAAACGGTGGTTCAATTCTCTTAGTTGAGTACACACATCTCAAATAAGTTTCTGAGAATGCTTCTGCCTATTTGTTACGGGAAGATATTTCCCTTTCCAACATGGGCCTGAAAGCGCTCCAAATGTCCACTTCCAGATACTACAAAAAGAGTGTTTCAAACCTGCTCTACCAAAGGGAATGTTCTACTCTGTGACTTGAATGCAAACATCCCAAAGAAGTTTCTGAGAATGCTTCTGTCTAGATTTTACCTGAAGACAATCCCGTTTCCCACGAAATCCTCAAGGCTAGGCAAATATACTCTTGCAGATTCCAGAAAAAGAGTGTTTCAAAACTGCTCCTTCAAAACGGTGGTTCAATTCTCTTAGTTGAGTACACACATCTCAAATAAGTTTCTGAGAATGCTTCTGCCTAGTTGTTACGGGAAGATATTTCCCTTTGCAACATGGGCCTGAAAGCGCTCCAAATGTCCACTTCCAGATACTACAAAAAGAGGGTTTCAAACCTGCTCTACCAAAGGGAATGTTCTACTCTGTGACTTGAATGCAAACATCCCAAAGAAGTTTCTGAGAATGCTTCTGTCTAGATTTTACCTGAAGACAATCCCGTTTCCCACGAAATCCTCAAAGCTATGCAAATATCCTCTTGCAGATTCTACAAAAAGAGTGTTTCAAAACTGCTCTATGAAAAGAAAGGTTCAACTCTGTCAGTAGAGGGCACACATCACAAACAAGATTCTGAGAATGCTTGTGTCTAGTTGGCATGGGACGATATTTCCTTTTTCAACATAGGCCTGAAAGCGCTCCAAATGTCCACTTCCAGATACTACAAAAGGAGTGATTCCAACATGCTCTATGATAGGGAATGTTCATCTCTGTGTCTTGAATACAAACATCACAAAGATGTTTCTCAGAACGCTGCAGTCTGCAATTTGTATGAATTCCCGCTTCCAACGAAATCCTCAAAACTAGCCAAATATCCACTTGGAGATTCCACAAAAAGAGCGTTTCAAAACTTCTCTATGAATAGAAAGGTTCTACTCCTTTAGTTGAGGACACACATCACGAGTAAGTTTCTGAGAATGCTTCTGTCTAGTTTTTATGGGAAGATATGTCCTTTTTCACCTTAGGCCGGAAAGCGCTCCAAATGTCCACTTACACACACTACAAAAAGAGTGTTTCAAACCTGCTCTGTGAAAGGGAATGTTCAATTCTGTGACTTGAATGCAATCATCACAAAGAACTTTCTGAGAATGCTGCTGACTGCTTTTTATATGTAATCCCGTTTCCAACGAAATCCTCAAATCTAGCCCAATATCCACTTGCAGATTCCACAAAAAGAGTGTTTCAAAACTGTTCTGTGTAAAGAAATGTACAACTGTGTTATTTGAGGACACACATCAGAAACTAGTTTCTGAGAATGCTTCTGTCTAGTTGTTATGGGAAGATATTTCCTTTTCCAACGTAGGCCTGAAAGCGCTCCAAATGTCCACTTCCATATACTAAAAAAAGAGTGTTTCAAACCTGCTCTACCAAAGGGAATGTTCTACTCTGTGACTTGAATGCAAACATCCCAAAGAAGTTTCTGAGAATGCTTCTGTCTAGATTTTATCTGAAGACAATCCCGTTTCCAACGAAATCCTCAAGGCTAGGCAAATATACTCTTGCAGATTCCAGAAAAAGAGTGTTTCAAAACTGCTCCTTCAAAACGGTGGTTCAATTCTCTTAGTTGAGTACACACATCTCAAATAAGTTTCTGAGAATGCTTCTGCCTAGTTGTTACGGGAAGATATTTCCCTTTCCAACATGGGCCTGAAAGCGCTCCAAATGTCCACTTCCAGATACTACAAAAAGAGGGTTTCAAACCTGCTCTACCAAAGGGAATGTTCTACTCTGTGACTTGAATGCAAACATCCCAAAGAAGTTTCTGAGAATGCTTCTGTCTAGATTTTACCTGAAGACAATCCCGTTTCCCACGAAATCCTCAAAGCTATGCAAATATCCTCTTGCAGATTCTACAAAAAGAGTGTTTCAAAACTGCTCTATGAAAAGAAAGGTTCAACTCTGTCAGTAGAGGGCACACATCACAAACAAGTTTCTGAGAATGCTTGTGTCTAGTTGTTATGGGAAGATATTTCCTTTTTCAACATAGGCCTGAAAGCGCTCCAAATGTCCACTTCCAGATACTACAAAAGGAGTGATTCCAACCTGCTCTATGATAGGGAATGTTCAACTCTGTGTCCTGAATACAAACATCACAAAGATGTTTCTCAGAACGCTGCAGTCTGCAATTTGTATGTATTCCAGCTTCCAACGAAATCCTCAAATCTAGCCAAATATCCACTTGCAGATTCCACAAAAAGAGCATTTCAAAACTGCTCTATCAAAAGAAAGGTTCAACTTTTTTAGTAGAGTAGATACAGCATAAACAAGTTTCTGAGAATGCTTCTGTCCAGTTTTTATGGGAAGATATTTCCTTTTTCACCTTAGCCCTGAAAGCGCTCCAAAAGTCCAGTTCCAGATACTACAAAAGGAGTGTTTCAGGACTGCTCTATGAAAGGGAGTGTTCAACTTTTGACTTGAATGCAAACATCAGAAAGCAGTTTCTCAGAACGCTGCTGTGTGCTTTTTATATGTATTCCCGCTTCCAGCGAAATCCCCAAAGCTAGCCAAATATCCACTTGCAGATTCCAGAAAAAGAGTGTTTCAAAACTGCTCCTTCAAAACGGTGGTTCAATTCTCTTAGTTGAGTACACACATCTCAAATAAGTTTCTGAGAATGCTTCTGTCTAGCTGTTATGGGAAGATATTTCCTTTTCCATCATAGGCCTGAAAGCGCTCCAAATGTCCACTTCCAGATACTACAAAAGGAGTGATTCAAACCTGCTCTATGATAGGGAATGTTCAACTCTGTGTCCTGAATACAAACATCACAAAGATGTTTCTCAGAACGCTGCAGTCTGCAATTTGTATGAATTCCCGCTTCCAACGAAATCCTCAAAACTAGCCAAATATCCACTTGCAGATTCCACAAAAAGAGCGTTTCAAAACTTCTCTATGAAAAGAAAGGTTCTACTCCTTTAGTTGAGGACACACATCACGAGTAAGTTTCTGAGAATGCTTCTGTCTAGTTTTTATGGGAAGATATTTCCTTTTTCACCTTAGGCCGGAAAGTGCTCCAAATGTCCACTTACACACACTACAAAAAGAGTGTTTCAAACCTGCTCTGTGAAAGGGAATGTTCAATTCTGTGACTTGAATGCAATCATCACAAAGAACTTTCTGAGAATGCTGCTGTCTGCTTTTTATATGTAATCCCGTTTCCAACGAAATCCTCAAATCTAGCCAAATAGCCACTTGCAGATTCCACAAAAAGAGAGTTTCAAAACTGTTCTGTCTAAAGAAATGTTCAACTGTTTTAGTTGAGGACACACATCAGAAACTAGTTTCTGAGAATGCTTCTGTCTAGTTGTTATGGGAAGATATTTCCTTTTCCAACGTAGGCCTGAAAGCGCTCCAAATGTCCACTTCCATATACTAAAAAAAGAGTGTTTCAAACCTGCTCTACCAAAGGGAATGTTCTACTCTGTGACTTGAATGCAAACATCCCAAAGAAGTTTCTGAGAATGCTTCTGTCTAGATTTGATCTGAAGACAATCCCGTTTCCAACGAAATCCTCAAGGCTAGGCAAATATCCTCTTGCAGATTCCAGAAAAAGAGTGTTTCAAAACTGCTCCTTCAAAACGGTGGTTCAATTCTCTTAGTTGAGTACACACATCTCAAATAAGTTTCTGAGAATGCTTCTGCCTAGTTGTTACGGGAAGATATTTCCCTTTCCAACATAGGCCTGAAAGCGCTCCAAATGTCCACTTCCAGATACTACAAAAAGAGTGTTTCAAACCTGCTCTACCAAAGGGAATGTTCTACTCTGTGACTTGAATGCAAACATCCCAAAGAAGTTTCTGAGAATGCTTCTGTCTAGATTTTACCTGAAGACAATCCCGTTTCCCACGAAATCCTCAAAGCTATGCAAATATCCTCTTGCAGATTCTACAAAAAGAGTGTTTCAAAACTGCTCTATGAAAAGAAAGGTTCAACTCTGTCAGTAGAGGGCACACATCACAAACAAGTTTCTGAGAATGCTTGTGTCTAGTTGTTATGGGAAGATATTTCCTTTTTCAACATAGGCCTGAAAGCGCTCCAAATGTCCACTTCCAGATACTACAAAAGGAGTGATTCCAACATGCTCTATGATAGGGAATGTTCATCTCTGTGTCTTGAATACAAACATCACAAAGATGTTTCTCAGAACGCTGCAGTCTGCAATTTGTATGAATTCCCGCTTCCAACGAAATCCTCAAAACTAGCCAAATATCCACTTGGAGATTCCACAAAAAGAGCGTTTCAAAACTTCTCTATGAATAGAAAGGTTCTACTCCTTTAGTTGAGGACACACATCACGAGTAAGTTTCTGAGAATGCTTCTGTCTAGTTTTTATGGGAAGATATGTCCTTTTTCACCTTAGGCCGGAAAGCGCTCCAAATGTCCACTTACACACACTACAAAAAGAGTGTTTCAAACCTGCTCTGTGAAAGGGAATGTTCAATTCTGTGACTTGAATGCAATCATCACAAAGAACTTTCTGAGAATGCTGCTGTCTGCTTTTTATATGTAATCCCGTTTCCAACGAAATCCTCAAATCTAGCCCAATATCCACTTGCAGATTCCACAAAAAGAGTGTTTCAAAACTGTTCTGTCTAAAGAAAAGTTCAACTGTGTTAGTTGAGGACACATATCAGAAACTAGTTTCTGAGAATGCTTCTGTCTAGTTGTTATGGGAAGATATTTCCTTTTACAACGTAGGCCTGAAAGCGCTCCAAATGTCCACTTCCATATACTAAAAAAAGAGTGTTTCAAACCTGCTCTACCAAAGGGAATGTTCTACTCTGTGACTTGAATGCAAACATCCCAAAGAAGTTTCTGAGAATGCTTCTGTCTAGATTTTATCTGAAGACAATCCCGTTTCCAACGAAATCCTCAAGGCTAGGCAAATATACTCTTGCAGATTCCAGAAAAAGAGTGTTTCAAAACTGCTCCTTCAAAACGGTGGTTCAATTCTCTTAGTTGAGTCCACACATCTCAAATAAGTTTCTGAGAATGCTTCTGCCTAGTTGTTACGGGAAGATATTTCCCTTTCCAACATGGGCCTGAAAGCGCTCCAAATGTCCACTTCCAGATACTACAAAAAGAGTGTTTCAAACCTGCTCTACCAAAGGGAATGTTCTACTCTGTGACTTGAATGCAAACATCCCAAAGAAGTTTCTGAGAATGCTTCTGTCTAGATTTTACCTGAAGACAATCCCGTTTCCCACGAAATCCTCAAAGCTATGCAAATATCCTCTTGCGGATTCTACAAAAAGAGTGTTTCAAAACTGCTCTATGAAAAGAAAGGTTCAACTCTGTCAGTAGAGGGCACACATCACAAACAAGTTTCTGAGAATGCTTGTGTCTAGTTGTTATGGGAAGATATTTCCTTTTTCAACATAGGCCTGAAAGCGCTCCAAATGTCCACTTCCAGATACTACAAAAGGAGTGATTCCAACATGCTCTATGATAGGGAATGTTCATCTCTGTGTCCTGAATACAAACATCACAAAGATGTTTCTCAGAACGCTGCAGTCTGCAATTTGTAGGAATTCCCGCTTCCAACGAAATCCTCAAAACTAGCCAAATATCCACTTGGAGATTCCACAAAAAGAGCGTTTCAAAACTTCTCTATGAATAGAAAGGTTCTACTCCTTTAGTTGAGGACACACATCACGAGTAAGTTTCTGAGAATGCTTCTGTCTAGTTTTTATGGGAAGATATGTCCTTTTTCACCTTAGGCCGGAAAGCGCTCCAAATGTCCACTTACACACACTACAAAAAGAGTGTTTCAAACCTGCTCTGTGAAAGGGAATGTTCAATTCTGTGACTTGAATGCAATCATCACAAAGAACTTTCTGAGAATGCTGCTGTCTGCTTTTTATATGTAATCCCGTTTCCAACGAAATCCTCAAATCTAGCCCAATATCCACTTGCAGATTCCACAAAAAGAGTGTTTCAAAACTGTTCTGTATAAAGAAATGTACAACTGTGTTAGTTGAGGACACACATCAGAAACTAGTTTCTGAGAATGCTTCTGTCTAGTTGTTATGGGAAGATATTTCCTTTTCCAACGTAGGCCTGAAAGCACTCCAAATGTCCACTTCCATATACTAGAAAAAGAGTGTTTCAAACCTGCTCTACCAAAGGGAATGTTCTAATCTGTGACTTGAATGCAAACATCCCAAAGAAGTTTCTGAGAATGCTTCTGTCTAGATTTTATCTGAAGACAATCCCGTTTCCAACGAAATCCTCAAGGCTAGGCAAATATACTCTTGCAGATTCCAGAAAAAGAGTGTTTCAAAACTGCTCCTTCAAAACGGTGGTTCAATTCTCTTAGTTGAGTACACACATCTCAAATAAGTTTCTGAGAATGCTTCTGCCTAGTTGTTACGGGAAGATATTTCCCTTTCCAACATGGGCCTGAAAGCGCTCCAAATGTCCACTTCCAGATACTACAAAAAGAGTGTTTCAAACCTGCTCTACCAAAGGGAATGTTCTACTCTGTGACTTGAATGCAAACATCCCAAAGAAGTTTCTGAGAATGCTTCTGTCTAGATTTTACCTGAAGACAATCCCGTTTCCCACGAAATCCTCAAAGCTATGCAAATATCCTCTTGCGGATTCTACAAAAAGAGTGTTTCAAAACTGCTCTATGAAAAGAAAGGTTCAACTCTGTCAGTAGAGGGCACACATCACAAACAAGTTTCTGAGAATGCTTGTGTCTAGTTGTTATGGGAAGATATTTCCTTTTTCAACATAGGCCTGAAAGCGCTCCAAATGTCCACTTCCAGATACTACAAAAGGAGTGATTCCAACCTGCTCTATGATAGGGAATGTTCATCTCTGTGTCCTGAATACAAACATCACAAAGATGTTTCTCAGAACGCTACAGTCTGCAATTTGTGTGAATTCCCGCTTCCAACGAAATCCTCAAAACTAGCCAAATATCCACTTGGAGATTCCACAAAAAGAGCGTTTCAAAACTTCTCTATGAATAGAAAGGTTCTACTCCTTTAGTTGAGGACACACATCACGAGTAAGTTTCTGAGAATGCTTCTGTCTAGTTTTTATGGGAAGATATTTCCTTGTTCACCTTAGGCCGGAAAGCGCTCCAAATGTCCACTTACACACACTACAAAAAGAGTGTTTCAAACCTGCTCTGTGAAAGGGAATGTTCAATTCTGTGACTTGAATGCAATCATCACAAAGAACTTTCTGAGAATGCTGCTGTCTGCTTTTTATATGTAATCCCGTTTCCAACGAAATCCTCAAATCTAGCCAAATATCCACTTGCAGATTCCACAAAAAGAGTGTTTCAAAACTGTTCTGTCTAAAGAAAAGTTCAACTGTGTTAGTTGAGGACACACATCAGAAACTAGTTTCTGAGAATGCTTCTGTCTAGTTGTTATGGGAAGATATTTCCTTTTCCAACGTAGGCCTGAAAGCGCTCCAAATGTCCACTTCCATATACTAAAAAAAGAGTGTTTCAAACCTGCTCTACCAAAGGGAATGTTCTACTCTGTGACTTGAATGCAAACATCCCAAAGAAGTTTCTGAGAATGCTTCTGTCTAGATTTTCTCTGAAGACAATCCCGTTTCCAACGAAATCCTCAAGGCTAGGCAAATATACTCTTGCAGATTCCAGAAAAAGAGTGTTTCAAAACTGCTCCTTCAAAACGGTGGTTCAATTCTCTTAGTTGAGTACACACATCTCAAATAAGTTTCTGAGAATGCTTCTGCCTAGTTGTTACGGGAAGATATTTCCTTTTCCAACATGGGCCTGAAAGCGCTCCAAATGTCCACTTCCAGATACTACAAAAAGAGTGTTTCAAACCTGCTCTACCAAAGGGAATGTTCTACTCTGTGACTTGAATGCAAACATCCCAAAGAAGTTTCTGAGAATGCTTCTGTCTAGATTTTACCTGAAGACAATCCCGTTTCCCACGAAATCCTCAAAGCTATGCAAATATCCTCTTGCAGATTCTACAAAAAGAGTGTTTCAAAACTGCTCTATGAAAAGAAAGGTTCAACTCTGTCAGTAGAGGGCACACATCACAAACAAGTTTCTGAGAATGCTTCTGCATAGTTGTTACGGGAAGATATTTCCCTTTCCAAAATAGGCCTGAAAGCGCTCCAAATGTCCACTTCCAGATACTACAAAAGGAGTGATTCCAACCTGCTCTATGATAGGGAATGTTCAACTCTGTGTCCTGAATACAAACATCACAAAGATGTTTCTCAGAACGCTGCAGTCTGCAATTTGTATGAATTCCCGCTTCCAACGAAATCCTCAAAACTAGCCAAATATCCACTTGCAGATTCCACAAAAAGACCATTTCAAAACTGCTCTATCAAAAGAAAGGTTCAACTTTGTTAGTTGAGTAGATACAGCATAAACAAGTTTCTGAGAATGCTTCTGTCCAGTTTTTATGGGAAGATATTTCCTTTTTCACCTTAGCCCTGAAATCGCTCCAAAAGTCCAGTTCCAGATACTACAAAAGGGGTGTTTCAGGACTGCTCTATGAAAGGGAGTGTTCAACTTTTGACTTGAATGCAAACATCAGAAAGCAGTTTCTCAGAACGCTGCTGTGTGCTTTTTATATGTATTCCCGCTTCCAGCGAAATCCCCAAAGCTAGCCAAATATCCACTTGCAGATTCCAGAAAAAGAGAGTTTCAAAACTGCTCCTTCAAAACGGTGGTTCAATTCTCTTAGTTGAGTACACACATCTCAAATAAGTTTCTGAGAATGCTTCTGTCTATTTGTTATGGGAAGATATTTCCTTTTCCAACATAGGCCTGAAAGCGCTCCAAATGTCCACTTCCAGATACTAGAAAAGGAGTGATTCAAACCTGCTCTATGATAGGGAATGTTCAACTCTGTGTCCTGAATACAAACATCACAAAGATGTTTCTCAGAACGCTGCAGTCTGCAATTTGTATGAATTCCCGCTTCCAGCGAAATCCTCAAAACTAGCCAAATATCCACTTGCAGATTCCACAAAAAGAGCATTTCAAAACTGCTCTATCAAAAGAAAGGTTCAACTTTGTTAGTTGAGTAGATACAGCATAAACAAGTTTCTGAGAATGCTTCTGTCCAGTTTTTATGGGAAGATATTTCCTTTTTCACCTTAGCCCTGAAATCGCTCCAAAAGTCCAGTTCCAGATACTACAAAAGGGGTGTTTCAAGACTGCTCTATGAAAGGGAGTGTTCAACTTTTGACTTGAATGCAAACATCAGAAAGCAGTTTCTCAGAACGCTGCTGTGTGCTTTTTATATGTATTCCCGCTTCCAGCGAAATCCCCAAAGCTAGCCAAATATCCACTTGCAGATTCCAGAAAAAGAGTGTTTCAAAACTGCTCCTTCAAAACGGTGGTTCAATTCTCTTAGTTGAGTACACACATCTCAAATAAGTTTCTGAGAATGCTTCTGTCTAGTTGTTATGGGAAGATATTTCCTTTTCCAACATAGGCCTGAAAGCGCTCCAAATGTCCACTTCCAGATACTACAAAAGGAGTGATTCAAACCTGCTCTATGATAGGGAATGTTCAAATCTGTGTCCTGAATACAAACATCACAAAGATGTTTCTCAGAACGCTGCAGTCTGCAATTTGTATGAATTCCCGCTTCCAACGAAATCCTCCAAACTAGCCAAATATCCACTTGCAGATTCCACAAAAAGAGCGTTTCAAAACTTCTCTATGAAAAGAAAGGTTCTACTCCTTTAGTTGAGGACACACATCACGAGTAAGTTTCTGAGAATGCTTCTGTCTAGTTTTTATGGGAAGATATTTCCTTTTTCACCTTAGGCCGGTAAGTGCTCCAAATGTCCACTTACACACACTACAAAAAGAGTGTTTCAAACCTGCTCTGTGAAAGGGAATGTTCAATTCTGTGACTTGAATGCAATCATCACAAAGAACTTTCTGAGAATGCTGCTGACTGCTTTTTATATGTAATCCCGTTTCCAACGAAATCCTCAAATCTAGCCAAATAGCCACTTGCAGATTCCACAAAAAGAGTGTTTCAAAACTGTTCTGTCTAAAGAAATGTTCAACTGTGTTAGTTGAGGACACACATCAGAAACTAGTTTCTGAGAATGCTTCTGTCTAGTTGTTATGGGAAGATATTTCCTTTTCCAACGTAGGCCTGAAAGCGCTCCAAATGTCCACTTCCATATACTAAAAAAAGAGTGTTTCAAACCTGCTCTACCAAAGGGAATGTTCTACTCTGTGACTTGAATGCAAGCATCCCAAAGAAGTTTCTGAGAATGCTTCTGTCTAGATTTTCTCTGAAGACAATCCCGTTTCCAACGAAATCCTCAAGGCTAGGCAAATATCCTCTTGCAGATTCCAGAAAAAGAGTGTTTCAAAACTGCTCCTTCAAAACGGTGGTTCAATTCTCTTAGTTGAGTACACACATCTCAAATAAGTTTCTGAGAATGCTTCTGCCTAGTTGTTACGGGAAGATATTTCCCTTTCCAACATGGGCCTGAAAGCGCTCCAAATGTCCACTTCCAGATACTACAAAAAGAGTGTTTCAAACCTGCTCTACCAAAGGGAATGTTCTACTCTGTGACTTGAATGCAAACATCCCAAAGAAGTTTCTGAGAATGCTTCTGTCTAGATTTTACCTGAAGACAATCCCGTTTCCCACGAAATCCTCAAAGCTATGCAAATATCCTCTTGCAGATTCTACAAAAAGAGTGTTTCAAAACTGCTCTATGAAAAGAAAGGTTCAACTCTGTCAGTAGAGGGCACACATCACAAACAAGTTTCTGAGAATGCTTGTGTCTAGTTGTTATGGGAAGATATTTCCTTTTTCAACATAGGCCTGAAAGCGCTCCAAATGTCCACTTCCAGATACTACAAAAGGAGTGATTCCAACCTGCTCTATGATAGGGAATGTTCATCTCTGTGTCCTGAATACAAACATCACAAAGATGTTTCTCATAACGCTGCAGTCTGCAATTTGTATGAATTCCCGCTTCCAACGAAATCCTCAAAACTAGCCAAATATCCACTTGGAGATTCCACAAAAAGAGCGTTTCAAAACTTCTCTATGAATAGAAAGGTTCTACTCCTTTAGTTGAGGACACACATCACGAGTAAGTTTCTGAGAATGCTTCTGTCTAGTTTTTATGGGAAGATATTTCCTTTTTCACCTTAGGCCGGAAAGCGCTCCAAATGTCCACTTACACACACTACAAAAAGAGTGTTTCAAACCTGCTCTGTGAAAGGGAATGTTCAATTCTGTGACTTGAATGCAATCATCACAAAGAACTTTCTGAGAATGCTGCTTACTGCTTTTTATATGTAATCCCGTTTCCAACGAAATCCTCAAATCTAGCCCAATATCCACTTGCAGATTCCACAAAAAGAGTGTTTCAAAACTGTTCTGTCTAAAGAAATGTACAACTGTGTTAGTTGAGGACACACATCAGAAACTAGTTTCTGAGAATGCTTCTGTCTAGTTGTTATGGGAAGATATTTCCTTTTCCAACGTAGGCCTGAAAGCGCTCCAAATGTCCACTTCCATATACTAAAAAAAGAGTGTTTCAAACCTGCTCTACCAAAGGGAATGTTCTACTCTGTGACTTGAATGCAAACATCCCAAAGAAGTTTCTGAGAATGCTTCTGTCTAGATTTTATCTGAAGACAATCCCGTTTCCAACGAAATCCTCAAGGCTAGGCAAATATACTCTTGCAGATTCCAGAAAAAGAGTGTTTCAAAACTGCTCCTTCAAAACGGTGGTTCAATTCTCTTCGTTGAGTCCACACATCTCAAATAAGTTTCTGAGAATGCTTCTGCCTAGTTGTTACGGCAAGATATTTCCCTTTCCAACATGGGCCTGAAAGCGCTCCAAATGTCCACTTCCAGATACTACAAAAAGAGTGTTTCAAACCTACTCTACCAAAGGGAATGTTCTACTCTGTGACTTGAATGCAAACATCCCAAAGAAGTTTCTGAGGATGCTTCTGTCTAGATTTTACCTGAAGACAATCCCGTTTCCCACGAAATCCTCAAAGCTATGCAAATATCCTCTTGCAGATTCTACAAAAAGAGTGTTTCAAAACTGCTCTATGAAAAGAAAGGTTCAACTCTGTCAGTAGAGGGCACACATCACAGACAAGTTTCTGAGAATGCTTCTGCATAGTTGTTACGGGAAGATATTTCCCTTTCCAAAATAGGCCTGAAAGCGCTCCAAATGTCCACTTCCAGATACTACAAAAGGAGTGATTCCAACCTGCTCTATGATAAGGGAATGTTCAACTCTGTGTCCTGAATACAAACATCACAAAGATGTTTCTCAGAACGCTGCAGTCTGCAATTTGTATGAATTCCCGCTTCCAACGAAATCCTCAAAACTAGCCAAATATCCACTTGCAGATTCCACAAAAAGACCATTTCAAAACTGCTCTATCAAAAGAAAGGTTCAACTTTGTTAGTTGAGTAGATACAGCATAACCAAGTTTCTGAGAATGCTTCTGTCCAGTTTTTATGGGAAGATATTTCCTTTTTCACCTTAGCCCTGAAATCGCTCCAAAAGTCCAGGTCGAGATACTACAAAAGGGGTGTTTCAAGACTGCTCTATGAAAGGGAGTGTTCAACTTTTGACTTGAATGCAAACATCAGAAAGCAGTTTCTCAGAACGCTGCTGTGTGCTTTTTATATGTATTCCCGCTTCCAGCGAAATCCCCAAAGCTAGCCAAATATCCACTTGCAGATTCCAGAAAAAGAGAGTTTCAAAACTGCTCCTTCAAAACGGTGGTTCAATTCTCTTAGTTGAGTACACACATCTCAAATAAGTTTCTGAGAATGCTTCTGTCTAGTTGTTATGGGAAGATATTTCCTTTTCCAACATAGGCCTGAAAGCGCTCCAAATGTCCACTTCCAGATACTACAAAAGGAGTGATTCAAACCTGCTCTATGATAGGGAATGTTCAACTCTGTGTCCTGAATACAAACATCACAAAGATGTTTCTCAGAACGCTGCAGTCTGCAATTTGTATGAATTCCCGCTTCCAACGAAATCCTCAAAACTAGCCAAATATCCACTTGCAGATTCCACAAAAAGAGCGTTTCAAAACTTCTCTATGAAAAGAAAGGTTCTACTCCTTTAGTTGAGGACACACATCACGAGTAAGTTTCTGAGAATGCTTCTGTCTAGTTTTTATGGGAAGATATTTCCTTTTTCACCTTAGGCCGGTAAGTGCTCCAAATGTCCACTTACACACACTACAAAAAGAGTGTTTCAAACCTGCTCTGTGAAAGGGAATGTTCAATTCTGTGACTTGAATGCAATCATCACAAAGAACTTTCTGAGAATGCTGCTGACTGCTTTTTATATGTAATCCCGTTTCCAACGAAATCCTCAAATCTAGCCAAATAGCCACTTGCAGATTCCACAAAAAGAGTGTTTCAAAACTGTTCTGTCTAAAGAAATGTTCAACTGTGTTAGTTGAGGACACACATCAGAAACTAGTTTCTGAGAATGCTTCTGTCTAGTTGTTATGGGAAGATATTTCCTTTTCCAACGTAGGCCTGAAAGCGATCAAAATGTCCACTTCCATATACTAAAAAAAGAGTGTTTCAAACCTGCTCTACCAAAGGGAATGTTCTACTCTGTGACTTGAATGCAAGCATCCCAAAGAAGTTTCTGAGAATGCTTCTGTCTAGATTTTCTCTGAAGACAATCCCGTTTCCAACGAAATCCTCAAGGCTAGGCAAATATACTCTTGCAGATTCCAGAAAAAGAGTGTTTCAAAACTGCTCCTTCAAAACGGTGGTTCAATTCTCTTAGTTGAGTACACACATCTCAAATAAGTTTCTGAGAATGCTTCTGCCTAGTTGTTACGGGAAGATATTTCCCTTTCCAACATGGGCCTGAAAGCGCTCCAAATGTCCACTTCCAGATACTACAAAAAGAGTGTTTCAAACCTGCTCTACCAAAGGGAATGTTCTACTCTGTGACTTGAATGCAAACATCCCAAAGAAGTTTCTGAGAATGCTTCTGTCTAGATTTTACCTGAAGACAATCCCGTTTCCCACGAAATCCTCAAAGCTATGCAAATATCCTCTTGCAGATTCTACAAAAAGAGTGTTTCAAAACTGCTCTATGAAAAGAAAGGTTCAACTCTGTCAGTAGAGGGCACACATCACAAACAAGTTTCTGAGAATGCTTCTGCATAGTTGTTACGGGAAGATATTTCCCTTTCCAAAATAGGCCTGAAAGCGCTCCAAATGTCCACTTCCAGATACTACAAAAGGAGTGATTCCAACCTGCTCTATGATAGGGAATGTTCAACTCTGTGTCCTGAATACAAACATCACAAAGATGTTTCTCAGAACGCTGCAGTCTGCAATTTGTATGAATTCCCGCTTCCAACGAAATCCTCAAAACTAGCCAAATATCCACTTGCAGATTCCACAAAAAGACCATTTCAAAACTGCTCTATCAAAAGAAAGGTTCAACTTTGTTAGTTGAGTAGATACAGCATAACCAAGTTTCTGAGAATGCTTCTGTCCAGTTTTTATGGGAAGATATTTCCTTTTTCACCTTAGCCCTGAAATCGCTCCAAAAGTCCAGTTCCAGATACTACAAAAGGGGTGTTTCAAGACTGCTCTATGAAAGGGAGTGTTCAACTTTTGACTTGAATGCAAACATCAGAAAGCAGTTTCTCAGAACGCTGCTGTGTGCTTTTTATATGTATTCCCGCTTCCAGCGAAATCCCCAAAGCTAGCCAAATATCCACTTGCAGATTCCAGAAAAAGAGTGTTTCAAAACTGCTCCTTCAAAACGGTGGTTCAATTCTCTTAGTTGAGTACACACATCTCAAATAAGTTTCTGAGAATGCTTCTGTCTAGTTGTTATGGGAAGATATTTCCTTTTCCAACATAGGCCTGAAAGCACTCCAAATGTCCACTTCCAGATACTACAAAAGGAGTGATTCAAACCTGCTCTATGATAGGGAATGTTCAACTCTGTGTCCTGAATACAAACATCACAAAGATGTTTCTCAGAACGCTGCAGTCTGCAATTTGTATGAATTCCCGCTTCCAAAGAAATCCTCAAAACTAGCCAAATATCCACTTGCAGATTCCACAAAAAGACCATTTCAAAACTGCTCTATCAAAAGAAAGGTTCAACTTTGTTAGTTGAGTAGATACAGCATAACCAAGTTTCTGAGAATGCTTCTGTCCAGTTTTTATGGGAAGATATTTCCTTTTTCACCTTAGCCCTGAAATCGCTCCAAAAGAACAGTTCCAGATACTACAAAAGGGGTGTTTCAAGACTGCTCTATGAAAGGGAGTGTTCAACTTTTGACTTGAATGCAAACATCAGAAAGCAGTTTCTCAGAACGCTGCTGTGTGCTTTTTATATGTATTCCCGCTTCCAGCGAAATCCCCAAAGCTAGCCAAATATCCACTTGCAGATTCCAGAAAAAGAGAGTTTCAAAACTGCTCCTTCAAAACGGTGGTTCAATTCTCTTAGTTGAGTACACACATCTCAAATAAGTTTCTGAGAATGCTTCTGTCTAGTTGTTATGGGAAGATATTTCCTTTTCCAACATAGGCCTGAAAGCGCTCCAAATGTCCACTTCCAGATACTACAAAAGGAGTGATTCCAACCTGCTCTATGATAGGGAATGTTCAACTCTGTGTCCTGAATACAAACATCACAAAGATGTTTCTCAGAACGCTGCAGTCTGCAATTTGTATGAATTCCCGCTTCCAACGAAATCCTCAAAACTAGCCAAATATCCACTTGCAGATTCCACAAAAAGAGCGTTTCAAAACTTCTCTATGAAAAGAAAGGTTCTACTCCTTTAGTTGAGGACACACATCACGAGTAAGTTTCTGAGAATGCTTCTGTCTAGTTTTTATGGGAAGATATTTCCTTTTTCACCTTAGGCCGGTAAGTGCTCCAAATGTCCACTTACACACACTACAAAAAGAGTGTTTCAAACCTGCTCTGTGAAAGGGAATGTTCAATTCTGTGACTTGAATGCAATCATCACAAAGAACTTTCTGAGAATGCTGCTGACTGCTTTTTATATGTAATCCCGTTTCCAACGAAATCCTCAAATCTAGCCAAATAGCCACTTGCAGATTCCACAAAAAGAGTGTTTCAAAACTGTTCTGTCTAAAGAAATGTTCAACTGTGTTAGTTGAGGACACACATCAGAAACTAGTTTCTGAGAATGCTTCTGTCTAGTTGTTATGGGAAGATATTTCCTTTTCCAACGTAGGCCTGAAAGCGATCCAAATGTCCACTTCCATATACTAAAAAAAGAGTGTTTCAAACCTGCTCTACCAAAGGGAATGTTCTACTCTGTGACTTGAATGCAAACATCCCAAAGAAGTTTCTGAGAATGCTTCTGTCTAGATTTTCTCTGAAGACAATCCCGTTTCCAACGAAATCCTCAAGGCTAGGCAAATATACTCTTGCAGATTCCAGAAAAAGAGTGTTTCAAAACTGCTCCTTCAAAACGGTGGTTCAATTCTCTTAGTTGAGTACACACATCTCAAATAAGTTTCTGAGAATGCTTCTGCCTAGTTGTTACGGGAAGATATTTCCCTTTCCAACATGGGCCTGAAAGCGCTCCAAATGTCCATTTCCAGATACTACAAAAAGAGTGTTTCAAACCTGCTCTACCAAAGGGAATGTTCTACTCTGTGACTTGAATGCAAACATCCCCAAAGAAGTTTCTGAGAATGCTTCTGTCTAGTATTTTACCTGAAGACAATCCCGTTTCCCACGAAATCCTCAAAGCTATGCAAATATCCTCTTGCGGATTCTACAAAAAGAGTGTTTCAAAACTGCTCTATGAAAAGAAAGGTTCAACTCTGTCAGTAGAGGGCACACATCACAAACAAGTTTCTGAGAATGCTTCTGCCTAGTTGTTATGGGAAGATATTTCCTTTTTCAACATAGGCCTTAAATCGCTCCAAATATCCACTTACAGATACTACAAAAGGTGTGATTCCAACCTGCTCTATGATAGGGAATGTTCAACTCTGTGTCCTGAATACAAACATCACAAAGATGTTTCTCAGAACGCTACAGTCTGCAATTTGTGTGAATTCCCGCTTCCAACGAAATCCTCAAAACTAGCCAAATATCCACTTGGAGATTCCACAAAAAGAGCGTTTCAAAACTTCTCTATGAATAGAAAGGTTCTACTCCTTTAGTTGAGGACACACATCACGAGTAAGTTTCTGAGAATGCTTCTGTCTAGTTTTTATGGGAAGATATTTCCTTGTTCACCTTAGGCCGGAAAGCGCTCCAAATGTCCACTTACACACACTACAAAAAGAGTGTTTCAAACCTGCTCTGTGAAAGGGAATGTTCAATTCTGTGACTTGAATGCAATCATCACAAAGAACTTTCTGAGAATGCTGCTGTCTGCTTTTTATATGTAATCCCGTTTCCAACGAAATCCTCAAATCTAGCCAAATAGCCACTTGCAGATTCCACAAAAGAGTGTTTCAAAACTGTTCTGTCTAAAGAAATGTTCAACTGTGTTAGTTGAGGACACACATCAGAAACTAGTTTCTGAGAATGCTTCTGTGTAGTTGTTATGGGAAGATATTTCCTTTTCCAACGTAGGCCTGAAAGCGCTCCAAATGTCCACTTCCATATACTAAAAAAAGAGTGTTTCAAACCTGCTCTACCAAAGGGAATGTTCTACTCTGTGACTTGAATGCAAACATCCCAAAGAAGTTTCTGAGAATGCTTCTGTCTAGATTTGATCTGAAGACAATCCCGTTTCCAACGAAATCCTCAAGGCTAGGCAAATATCCTCTTGCAGATTCCAGAAAAAGAGTGTTTCAAAACTGCTCCTTCAAAACGGTGGTTCAATTCTCTTAGTTGAGTACACACATCTCAAATAAGTTTCTGAGAATGCTTCTGCCTAGTTGTTACGGGAAGATATTTCCCTTTCCAACATAGGCCTGAAAGCGCTCCAAATGTCCACTTCCAGATACTACAAAAAGAGTGTTTCAAACCTGCTCTACCAAAGGGAATGTTCTACTCTGTGACTTGAATGCAAACATCCCAAAGAAGTTTCTGAGAATGCTTCTGTCTAGATTTAACCTGAAGACAATCCCGTTTCCCACGAAATCCTCAAAGCTATGCAAATATCCTCTTGCGGATTCTACAAAAAGAGTGTTTCAAAACTGCTCTATGAAAAGAAAGGTTCAACTCTGTCAGTAGAGGGCACACAACACAAACAAGTTTCTGAGAATGCTTGTGTCTAGTTGTTATGGGAAGATATTTCCTTTTTCAACATAGGCCTGAAAGCGCTCCAAATGTTCACTTCCAGATACTACAAAAGGAGTGATTCCAACCTGCTCTATGATAGGGAATGTTCATCTCTGTGTCTTGAATACAAACATCACAAAGATGTTTCTCAGAACGCTGCAGTCTGCAATTTGTATGAATTCCCGCTTCCAGCGAAATCCTCAAAACTAGCCAAATATCCACTTGCAGATTCCACAAAAAGAGCATTTCAAAACTGCTCTATCAAAAGAAAGGTTCAACTTTGTTAGTTGAGTAGATACAGCATAAACAAGTTTCTGAGAATGCTTCTGTCCAGTTTTTATGGGAAGATATTTCCTTTTTCACCTTAGCTCTGAAAGCGCTCCAAAAGTCCAGTTCCAGATACTACAAAAGGAGTGTTTCAGGACTGCTCTATGAAAGGGAGTGTTCAACTTTTGACTTGAATGCAAACATCAGAAAGCAGTTTCTCAGAACGCTGCTGTGTGCTTTTTATATGTATTCCCGCTTCCAGCGAAATCCCCAAAGCTAGCCAAATATCCACTTGCAGATTCCAGAAAAAGAGTGTTTCAAAACTGCTCCTTCAAAACGGTGGTTCAATTCTCTTAGTTGAGTACACACATCTCAAATAAGTTTCTGAGAATGCTTCTGTCTAGTTTTTATGGGAAGATATTTCCTTTTCCAACATAGGCCTGAAAGCGCTCCAAATGTCCACTTCCAGATACTACAAAAGGAGTGATTCAAACCTGCTCTATGATAGGGAATGTTCAACTCTGTGTCCTGAATACAAACATCACAAAGATGTTTCTCAGAACGCTGCAGTCTGCAATTTGTATGAATTCCCGCTTCCAACGAAATCCTCAAAACTAGCCAAATATCCACTTGCAGATTCCACAAAAAGAGCGTTTCAAAACTTCTCTATGAAAAGAAAGGTTCTACTCCTTTAGTTGAGGACACACATCACGAGTAAGTTTCTGAGAATGCTTCTGTCTAGTTTTTATGGGAAGATATTTCCTTTTTCACCTTAGGCCGGTAAGTGCTCCAAATGTCCACTTACACACACTACAAAAAGAGTGTTTCAAACCTGCTCTGTGAAAGGGAATGTTCAATTCTGTGACTTGAATGCAATCATCACAAAGAACTTTCTGAGAATGCCGCTGACTGCTTTTTATATGTAATCCCGTTTCCAACGAAATCCTCAAATCTAGCCAAATAGCCACTTGCAGATTCCACAAAAAGAGTGTTTCAAAACTGTTCTGTCTAAAGAAATGTTCAACTGTGTTAGTTGAGGACACACATCAGAAACTAGTTTCTGAGAATGCTTCTGTCTAGTTGTTATGGGAAGATATTTCCTTTTCCAACGTAGGCCTGAAAGCGCTCCAAATGTCCACTTCCAGATACTACAAAAAGAGTGTTTCAAACCTGCTCTACCAAAGGGAATGTTCTACTCTGTGACTGGAATGCAAGCATCCCAAAGAAGTTTCTGAGAATGTTTCTGTCTAGATTTTCTCTGAAGACAATCCCGTTTCCAACGAAATCCTCAAGGCTAGGCAAATATACTCTTGCAGATTCCAGAAAAAGAGTGTTTCAAAACTGCTCCTTCAAAACGGTGGTTCAATTCTCTTAGTTGAGTACACACATCTCAAATAAGTTTCTGAGAATGCTTCTGCCTAGTTGTTACGGGAAGATATTTCCCTTTCCAACATGGGCCTGAAAGCGCTCCAAATGTCCACTTCCAGATACTACAAAAAGAGTGTTTCAAACCTGCTCTACCAAAGGGAATGTTCTACTCTGTGACTTGAATGCAAACATCCCAAAGAAGTTTCTGAGAATGCTTCTGTCTAGATTTTACCTGAAGACAATCCCGTTTCCCACGAAATCCTCAAAGCTATGCAAATATCCTCTTGCAGATTCTACAAAAAGAGTGTTTCAAAACTGCTCTATGAAAAGAAAGGTTCAACTCTGTCAGTAGAGGGCACACATCACAAACAAGTTTCTGAGAATGCTTCTGCATAGTTGTTACGGGAAGATATTTCCCTTTCCAAAATAGGCCTGAAAGCGCTCCAAATGTCCACTTCCAGATACTACAAAAGGAGTGATTCCAACCTGCTCTATGATAGGGAATGTTCAACTCTGTGTCCTGAATACAAACATCACAAAGATGTTTCTCAGAACGCTGCAGTCTGCAATTTGTATGAATTCCCGCTTCCAACGAAATCCTCAAAACTAGCCAAATATCCACTTGCAGATTCCACAAAAAGACCATTTCAAAACTGCTCTATCAAAAGAAAGGTTCAACTTTGTTAGTTGAGTAGATACAGCATAAACAAGTTTCTGAGAATGCTTCTGTCCAGTTTTTATGGGAAGATATTTCCTTTTTCACCTTAGCCCTGAAATCGCTCCAAAAGTCCAGTTCCAGATACTACAAAAGGGGTGTTTCAGGACTGCTCTATGAAAGGGAGTGTTCAACTTTTGACTTGAATGCAAACATCAGAAAGCAGTTTCTCAGAACGCTGCTGTGTGCTTTTTATATGTATTCCCGCTTCCAGCGAAATCCCCAAAGCTAGCCAAATATCCACTTGCAGATTCCAGAAAAAGAGAGTTTCAAAACTGCTCCTTCAAAACGGTGGTTCAATTCTCTTAGTTGAGTACACACATCTCAAATAAGTTTCTGAGAATGCTTCTGTCTAGTTGTTATGGGAAGATATTTCCTTTTCCAACATAGGCCTGAAAGCGCTCCAAATGTCCACTTCCAGATACTACAAAAGGAGTGATTCCAACCTGCTCTATGATAGGGAATGTTCAACTCTGTGTCCTGAATACAAACATCACAAAGATGTTTCTCAGAACGCTGCAGTCTGCAATTTGTATGAATTCCCGCTTCCAACGAAATCCTCAAAACTAGCCAAATATCCACTTGCAGATTCCACAAAAAGAGCGTTTCAAAACTTCTCTATGAAAAGAAAGGTTCTACTCCTTTAGTTGAGGACACACATCACGAGTAAGTTTCTGAGAATGCTTCTGTCTAGTTTTTATGGGAAGATATTTCCTTTTTCACCTTAGGCCGGTAAGTGCTCCAAAGGTCCACTTACACACACTACAAAAAGAGTGTTTCAAACCTGCTCTGTGAAAGGGAATGTTCAATTCTGTGACTTGAATGCAATCATCACAAAGAACTTTCTGAGAATGCTGCTGACTGCTTTTTATATGTAATCCCGTTTCCAACGAAATCCTCAAATCTAGCCAAATAGCCACTTGCAGATTCCACAAAAAGAGTGTTTCAAAACTGTTCTGTCTAAAGAAATGTTCAACTGTGTTAGTTGAGGACACACATCAGAAACTAGTTTCTGAGAATGCTTCTGTCTAGTTGTTATGGGAAGATATTTCCTTTTCCAACATAGGCCTGAAAGCGCTCCAAATGTCCACTTCCAGATACTACAAAAAGAGTGTTTCAAACCTGCTCTACCAAAGGGAATGTTCTACTCTGTGACTTGAATGCAAACATCCCAAAGAAGTTTCTGAGAATGCTTCTGTCTAGATTTTACCTGAAGACAATCCCGTTTCCTACGAAATCCTCAAAGCTATGCAAATATCCTCTTGCAGATTCTACAAAAAGAGTGTTTCAAAACTGCTCTATGAAAAGAAAGGTTCAACTCTGTCAGTAGAGGGCACACATCACAAACAAGTTTCTGAGAATGCTTGTGTCTAGTTGTTATGGGAAGATATTTCCTTTTTCAACATAGGCCTGAAAGCGCTCCAAATGTCCACTTCCAGATACTACAAAAGGAGTGATTCCAACCTGCTCTATGATAGGGAATGTTCAACTCTCTGTCCTGAATACAAACATCACAAAGATGTTTCTCAGAACGCTGCAGTCTGCAATTTGTATGAATTCCCGCTTCCAACGAAATCCTCCAAACTAGCCAAATATCCACTTGCAGATTCCACAAAAAGAGCATTTCAAAACTGCTCTATCAAAAGAAAGGTTCAACTTTGTTAGTTGAGTAGATACAGCATAAACAAGTTTCTGAGAATGCTTCTGTCCAGTTTTTATGGGAAGATATTTCCTTTTTCACCTTAGCCCTGAAAGCGCTCCAAATGTCCAGTTCCAGATACTACAAAAGGGGTGTTTCAAGACTGCTCTATGAAAGGGAGTGTTCAACTTTTGACTTGAATGCAAACATCAGAAAGCAGTTTCTCAGAACGCTGCTGTGTGCTTTTTATATGTATTCCCGCTTCCAGCGAAATCCCCAAAGCTAGCCAAATATCCACTTGCAGATTCCAGAAAAAGAGTGTTTCAAAACTGCTCCTTCAAAACGGTGGTTCAATTCTCTTAGTTGAGTACACACATCTCAAATAAGTTTCTGAGAATGCTTCTGTCTAGTTGTTATGGGAAGATATTTCCTTTTCCAACATAGGCCTGAAAGCGCTCCAAATGTCCACTTCCAGATACTACAAAAGGAGTGATTCAAACCTGCTCTATGATAGGGAATGTTCAACTCTGTGTCCTGAATACAAACATCACAAAGATGTTTCTCAGAACGCTGCAGTCTGCAATTTGTATGAATTCCCGCTTCCAACGAAATCCTCCAAACTAGCCAAATATCCACTTGCAGATTCCACAAAAAGAGCATTTCAAAACTGCTCTATCAAAAGAAAGGTTCAACTATGTTAGTTGAGTAGATACAGCATAAACAAGTTTCTGAGAATGCTTCTGTCTAGTTTTTATGGGAAGATTATTTCCTTTTTCACCTTAGGCCGGTAAGTGCTCCAAATGTCCACTTACACACACTACAAAAAGAGTGTTTCAAACCTGCTCTGTGAAAGGGAATGTTCAATTCTGTGACTTGAATGCAATCATCACAAAGAACTTTCTGAGAATGCTGCTGACTGCTTTTTATATGTAATCCCGTTTCCAACGAAATCCTCAAATCTAGCCAAATAGCCACTTGCAGATTCCACAAAAAGAGTGTTTCAAAACTGTTCTGTCTAAAGAAATGTTCAACTGTGTTAGTTGAGGACACACATCAGAAACTAGTTTCTGAGAATGCTTCTGTCTAGTTGTTATGGGAAGATATTTCCTTTTCCAACGTAGGCCTGAAAGCGCTCCAAATGTCCACTTCCAGATACTACAAAAAGAGTGTTTCAAACCTGCTCTACCAAAGGGAATGTTCTACTCTGTGACTTGAATGCAAGCATCCCAAAGAAGTTTCTGAGAATGCTTCTGTCTAGATTTTCTCTGAAGACAATCCCGTTTCCAACGAAATCCTCAAGGCTAGGCAAATATACTCTTGCAGATTCCAGAAAAAGAGTGTTTCAAAACTGCTCCTTCAAAACGGTGGTTCAATTCTCTTAGTTGAGTACACACATCTCAAATAAGTTTCTGAGAATGCTTCTGCCTAGTTGTTACGGGAAGATATTTCCCTTTCCAACATGGGCCTGAAAGCGCTCCAAATGTCCACTTCCAGATACTACAAAAAGAGTGTTTCAAACCTGCTCTACCAAAGGGAATGTTCTACTCTGTGACTTGAATGCAAACATCCCAAAGAAGTTTCTGAGAATGCTTCTGTCTAGATTTTACCTGAAGACAATCCCGTTTCCCACGAAATCCTCAAAGCTATGCAAATATCCTCTTGCAGATTCTACAAAAAGAGTGTTTCAAAACTGCTCTATGAAAAGAAAGGTTCAACTCTGTCAGTAGAGGGCACACATCACAAACAAGTTTCTGAGAATGCTTCTGCATAGTTGTTACGGGAAGATATTTCCCTTTCCAAAATAGGCCTGAAAGCGCTCCAAATGTCCACTTCCAGATACTACAAAAGGAGTGATTCCAACCTGCTCTATGATAGGGAATGTTCAACTCTGTGTCCTGAATACAAACATCACAAAGATGTTTCTCAGAACGCTGCAGTCTGCAATTTGTATGAATTCCCGCTTCCAACGAAATCCTCAAAACTAGCCAAATATCCACTTGCAGATTCCACAAAAAGACCATTTCAAAACTGCTCTATCAAAAGAAAGGTTCAACTTTGTTAGTTGAGTAGATACAGCATAAACAAGTTTCTGAGAATGCTTCTGTCCAGTTTTTATGGGAAGATATTTCCTTTTTCACCTTAGCCCTGAAATCGCTCCAAAAGTCCAGTTCCAGATACTACAAAAGGGGTGTTTCAAGACTGCTCTATGAAAGGGAGTGTTCAACTTTTGACTTGAATGCAAACATCAGAAAGCAGTTTCTCAGAACGCTGCTGTGTGCTTTTTATATGTATTCCCGCTTCCAGCGAAATCCCCAAAGCTAGCCAAATATCCACTTGCAGATTCCAGAAAAAGAGAGTTTCAAAACTGCTCCTTCAAAACGGTGGTTCAATTCTCTTAGTTGAGTACACACATCTCAAATAAGTTTCTGAGAATGCTTCTGTCTAGTTGTTATGGGAAGATATTTCCTTTTCCAACATAGGCCTGAAAGCGCTCCAAATGTCCACTTCCAGATACTACAAAAGGAGTGATTCCAACCTGCTCTATGATAGGGAATGTTCAACTCTGTGTCCTGAATACAAACATCACAAAGATGTTTCTCAGAACGCTGCAGTCTGCAATTTGTATGAATTCCCGCTTCCAACGAAATCCTCAAAACTAGCCAAATATCCACTTGCAGATTCCACAAAAAGAGCGTTTCAAAACTTCTCTATGAAAAGAAAGGTTCTACTCCTTTAGTTGAGGACACACATCACGAGTAAGTTTCTGAGAATGCTTCTGTCTAGTTTTTATGGGAAGATATTTCCTTTTTCACCTTAGGCCGGTAAGTGCTCCAAATGTCCACTTACACACACTACAAAAAGAGTGTTTCAAACCTGCTCTGTGAAAGGGAATGTTCAATTCTGTGACTTGAATGCAATCATCACAAAGAACTTTCTGAGAATGCTGCTGACTGCTTTTTATATGTAATCCCGTTTCCAACGAAATCCTCAAATCTAGCCAAATAGCCACTTGCAGATTCCACAAAAAGAGTGTTTCAAAACTGTTCTGTCTAAAGAAATGTTCAACTGTGTTAGTTGAGGACACACATCAGAAACTAGTTTCTGAGAATGCTTCTGTCTAGTTGTTATGGGAAGATATTTCCTTTTCCAACGTAGGCCTGAAAGCGCTCCAAATGTCCACTTCCAGATACTACAAAAAGAGTGTTTCAAACCTGCTCTACCAAAGGGAATGTTCTACTCTGTGACTTGAATGCAAACATCCCAAAGAAGTTTCTGAGAATGCTTCTGTCTAGATTTTCTCTGAAGACAATCCCGTTTCCAACGAAATCCTCAAGGCTAGGCAAATATACTCTTGCAGATTCCAGAAAAAGAGTGTTTCAAAACTGCTCCTTCAAAACGGTGGTTCAATTCTCTTAGTTGAGTACACACATCTCAAATAAGTTTCTGAGAATGCTTCTGCCTAGTTGTTACGGGAAGATATTTCCCTTTCCAACATGGGCCTGAAAGCGCTCCAAATGTCCACTTCCAGATACTACAAAAAGAGTGTTTCAAACCTGCTCTACCAAAGGGAATGTTCTACTCTGTGACATGAATGCAAACATCCCAAAGAAGTTTCTGAGAATGCTTCTGTCTAGATTTTACCTGAAGACAATCCCGTTTCCCACGAAATCCTCAAAGCTATGCAAATATCCTCTTGCAGATTCTACAAAAAGAGTGTTTCAAAACTGCTCTATGAAAAGAAAGGTTCAACTCTGTCAGTAGAGGGCACACATCACAAACAAGTTTCTGAGAATGCTTCTGCATAGTTGTTACGGGAAGATATTTCCCTTTCCAAAATAGGCCTGAAAGCGCTCCAAATGTCCACTTCCAGATACTACAAAAGGAGTGATTCCAACCTGCTCTATGATAGGGAATGTTCAACTCTGTGTCCTGAATACAAACATCACAAAGATGTTTCTCAGAACGCTGCAGTCTGCAATTTGTATGAATTCCCGCTTCCAACGAAATCCTCAAAACTAGCCAAATATCCACTTGCAGATTCCACAAAAAGACCATTTCAAAACTGCTCTATCAAAAGAAAGGTTCAACTTTGTTAGTTGAGTAGATACAGCATAAACAAGTTTCTGAGAATGCTTCTGTCCAGTTTTTATGGGAAGATATTTCCTTTTTCACCTTAGCCCTGAAATCGCTCCAAAAGTCCAGTTCCAGATACTACAAAAGGGGTGTTTCAAGACTGCTCTATGAAAGGGAGTGTTCAACTTTTGACTTGAATGCAAACATCAGAAAGCAGTTTCTCAGAACGCTGCTGTGTGCTTTTTATATGTATTCCCGCTTCCAGCGAAATCCCCAAAGCTAGCCAAATATCCACTTGCAGATTCCAGAAAAAGAGAGTTTCAAAACTGCTCCTTCAAAACGGTGGTTCAATTCTCTTAGTTGAGTACACACATCTCAAATAAGTTTCTGAGAATGCTTCTGTCTAGTTGTTATGGGAAGATATTTCCTTTTCCAACATAGGCCTGAAAGCGCTCCAAATATCCACTTCCAGATACTACAAAAGGAGTGATTCCAACCTGCTCTATGATAGGGAATGTTCAACTCTGTGTCCTGAATACAAACATCACAAAGATGTTTCTCAGAACGCTGCAGTCTGCAATTTGTATGAATTCCCGCTTCCAACGAAATCCTCAAAACTAGCCAAATATCCACTTGCAGATTCCACAAAAAGAGCGTCTCAAAACTTCTCTATGAAAAGAAAGGTTCTACTCCTTTAGTTGAGGACACACATCACGAGTAAGTTTCTGAGAATGCTTCTGTCTAGTTTTTATGGGAAGATATTTCCTTTTTCACCTTAGGCCGGTAAGTGCTCCAAATGTCCACTTACACACACTACAAAAAGAGTGTTTCAAACCTGCTCTGTGAAAGGGAATGTTCAATTCTGTGACTTGAATGCAATCATCACAAAGAACTTTCTGAGAATGCTGCTGACTGCTTTTTATATGTAATCCCGTTTCCAACGAAATCCTCAAATCTAGCCAAATAGCCACTTGCAGATTCCACAAAAAGAGTGTTTCAAAACTGTTCTGTCTAAAGAAATGTTCAACTGTGTTAGTTGAGGACACACATCAGAAACTAGTTTCTGAGAATGCTTCTGTCTAGTTGTTATGGGAAGATATTTCCTTTTCCAACGTAGGCCTGAAAGCGCTCCAAATGTCCACTTCCATATACTAAAAAAAGAGTGTTTCAAACCTGCTCTACCAAAGGGAATGTTCTACTCTGTGACTTGAATGCAAACATCCCAAAAAAGTTTCTGAGAATGCTTCTGTCTAGATTTTATCTGAAGACAATCCCGTTTCCAACGAAATCCTCAAAGCTAGGCAAATATCCTTTTGCAGATTCCAGAAAAAAGAGTGTTTCAAAACTGCTCCTTCAAAACGTTGGTTCAATTCTCTTAGTTGAGTACACACATCTCAAATAAGTTTCTGAGAATGCTTCTGCCTAGTTGTTACGGGAAGATATTTCCCTTTCCAACATGGGCCTGAAAGCGCTCCAAATGTCCACTTCCAGATACTACAAAAAGAGTGTTTCAAACCTGCTCTACCAAAGGGAATGTTCTACTCTGTGACTTGAATGCAAACATCCCAAAGAAGTTTCTAAGAATGCTTCTGTCTAGATTTTACCTGAAGACAATCCCGTTTCCCACGAAATCCTCAAAGCTATGCAAATATCCTCTTGCAGATTCTACAAAAAGAGTGTTTCAAAACTGCTCTATGAAAAGAAAGGTTCAACTCTGTCAGTAGAGGGCACACATCACAAACAAGTTTCTGAGAATGCTTCTGCATAGTTGTTACGGGAAGATATTTCCCTTTCCAAAATAGGCCTGAAAGCGCTCCAAATGTCCACTTCCAGATACTACAAAAGGAGTGATTCCAACCTGCTCTATGATAGGGAATGTTCAACTCTGTGTCCTGAATACAAACATCACAAAGATGTTTCTCAGAACGCTGCAGTCTGCAATTTGTATGAATTCCCGCTTCCAACGAAATCCTCAAAACTAGCCAAATATCCACTTGCAGATTCCACAAAAAGACCATTTCAAAACTGCTCTATCAAAAGAAAGGTTCAACTTTGTTAGTTGAGTAGATACAGCATAAACAAGTTTCTGAGAATGCTTCTGTCCAGTTTTTATGGGAAGATATTTCCTTTTTCACCTTAGCCCTGAAATCGCTCCAAAAGTCCAGTTCCAGATACTACCAAAGGGGTGTTTCAGGACTGCTCTATGAAAGGGAGTGTTCAACTTTTGACTTGAATGCAAACATCAGAAAGCAGTTTCTCAGAACGCTGCTGTGTGCTTTTTATATGTATTCCCGCTTCCAGCGAAATCCCCAAAGCTAGCCAAATATCCACTTGCAGATTCCAGAAAAAGAGAGTTTCAAAACTGCTCCTTCAAAACGGTGGTTCAATTCTCTTAGTTGAGTACACACATCTCAAATAAGTTTCTGAGAATGCTTCTGTCTAGTTGTGATGGGAAGATATTTCCTTTTCCAACATAGGGCAGAAAGCGCTCCAAATGTCCACTTCCAGATACTACAAAAGGAGTGATTCCAACCTGCTCTATGATAGGGAATGTTCAACTCTGTGTCCTGAATAAAAACATCACAAAGATGTTTCTCAGAACGCTGCAGTCTGCAATTTGTATGAATTCCCCCTTCCAACGAAATCCTCAAAACTAGCCAAATATCCACTTGCAGATTCCACAAAAAGAGCGTTTCAAAACTTCTCTATGAAAAGAAAGGTTCTACTCCTTTAGTTGAGGACACACATCACGAGTAAGTTTCTGAGAATGCTTCTGTCTAGTTTTTATGGGAAGATATTTCCTTTTTCACCTTAGGCCGGTAAGTGCTCCAAATGTCCACTTACACACACTACAAAAAGAGTGTTTCAAACCTGCTCTGTGAAAGGGAATGTTCAATTCTGTGACTTGAATGCAATCATCACAAAGAACTTTCTGAGAATGCTGCTGACTGCTTTTTATATGTAATCCCGTTTCCAACGAAATCCTCAAATCTAGCCAAATAGCCACTTGCAGATTCCACAAAAAGAGTGTTTCAAAACTGTTCTGTCTAAAGAAATGTTCAACTGTGTTAGTTGAGGACACACATCAGAAACTAGTTTCTGAGAATGCTTCTGTCTAGTTGTTATGGGAAGATATTTCCTTTTCCAACGTAGGCCTGAAAGCGCTCCAAATGTCCACTTCCATATACTAAAAAAAGAGTGTTTCAAACCTGCTCTACCAAAGGGAATGTTCTACTCTGTGACTTGAATGCAAACATCCCAAAGAAGTTTCTGAGAATGCTTCTGTCTAGATTTTCTCTGAAGACAATCCCGTTTCCAACGAAATCCTCAAGGCTAGGCAAATATACTCTTGCAGATTCCAGAAAAAGAGTGTTTCAAAACTGCTCCTTCAAAACGGTGGTTCAATTCTCTTAGTTGAGTACACACATCTCAAATAAGTTTCTGAGAATGCTTCTGCCTAGTTGTTACGGGAAGATATTTCCCTTTCCAACATGGGCCTGAAAGCGCTCCAAATGTCCACTTCCAGATACTACAAAAAGAGTGTTTCAAACCTGCTCTACCAAAGGGAATGTTCTACTCTGTGACTTGAATGCAAACATCCCAAAGAAGTTTCTGAGAATGCTTCTGTCTAGATTTTACCTGAAGACAATCCCGTTTCCCACGAAATCCTCAAAGCTATGCAAATATCCTCTTGCAGATTCTACAAAAAGAGTGTTTCAAAACTGCTCTATGAAAAGAAAGGTTCAACTCTGTCAGTAGAGGGCACACATCACAAACAAGTTTCTGAGAATGCTTGTGTCTAGCTGTTATGGGAAGATATTTCCTTTTTCAACATAGGCCTGAAAGCGCTCCAAATGTCCACTTCCAGATACTACAAAAGGAGTGATTCCAACCTGCTCTATGATAGGGAATGTTCCTCTCTGTGTCCTGAATACAAACATCACAAAGATGTTTCTCAGAACGCTGCAGTCTGCAATTTGTATGAATTCCCGCTTCCAACGAAATCCTCAAAACTAGCCAAATATCCACTTGCAGATTCCACAAAAAGACCATTTCAAAACTGCTCTATCAAAAGAAAGGTTCAACTTTGTTAGTTGAGTAGATACAGCATAACCAAGTTTCTGAGAATGCTTCTGTCCAGTTTTTATGGGAAGATATTTCCTTTTTCACCTTAGCCCTGAAATCGCTCCAAAAGTCCAGTTCCAGATACTACAAAAGGGGTGTTTCAAGACTGCTCTATGAAAGGGAGTGTTCAACTTTTGACTTGAATGCAAACATCAGAAAGCAGTTTCTCAGAACGCTGCTGTGTGCTTTTTATATGTATTCCCGCTTCCAGCGAAATCCCCAAAGCTAGCCAAATATCCAATTGCAGATTCCAGAAAAAGAGTGTTTCAAAACTGCTCCTTCAAAACGGTGGTTCAATTCTCTTAGTTGAGTACACACATCTCAAATAGGTTTCTGAGAATGCTTGTGTCTAGTTGTTATGGGAAGATATTTCCTTTTTCAACATAGGCCTGAAAGCGCTCCAAATGTCCACTTTCAGATACTACAAAAGGAGTGATTCCAACATGCTCTATGATAGGGAATGTTCATCTCTGTGTCTTGAATACAAACATTTCAAAGATGTTTCTCAGAACGCTGCAGTCTGCAATTTGTATGAATTCCCGCTTCCAACGAAATCCTCAAAACTAGCCAAATATCCACTTGGAGATTCCACAAAAAGAGCGTTTCAAAACTTCTCTATGAATAGAGAGGTTCTACTCCTTTAGTTGAAGACACACATCACGAGTAAGTTTCTGAGAATGCTTCTGTCTAGTTTTTATGGGAAGATATGTCCTTTTTCACCTTAGGCCGGAAAGCGCTCCAAATGTCCACTTACACACACTACAAAAAGAGTGTTTCAAACCTGCTCTATGAAAGGGAATGTTCAATTCTGTGACTTGAATGCAATCATCACAAAGAACTTTCTGAGAATGCTGCTGACTGCTTTTTATACGTAATCCCGTTTCCAACGAAATCCTCAAATCTAGCCCAATATCCACTTGCAGATTCCACAAAAAGAGTGTTTCAAAACTGTTCTGTCTAAAGAAATGTTCAACTGTGTTAGTTGAGGACACACATCAGAAATTAGTTCCTGAGAATGCTTCTGTCTAGTTGTTATGGGAAGATATTTCCTTTTCCAACGTAGGCCTGAAAGCGCTCCAAATGTCCACTTCCATATACTAAAAAGAGTGTTTCAAACCTGCTCTACCAAAGGGAATGTTCTACTCTGTGACTTGAATGCAAACATCCCAAAGAAGTTTCTGAGAATGCTTCTGTCTAGCATTTTATCTGAAGACAATCCCGTTTCCAACGAAATCCTCAAGGCTAGGCAAATATACTCTTGCAGATTCCAGAAAAAGAGTGTTTCAAAACTGCTCCTTCAAAACGGTGGTTCAATTCTCTTAGTTGAGTACACACATCTCAAATAAGTTTCTGAGAATGCTTCTGCCTAGTTGTTACGGGAAGATATTTCCCTTTCCAACATGGGCCTGAAAGCGCTCCAAATGTCCACTTCCAGATACTACAAAAAGAGTGTTTCAAACCTGCTCTACCAAAGGGAATGTTCTACTCTGTGACTTGAATGCAAACATCCCAAAGAAGTTTCTGAGAATGCTTCTGTCTAGATTTTACCTGAAGACAATCCCGTTTCCCACGAAATCCTCAAAGCTATGCAAATATCCTCTTGCAGATTCTACAAAAAGAGTGTTTCAAAACTGCTCTATGAAAAGAAAGGTTCAACTCTGTCAGTAGAGGGCACACATCACAAACAAGTTTCTGAGAATGCTTCTGCATAGTTGTTACGGGAAGATATTTCCCTTTCCAAAATAGGCCTGAAAGCGCTCCAAATGTCCACTTCCAGATACTACAAAAGGAGTGATTCCAACCTGCTCTATGATAGGGAATGTTCAACTCTGTGTCCTGAATACAAACATCACAAAGATGTTTCTCAGAACGCTGCAGTCTGCAATTTGTATGAATTCCCGCTTCCAACGAAATCCTCAAAACTAGCCAAATATCCACTTGCAGATTCCACAAAAAGACCATTTCAAAACTGCTCTATCAAAAGAAAGGTTCAACTTTGTTAGTTGAGTAGATACAGCATAAACAAGTTTCTGAGAATGCTTCTGTCCAGTTTTTATGGGAAGATATTTCCTTTTTCACCTTAGCCCTGAAATCGCTCCAAAAGTCCAGTTCCAGATACTACAAAAGGGGTGTTTCAGGACTGCTCTATGAAAGGGAGTGTTCAACTTTTGACTTGAATGCAAACATCAGAAAGCAGTTTCTCAGAACGCTGCTGTGTGCTTTTTATATGTATTCCCGCTTCCAGCGAAATCCCCAAAGCTAGCCAAATATCCACTTGCAGATTCCAGAAAAAGAGAGTTTCAAAACTGCTCCTTCAAAACGGTGGTTCAATTCTCTTAGTTGAGTACACACATCTCAAATAAGTTTCTGAGAATGCTTCTGTCTAGTTGTTATGGGAAGATATTTCCTTTTCCAACATAGGCCTGAAAGCGCTCCAAATGTCCACTTCCAGATACTACAAAAGGAGTGATTCAAACCTGCTCTATGATAGGGAATGTTCAACTCTGTGTCCTGAATACAAACATCACAAAGATGTTTCTCAGAACGCTGCAGTCTGCAATTTGTATGAATTCCCGCTTCCAACGAAATCCTCAAAACTAGCCAAATATCCACTTGCAGATTCCACAAAAAGAGCGTTTCAAAACTTCTCTATGAAAAGAAAGGTTCTACTCCTTTAGTTGAGGACACACATCACGAGTAAGTTTCTGAGAATGCTTCTGTCTAGTTTTTATGGGAAGATTATTTCCTTTTTCACCTTAGGCCGGTAAGTGCTCCAAATGTCCACTTACACACACTACAAAAAGAGTGTTTCAAACCTGCTCTGTGAAAGGGAATGTTCAATTCTGTGACTTGAATGCAATCATCACAAAGAACTTTCTGAGAATGCCGCTGACTGCTTTTTATATGTAATCCCGTTTCCAACGAAATCCTCAAATCTAGCCAAATAGCCACTTGCAGATTCCACAAAAAGAGTGTTTCAAAACTGTTCTGTCTAAAGAAATGTTCAACTGTGTTAGTTGAGGACACACATCAGAAACTAGTTTCTGAGAATGCTTCTGTCTAGTTGTTATGGGAAGATATTTCCTTTTCCAACGTAGGCCTGAAAGCGCTCCAAATGTCCACTTCCAGATACTACAAAAAGAGTGTTTCAAACCTGCTCTACCAAAGGGAATGTTCTACTCTGTGACTTGAATGCAAGCATCCCAAAGAAGTTTCTGAGAATGCTTCTGTCTAGATTTTCTCTGAAGACAATCCCGTTTCCAACGAAATCCTCAAGGCTAGGCAAATATACTCTTGCAGATTCCAGAAAAAGAGTGTTTCAAAACTGCTCCTTCAAAACGGTGGTTCAATTCTCTTAGTTGAGTACACACATCTCAAATAAGTTTCTGAGAATGCTTCTGCCTAGTTGTTACGGGAAGATATTTCCCTTTCCAACATGGGCCTGAAAGCGCTCCAAATGTCCACTTCCAGATACTACAAAAAGAGTGTTTCAAACCTGCTCTACCAAAGGGAATGTTCTACTCTGTGACTTGAATGCAAACATCCCAAAGAAGTTTCTGAGAATGCTTCTGTCTAGATTTTACCTGAAGACAATCCCGTTTCCCACGAAATCCTCAAAGCTATGCAAATATCCTCTTGCAGATTCTACAAAAAGAGTGTTTCAAAACTGCTCTATGAAAAGAAAGGTTCAACTCTGTCAGTAGAGGGCACACATCACAAACAAGTTTCTGAGAATGCTTCTGCATAGTTGTTACGGGAAGATATTTCCCTTTCCAAAATAGGCCTGAAAGCGCTCCAAATGTCCACTTCCAGATACTACAAAAGGAGTGATTCCAACCTGCTCTATGATAGGGAATGTTCAACTCTGTGTCCTGAATACAAACATCACAAAGATGTTTCTCAGAACGCTGCAGTCTGCAATTTGTATGAATTCCCGCTTCCAACGAAATCCTCAAAACTAGCCAAATATCCACTTGCAGATTCCACAAAAAGACCATTTCAAAACTGCTCTATCAAAAGAAAGGTTCAACTTTGTTAGTTGAGTAGATACAGCATAAACAAGTTTCTGAGAATGCTTCTGTCCAGTTTTTATGGGAAGATATTTCCTTTTTCACCTTAGCCCTGAAATCGCTCCAAAAGTCCAGTTCCAGATACTACAAAAGGGGTGTTTCAAGACTGCTCTATGAAAGGGAGTGTTCAACTTTTGACTTGAATGCAAACATCAGAAAGCAGTTTCTCAGAACGCTGCTGTGTGCTTTTTATATGTATTCCCGCTTCCAGCGAAATCCCCAAAGCTAGCCAAATATCCACTTGCAGATTCCAGAAAAAGAGTGTTTCAAAACTGCTCCTTCAAAACGGTGGTTCAATTCTCTTAGTTGAGTACACACATCTCAAATAAGTTTCTGAGAATGCTTCTGTCTAGTTGTTATGGGAAGATATTTCCTTTTCCAACATAGGCCTGAAAGCGCTCCAAATGTCCACTTCCAGATACTACAAAAGGAGTGATTCCAACCTGCTCTATGATAGGGAATGTTCAACTCTGTGTCCTGAATACAAACATCACAAAGATGTTTCTCAGAACGCTGCAGTCTGCAATTTGTATGAATTCCCGCTTCCAACGAAATCCTCCAAACTAGCCAAATATCCACTTGCAGATTCCACAAAAAGAGCGTTTCAAAACTTCTCTATGAAAAGAAAGGTTCTACTCCTTTAGTTGAGGACACACATCACGAGTAATTTTCTGAGAATGCTTCTGTCTAGTTTTTATGGGAAGATATTTCCTTGTTCACCTTAGGCCGGAAAGCGCTCCAAATGTCCACTTACACACACTACAAAAAGAGTGTTTCAAACCTGCTCTGTGAAAAGGAATGTTCAATTCTGTGACTTGAATGCAATCATCACAAAGAAGTTTCTGAGAATGCTGCTGTCTGCTTTTTATATGTAATCCCGTTTCCAACGAAATCCTCAAATGTAGCCAAATATCCACTTGCAGATTCCACAAAAAGAGTGTTTCAAAACTGTTCTGTCTAAAGAAATGTTCAACTGTGTTAGTTGAGGACACACATCAGAAACTAGTTTCTGAGAATGCTTCTGTCTAGTTGTTATGGGAAGATATTTCCTTTTCCAACGTAGGCCAGAAAGCGCTCCAAATGTCCACTTACACACACTACAAAAAGAGTGTTTCAAACCTGCTCTACCAAAGGGAATGTTCTACTCTGTGACTTGAATGCAAACATCCCAAAGAAGTTTCTGAGAATGCTTCTGTCTAGATTTTACCTGAAGACAATCCCGTTTCCCACGAAATCCTCAAAGCTATGCAAATATCCTCTTGCAGATTCTACAAAAAGAGTGTTTCGAAACTGCTCTATGAAAAGAAAGGTTCAACTGTGTCAGTAGAGGGCACACATCACAAACAAGTTTCTGAGAATGCTTCTGTCTAGTTGTTTATGGGAAGATATTTCCTTTTCCAACATAGGCCTGAAAGCGCTCCAAATGTCCACTTCCAGATACTACAAAAGGAGTGATTCCAACCTGCTCTATGATAGGGAATGTTCAACTCTGTGTCCTGAATACAAACATCACAAAGATGTTTCTCAGAACGCTGCAGTCTGCAATTTGTATGAATTCCCGCTTCCAAGGAAATCCTCCAAACTAGCCAAATATCCACTTGCAGATTCCACAAAAAGAGCGTTTCAAAACTTCTCTATGAAAAGAAAGGTTCTACTCCTTTAGTTGAGGACACACATCACGAGTAAGTTTCTGAGAGTGCTTCTGTCTAGTTTTTATGGGAAGATATTTCCTTTTTCACCTTAGGCCGGAAAGTGCTCCAAATGTCCACTTACACACACTACAAAAAGAGTGTTTCAAACCTGCTCTGTGAAAGGGAATGTTCAATTCTGTGACTTGAATGCAATCATCACAAAGAACTTTCTGAGAATGCTGCTGTCTGCTTTTTATATGTAATCCCGTTTCCAACGAAATCCTCAAATCTAGCCAAATAGCCACTTGCAGATTCCACAAAAAGAGTGTTTCAAAACTGTTCTGTCTAAAGAAATGTTCAACTGTGTTAGTTGAGGACACACATCAGAAACTAGTTTCTGAGAATGCTTCTGTCTAGTTGTTATGGGAAGATATTTCCTTTTCCAACATAGGCCTGAAAGCGCTCCAAATGTCCACTTCCAGATACTACAAAAGGAGTGATTCCAACCTGCTCTATGATAGGGAATGTTCAACTCTGTGTCCTGAATACAAACATCACAAAGATGTTTCTCAGAACGCTGCAGTCTGCAATTTGTATGAATTCCCGCTTCCAACGAAATCATAAAAACTAGCCAAATATCCACTTGCAGATTCCACAAAAAGAGAGTTTCAAAACTTCTCTATGAAAAGAAAGGTTCTACACCTTTAGTTGAGGACACACATCACGAGTAAGTTTCTGAGAATGCTTCTGTCTAGTTTTTATGGGAAGATATTTCCTTTTTCACCTTAGGCCGGAAAGCGCTCCAAATGTCCACTTACACACACTACAAAAAGAGTGTTTCAAACCTGCTCTGTGAAAGGGAATGTTCAATTCTGTGACTTAAATGCAATCATCAAAAAGAACTTTCTGAGACTGCTGCTGTCTGCTTTTTATATGTAATCCCGTTTCCAACGAAATCCTCAAATCTAGCCAAATATCCACTTGCAGATTCCAGAAAAAGAGTGTTTCAAAACTGCTCCTTCAAAACGGTGGTTCAATTCTCTTAGTTGAATACACACATCTCAAATAAGTTTCTGAGAATGCTTCTGCCTAGTTCTTACGGGAAGATATTTCCCTTTCCAACATAGGCCTGAAAGCGCTCCAAATGTCCACTTCCAGATACTACAAAAAGAGTGTTTCAAACCTACTCTACCAAAGGGAATGTTCTACTCTGTGAGTTGAATGCAAACATCCCAAAGAAGTTTCTGAGAATGCTTCTGTCTAGATTTTACCTGAAGACAATCCCGTTTCCCACGAAATCCTCAAAGCTATGCAAATATCCTCTTGCAGATTCTACAAAAAGAGTGTTTCAAAACTGCTCTATGAAAAGAAAGGTTCAACTCTGTCAGTAGAGGGCACACATCACAAACAAGTTTCTGAGAATGCTTGTGTCTAGTTGTTATGGGAAGATATTTCCTTTTTCAACATAGGCCAGAAAGCGCTCCAAATGTCCACTTCCAGATACTACAAAAGGAGTGATTCCAACCAGCTCTATGATAGGGAATGTTCAACTCTGTGTCCTGAATACAAACATCACAAAGATGTTTCTCAGAACGCTGCAGTCTGCAATTTGTATGAATTCCCGCTTCCAACGAAATCCTCAAAACTAGCCAAATATCCACTTGCAGATTCCACAAAAAGAGCATTTCAAAACTGCTCTATCAAAAGAAAGGTTCAACTTTGTTAGTTGAGTAGATACAGCATAAACAAGTTTCTGAGAATGCTTCTCTCTAGATTTTATATGAAGATATTCCCGTTTCCAACGAAATCCACAAAGCTATCGAAATATCCACTTGCAGATTCTACAAAAAGAGTGTTTCAAAACTGCTCTATGAAAAGAAAGGTTCTACCCCTTTAGTTGAGGACACACATCACGAGTAAGTTTCTGAGAATGCTTCTGTCTAGTTTTTATGGGAAGATATTTCCTTTTTCACCTGAGGCCGGAAAGCGCTCCAAATGTCCACTTCCAGATACTACAAAAGGAGTGATTCAAACCTGCTCTATGATAGGGAATGTTCAACTCTGTGTCCTGAATACAAACATCACAAAGATGTTTCTCAGAACGCTGCAGTCTGCAATTTGTATGAATTCCCGCTTCCAACGAAATCCTCAAAACTAGCCAAATATCCACTTGCAGATTCCACAAAAAGAGCGTTTCAAAACTTCTCTATGAAAAGAAAGGTTCTACTCCTTTAGTTGAGGACACACATCACGAGTAAGTTTCTGAGAATGCTTCTGTCTAGTTTTTATGGGAAGATATTTCCTTGTTCACCTTAGGCCGGAAAGCGCTCCAAATGTCCACTTACACACACTACAAAAAGAGTGTTTCACACCTGCTCTGTGAAAGGGAATGTTCAATTCTGTGACTTGAATGCAATCATCACAAAGAACTTTCTGAGAATGCTGCTGTCTGCTTTTTATATGTAATCCCGTTTCCAACGAAATCCTCAAATCTAGCCAAATATCCACTTGCAGATTCCACAAAGAGAGTGTTTCAAAACTGTTCTGTCTAAAGAAATGTTCAACTGTGTTAGTTGAGGACACACATCAGAAACTAGTTTCTGAGAATGCTTCTGTCTAGTTGTTATGGGAAGATATTTCCTTTTCCAACGTAGGCCTGAAAGCGCTCCAAATGTCCACTTCCATATACTAAAAAAAGAGTGTTTCAAACCTGCTCTACCAAAGGGAATGTTCTACTCTGTGACTTGAATGCAAACATCCCAAAGAAGTTTCTGAGAATGCTTCTGTCTAGATTGGATCTGAAGACAATCCCGTTTCCAACGAAATCCTCAAATCTATGCAAATATCCTCTTGCAGATTCCAGAAAAAGAGTGTTTCAAAACTGCTCCTTCAAAACGGTGGTTCAATTCTCTTAGTTGAGTACACACATCTCAAATAAGTTTCTGAGAATGCTTCTGCCTAGTTGTTACGGGAAGATATTTCCCTTTCCAACATAGGCCTGAAAGCGCTCCAAATGTCCACTTCCAGATACTACAAAAAGAGTGTTTCAAACCTGCTCTACCAAAGGGAATGTTCTACTCTGTGACTTGAATGCAAACATCCCAAAGAAGTTTCTGAGAATGCTTCTGTCTAGATTTTACCTGAAGACAATCCCGTTTCCCACGAAATCCTCAAAGCTATGCAAATATCCTCTTGCAGATTCTACAAAAAGAGTGTTTCAAAACTGCTCTATGAAAAGAAAGGTTCAACTCTGTCAGTAGAGGGCACACATCACAAACAAGTTTCTGAGAATGCTTGTGTCTAGTTGTTATGGGAAGATATTTCCTTTTTCAACATAGGCCTGAAAGCGCTCCAAATGTCCACTTCCAGATACTACAAAAGGAGTGATTCCAACCTGCTCTATGATAGGGAATGTTCAACTCTCTGTCCTGAATACAAACATCACAAAGATGTTTCTCAGAACGCTGCAGTCTGCAATTTGTATGAATTCCCGCTTCCAACGAAATCCTCAAAACTAGCCAAATATCCACTTGCAGATTCCACAAAAAGAGCATTTCAAAACTGCTCTATCAAAAGAAAGGTTCAACTTTGTTAGTTGAGTAGATACAGCATAAACAAGTTTCTGAGAATGCTTCTGTCCAGTTTTTATGGGAAGATATTTCCTTTTTCACCTTAGCCCTGAAAGCGCTCCAAAAGTCCAGTTCCAGATACTACAAAAGGAGTGTTTCAGGACTGCTCTATGAAAGGGAGTGTTCAACTTTTGACTTGAATGCAAACATCAGAAAGCAGTTTCTCAGAACGCTGCTGTGTGCTTTTTATATGTATTCCCGCTTCCAGCGAAATCCCCAAAGCTAGCCAAATATCCACTTGCAGATTCCAGGAAAAGAGTGTTTCAAAACTGCTCCTTCAAAACGGTGGTTCAATTCTCTTAGTTGAGTACACACATCTCAAATAAGTTTCTGAGAATGCTTCTGTCTAGTTGTTATGGGAAGATATTTCCTTTTCCAACATAGGCCTGAAAGCGCTCCAAATGTCCACTTCCAGATACTACAAAAGGAGTGATTCAAACCTGCTCTATGATAGGGAATGTTCAACTCTGTGTCCTGAATACAAACATCACAAAGATGTTTCTCAGAACGCTGCAGTCTGCAATTTGTATGAATTCCCGCTTCCAACGAAATCCTCCAAACTAGCCAAATATCCACTTGCAGATTCCACAAAAAGAGCGTTTCAAAACTTCTCTATGAAAAGAAAGGTTCTACTCCTTTAGTTGAGGACACACATCACGAGTAAGTTTCTGAGAGTGCTTCTGTCTAGTTTTTATGGGAAGATATTTCCTTTTTCACCTTAGGCCGGAAAGTGCTCCAAATGTCCACTTACACACACTACAAAAAGAGTGTTTCAAACCTGCTCTGTGAAAGGGAATGTTCAATTCTGTGACTTGAATGCAATCATAACAAAGAACTTTCTGAGAATGCTGCTGTCTGCTTTTTATATGTAATCCCGTTTCCAACGAAATCCTCAAATCTAGCCAAATAGCCACTTGCAGATTCCACAAAAAGAGTGTTTCAAAACTGTTCTGTCTAAAGAAATGTTCAACTGTGTTAGTTGAGGACACACATCAGAAACTAGTTTCTGAGAATGCTTCTGTCTAGTTGTTATGGGAAGATATTTCCTTTTCCAACGTAGGCCTGAAAGCGCTCCAAATGTCCACTTCCATATACTAAAAAAAGAGTGTTTCAAACCTGCTCTACCAAAGGGAATGTTCTACTCTGTGACTTGAATGCAAACATCCCAAAGAAGTTTCTGAGAATGCTTCTGTCTAGATTTTCTCTGAAGACAATCCCGTTTCCAACGAAATCCTCAAGGCTAGGCAAATATACTCTTGCAGATTCCAGAAAAAGAGTGTTTCAAAACTGCTCCTTCAAAACGGTGGTTCAATTCTCTTAGTTGAGTACACACATCTCAAATAAGTTTCTGAGAATGCTTCTGCCTAGTTGTTACGGGAAGATATTTCCCTTTCCAACATGGGCCTGAAAGCGCTCCAAATGTCCACTTCCAGATACTACAAAAAGAGTGTTTCAAACCTGCTCTACCAAAGGGAATGTTCTACTCTGTGACTTGAATGCAAACATCCCAAAGAAGTTTCTAAGAATGCTTCTGTCTAGATTTTACCTGAAGACAATCCCGTTTCCCACGAAATCCTCAAAGCTATGCAAATATCCTCTTGCAGATTCTACAAAAAGAGTGTTTCAAAACTGCTCTATGAAAAGAAAGGTTCAACTCTGTCAGTAGAGGGCACACATCACAAACAAGTTTCTGAGAATGCTTCTGCATAGTTGTTACGGGAAGATATTTCCCTTTCCAAAATAGGCCTGAAAGCGCTCCAAATGTCCACTTCCAGATACTACAAAAGGAGTGATTCCAACCTGCTCTATGATAGGGAATGTTCAACTCTGTGTCCTGAATACAAACATCACAAAGATGTTTCTCAGAACGCTGCAGTCTGCAATTTGTATGAATTCCCGCTTCCAACGAAATCCTCAAAACTAGCCAAATATCCACTTGCAGATTCCACAAAAAGACCATTTCAAAACTGCTCTATCAAAAGAAAGGTTCAACTTTGTTAGTTGAGTAGATACAGCATAAACAAGTTTCTGAGAATGCTTCTGTCCAGTTTTTATGGGAAGATATTTCCTTTTTCACCTTAGCCCTGAAATCGCTCCAAAAGTCCAGTTCCAGATACTACAAAAGGGGTGTTTCAGGACTGCTCTATGAAAGGGAGTGTTCAACTTTTGACTTGAATGCAAACATCAGAAAGCAGTTTCTCAGAACGCTGCTGTGTGCTTTTTATATGTATTCCCGCTTCCAGCGAAATCCCCAAGCTAGCCAAATATCCACTTGCAGATTCCAGAAAAAGAGAGTTTCAAAACTGCTCCTTCAAAACGGTGGTTCAATTCTCTTAGTTGAGTACACACATCTCAAATAAGTTTCTGAGAATGCTTCTGTCTAGTTGTTATGGGAAGATATTTCCTTTTCCAACATAGGCCTGAAAGCGCTCCAAATGTCCACTTCCAGATACTACAAAAGGAGTGATTCAAACCTGCTCTATGATAGGGAATGTTCAACTCTGTGTCCTGAATACAAACATCACAAAGATGTTTCTCAGAACGCTGCAGTCTGCAATTTGTATGAATTCCCGCTTCCAACGAAATCCTCAAAACTAGCCAAATATCCACTTGCAGATTCCACAAAAAGAGCGTTTCAAAACTTCTCTATGAAAAGAAAGGTTCTACTCCTTTAGTTGAGGACACACATCACGAGTAAGTTTCTGAGAATGCTTCTGTCTAGTTTTTATGGGAAGATTATTTCCTTTTTCACCTTAGGCCGGTAAGTGCTCCAAATGTCCACTTACACACACTACAAAAAGAGTGTTTCAAACCTGCTCTGTGAAAGGGAATGTTCAATTCTGTGACTTGAATGCAATCATCACAAAGAACTTTCTGAGAATGCCGCTGACTGCTTTTTATATGTAATCCCGTTTCCAACGAAATCCTCAAATCTAGCCAAATAGCCACTTGCAGATTCCACAAAAAGAGTGTTTCAAAACTGTTCTGTCTAAAGAAATGTTCAACTGTGTTAGTTGAGGACACACATCAGAAACTAGTTTCTGAGAATGCTTCTGTCTAGTTGTTATGGGAAGATATTTCCTTTTCCAACGTAGGCCTGAAAGCGCTCCAAATGTCCACTTCCAGATACTAAAAAAAGAGTGTTTCAAACCTGCTCTACCAAAGGGAATGTTCTACTCTGTGACTTGAATGCAAGCATCCCAAAGAAGTTTCTGAGAATGCTTCTGTCTAGATTTTCTCTGAAGACAATCCCGTTTCCAACGAAATCCTCAAGGCTAGGCAAATATACTCTTGCAGATTCCAGAAAAAGAGTGTTTCAAAACTGCTCCTTCAAAACGGTGGTTCAATTCTCTTAGTTGAGTACACACATCTCAAATAAGTTTCTGAGAATGCTTCTGCCTAGTTGTTACGGGAAGATATTTCCCTTTCCAACATGGGCCTGAAAGCGCTCCAAATGTCCACTTCCAGATACTACAAAAAGAGTGTTTCAAACCTGCTCTACCAAAGGGAATGTTCTACTCTGTGACTTGAATGCAAACATCCCAAAGAAGTTTCTGAGAATGCTTCTGTCTAGATTTTACCTGAAGACAATCCCGTTTCCCACGAAATCCTCAAAGCTATGCAAATATCCTCTTGCAGATTCTACAAAAAGAGTGTTTCAAAACTGCTCTATGAAAAGAAAGGTTCAACTCTGTCAGTGGAGGGCACACATCACAAACAAGTTTCTGAGAACGCTTGTGTCTAGTTGTTATGGGAAGATATTTCCTTTTTCAACATAGGCCTGAAAGCGCTCCAAATGTCCACTTCCAGATACTACAAAAGGAGTGATTCCATCATGCTCTATGATAGGGAATGTTCATCTCTGTGTCTTGAATACAAACATCACAAAGATGTTTCTCAGAACGCTGCAGTCTGCAATTTGTATGAATTCCCGCTTCCAACGAAATCCTCAAAACTAACCAAATATCCACTTGGAGATTCCACAAAAAGAGCGTTTCAAAACTTCTCTATGAATAGAAAGGTTCTACTCCTTTAGTTGAGGACACACATCACGAGTAAGTTTCTGAGAATGCTTCTGTCTAGTTTTTATGGGAAGATATGTCCTTTTTCACCTTAGGCCGGAAAGCACTCCAAATATCCACTTACACACACTACAAAAAGAGTGTTTCAAACCTGCTCTGTGAAAGGGAATGTTCAATTCTGTGACTTGAATGCAATCATCACAAAGAACTTTCTGAGAATGCTGCTGACTGCTTTTTATATGTAATCCCGTTTCCAACGAAATCCTCAAATCTAGCCCAGTATCCACTTGCAGATTCCACAAAAAGAGTGTTTCAAAACTGTTCTGTCTAAAGAAATGTACAACTGTGTTAGTTGAGGACACACATCAGAAACTAGTTTCTGAGAATGCTTCTGTCTAGTTGTTATGGGAAGATATTTCCTTTTCCAACGTAGGCCTGAAAGCGCTCCAAATGTCCACTTCCATATACTAAAAAAAGAGTGTTTCAAACCTGCTCTACCAAAGGGAATGTTCTACTCTGTGACTTGAATGCAAACATCCCAAAGAAGTTTCTGAGAATGCTTCTGTCTAGATTTTATCTGAAGACAATCCCGTTTCCAACGAAATCCTCAAGGCTAGGCAAATATACTCTTGCAGATTCCAGAAAAAGAGGGTTTCAAAACTGCTCCTTCAAAACGGTGGTTCAATTCTCTTCGTTGAGTACACACATCTCAAATAAGTTTCTGAGAATGCTTCTGCCTAGTTGTTACGGGAAGATATTTCCCTTTCCAACATGGGCCTGAAAGCGCTCCAAATGTCCACTTCCAGATACTACAAAAAGAGTGTTTCAAACCTGCTCTACCAAAGGGAATGTTCTACTCTGTGACTTGAATGCAAACATCCCAAAGAAGTTTCTGAGAATGCTTCTGTCTAGATTTTACCTGAAGACAATCCCGTTTCCCACGAAATCCTCAAAGCTATGCAAATATCCTCTTGCGGATTCTACAAAAAGAGTGTCTCAAAACTGCTCTATGAAAAGAAAGGTTCAACTCTGTCAGTAGAGGGCACACATCACAAACAAGTTTCTGAGAATGCTTGTGTCTAGTTGTTATGGGAAGATATTTCCTTTTTCAACATAGGCCTGAAAGCGCTCCAAATGTCCACTTCCAGATACTACAAAAGGAGTGATTCCAACCTGCTCTATGATAGGGAATGTTCATCTCTGTGTCCTGAATACAAACATCACAAAGATGTTTCTCAGAACGCTGCAGTCTGCAATTTGTATGAATTCCCGCTTCCAACGAAATCCTCAACACTAGCCAAATATCCACTTGGAGATTCCACAAAAAGAGCGTTTCAAAACTTCTCTATGAATAGAAAGGTTCTACTCCTTTAGTTGAGGACACACATCACGAGTAAGTTTCTGAGAATGCTTCTGTCTAGTTTTTATGGGAAGATATGTCCTTTTTCACCTTAGGCCGGAAAGCGCTCCAAATGTCCACTTACACACACTACAAAAAGAGTGTTTCAAACCTGCTCTGTGAAAGGGAATGTTCAATTCTGTGACTTGAATGCAATCATCACAAAGAACTTTCTGAGAATGCTGCTGACTGCTTTTTATATGTAATCCCGTTTCCAACGAAATACTCAAATCTAGCCCAATATCCACTTGCAGATTCCACAAAAAGAGTGTTTCAAAACTGTTCTGTCTAAAGAAATGTACAACTGTGTTAGTTGAGGACACACATCACAAACTAGTTTCTGAGAATGCTTCTGTCTAGTTGTTATGGGAAGATATTTCCTTTTCCAACGTAGGCCTGAAAGCGCTCCAAATGTCCACTTCCATATACTAAAAAAAGAGTGTTTCAAACCTGCTCTACCAAAGGGAATGTTCTACTCTGTGACTTGAATGCAAACATCCCAAAGAAGTTTCTGAGAATGCTTCTGTCTAGATTTTATCTGAAGACAATCCCGTTTCCAACGAAATCCTCAAGGCTAGGCAAATATACTCTTGCAGATTCCAGAAAAAGAGTGTTTCAAAACTGCTCCTTCAAAACGGTGGTTCAATTCTCTTAGTTGAGTACACACATCTCAAATAAGTTTCTGAGAATGCTTCTGCCTAGTTGTTACGGGAAGATATTTCCCTTTCCAACATGGGCCTGATAGCGCTCCGAATGTCCACTTCCAGATACTACAAAAAGAGGGTTTCAAACCTGCTCTACCAAAGGGAATGTTCTACTCTGTGACTTGAATGCAAACATCCCAAAGAAGTTTCTGAGAATGCTTCTGTCTAGATTTTACCTGAAGACAATCCCGTTTCCCACGAAATCCTCAAAGCTATGCAAATATCCTCTTGCAGATTCTACAAAAAGAGTGTTTCAAAACTGCTCTATGAAAAGAAAGGTTCAACTCTGTCAGTAGAGGGCACACATCACAAACAAGTTTCTGAGAATGCTTGTGTCTAGTTGTTATGGGAAGATATTTCCTTTTTCAACATAGGCCTGAAAGCGCTCCAAATGTCCACTTCCAGATACTACAAAAGGAGTGATTCCAACCTGCTCTATGATAGGGAATGTTCATCTCTGTGTCCTGAATACAAACATCACAAAGATGTTTCTCAGAACGCTGCAGTCTGCAATTTGTATGAATTCCCGCTTCCAACGAAATCCTCAAAACTAGCCAAATATCCACTTGGAGATTCCACAAAAAGAGCGTTTCAAAACTTCTCTATGAATAGAAATGTTCTACTCCTTTAGTTGAGGACACACATCACGAGTAAGTTTCTGAGAATGCTTCTGTCTAGTTTTTATGGGAAGATATGTCCTTTTTCACCTTAGGCCGGAAAGCGCTCCAAATGTCCACTTACACACACTACAAAAAGAGTGTTTCAAACCTGCTCTGTGAAAGGGAATGTTCAATTCTGTGACTTGAATGCAATCATCACAAAGAACTTTCTGAGAATGCTGCTGACTGCTTTTTATATGTAATCCCGTTTCCAACGAAATCCTCAAATCTAGCCCAATATCCACTTGCAGATTCCACAAAAAGAGTGTTTCAAAACTGTTCTGTCTAAGGAAATGTACAACTGTGTTAGTTGAGGACACACATCAGAAACTAGTTTCTGAGAATGCTTCTGTCTAGTTGTTATGGGAAGATATTTCCTTTTCCAACGTAGGCCTGAAAGCGCTCCAAATGTCCACTTCCATATACTAAAAAAAGAGTGTTTCAAACCTGCTCTACCAAAGGGAATGTTCTACTCTGTGACTTGAATGCAAACATCCCAAAGAAGTTTCTGAGAATGCTTCTGTCTAGATTTTATCTGAAGACAATCCCGTTTCCAACGAAATCCTCAAGGCTAGGCAAATATACTCTTGCAGATTCCAGAAAAAGAGTGTTTCAAAACTGCTCCTTCAAAACGGTGGTTCAATTCTCTTAGTTGAGTACACACATCTCAAATAAGTTTCTGAGAATGCTTCTGCCTAGTTGTTACGGGAAGATATTTCCCTTTCCAACATGGGCCTGAAAGCGCTCCAAATGTCCACTTCCAGATACTACAAAAAGAGTGTTTCAAACCTGCTCTACCAAAGGGAATGTTCTACTCTGTGATTTGAATGCAAACATCCCAAAGAAGTTTCTGAGAATGCTTCTGTCTAGATTTTACCTGAAGACAATCCCGTTTCCCACGAAATCCTCAAAGCTATGCAAATATCCTCTTGCGGATTCTACAAAAAGAGTGTTTCAAAACTGCTCTATGAAAAGAAAGGTTCAACTCTGTCAGTAGAGGGCACACATCACAAACAAGTTTCTGAGAATGCTTGTGTCTAGTTGTTATGGGAAGATATTTCCTTTTTCAACATAGGCCTGAAAGCGCTCCAAATGTCCACTTCCAGATACTACAAAAGGACTGATTACAACATGCTCTATGATAGGGAATGTTCATCTCTGTGTCTTGAATACAAACATCACAAAGATGTTTCTCAGAACGCTGCAGTCTGCAATTTGTATGAATTCCCGCTTCCAACGAAATCCTCAAAACTAGCCAAATATCCACTTGGAGATTCCACAAAAAGAGCGTTTCAAAACTTCTCTATGAATAGAAAGGTTCTACTCCTTTAGTTGAGGACACACATCACGAGTAAGTTTCTGAGAATGCTTCTGTCTAGTTTTTATGGGAAGATATATCCTTTTTCACCTTAGGCCGGAAAGCGCTCCAAATGTCCACTTACACACACTACAAAAAGAGTGTTTCAAACCTGCTCTGTGAAAGGGAATGTTCAATTCTGTGACTTGAATGCCATCATCACAAAGAACTTTCTGAGAATGCTGCTGACTGCTTTTTACATGTAATCCCGTTTCCAAAGAAATCCTCAAATCTAGCCCAATATCCACTTGCAGATTCCACAAAAAGAGTGTTTCAAAACTGTTCTGTCTAAAGAAATATACAAGTGTGTTAGTTGAGGACACACATCAGAAACTAGTTTCTGAGAATGCTTCTGTCTAGTTGTTGTGGGAAGATATTTCCTTTTCCAACGTAGGCCTGAAAGCGCTCCAAATGTCCACTTCCATATACTAAAAAAAGAGTGTTTCAAACCTGCTCTACCAAAGGGAATGATCTACTCTGTGACTTGAATGCAAACATCCCAAAGAAGTTTCTGAGAATGCTTCTGTCTAGATTTTATCTGAAGACAATCCCGTTTCCAACGAAATCCTCAAGGCTAGGCAAATATACTCTTTCAGATTCCAGAAAAAGAGGGTTTCAAAACTGCTCCTTCAAAACGGTGGTTCAATTCTCTTCGTTGAGTACACACATCTCAAATAAGTTTCTGAGAATGCTTCTGCCTAGTTGTTACGGGAAGATATTTCCCTTTCCAACATGGGCCTGAAAGCGCTCCAAATGTCCACTTCCAGATACTACAAAAAGAGTGTTTCAAACCTGCTCTACCAAAGGGAATGTTCTACTCTGTGACTTGAATGCAAACATCCCAAAGAAGTTTCTGAGAATGCTTCTGTCTAGATTTTACCTGAAGACAATCCCATTTCCCACGAAATCCTCAAAGCTATGCAAATATCCTCTTGCGGATTCTACAAAAAGAGTGTTTCAAAACTGCTCTATGAAAAGAAAGGTTCAACTCTGTCAGCAGAGGGCACACATCACAAACAAGTTTCTGAGAATGCTTCTGTCTAGTTGTTATGGGAAGATATTTCCTTTTTCAACATAGGCCTGAAAGCGCTCCAAATGTCCACTTCCAGATACTACAAAAGGAGTGATTCCAACCTGCTCTATGATAGGGAATGTTCATCTCTGTGTCTTGAATACAAACATCACAAAGATGTTTCTCAGAACGCTGCAGTCTGCAATTTGTATGAATTCCCGCTTCCAACGAAATCCTCAAAACTAGCCAAATATCCACTTGGAGATTCCACAAAAAGAGCGTTTCAAAACTTCTCTATGAATAGAAAGGTTCTACTCCTTTAGTTGAGGACACACATCACGAGTAAGTTTCTGAGAATGCTTCTGTCTAGTTTTTATGGGAAGATATGTCCTTTTTCACCTTAGGCCGGAAAGCGCTCCAAATGTCCACTTACACACACTACAAAAAGAGTGTTTCAAACCTGCTCTGTGAAAGGGAATGTTCAATTCTGTGACTTGAATGCAATCATCACAAAGAACTTTCTGAGAATGCTGCTGTCTGCTTTTTATATGTAATCCCGTTTCCAACGAAATCCTCAAATCTAGCCCAATATCCACTTGCAGATTCCACAAAAAGAGTGTTTCAAAACTGTTCTGTATAAAGAAATGTACAACTGTGTTAGTTGAGGACACACATCAGAAACTAGTTTCTGAGAATGCTTCTGTCTAGTTGTTATGGGAAGATATTTCCTTTTCCAACGTAGGCCTGAAAGCGCTCCAAATGTCCACTTCCATATACTAAAAAAAGAGTGTTTCAAACCTGCTCTACCAAAGGGAATGTTCTACTCTGTGACTTGAATGCAAACATCCCAAAGAAGTTTCTGAGAATGCTTCTGTCTAGATTTTATCTGAAGACAATCCCGTTTCCAACGAAATCCTCAAGGCTAGGCAAATATACTCTTGCAGATTCCAGAAAAAGAGGGTTTCAAAACTGCTCCTTCAAAACGGTGGTTCAATTCTCTTAGTTGAGTACACACATCTCAAATAAGTTTCTGAGAATGCTTCTGCCTAGTTGTTACGGGAAGATATTTCCCTTTCCAACATGGGCCTGAAAGCGCTCCAAATGTCCACTTCCAGATACTACAAAAAGAGTGTTTCAAACCTGCTCTACCAAAGGGAATGTTCTACTCTGTGACTTGAATGCAAACATCCCAAAGAAGTTTCTGAGAATGCTTCTGTCTAGATTTTACCTGAAGACAATCCCGTTTCCCACGAAATCCTCAAAGCTATGCAAATATCCTCTTGCAGATTCTACAAAAAGAGTGTTTCAAAACTGCTCTATGAAAAGAAAGGTTCAACTCTGTCAGTAGAGGGCACACATCACAAACAAGTTTCTGAGAACGCTTGTGTCTAGTTGATATGGGAAGATATTTCCTTTTTCAACATAGGCCTGAAAGCGCTCCAAATGTCCACTTCCAGATACTACAAAAGGAGTGATTCCAACATGCTCTATGATAGGGAATGTTCATCTCTGTGTCTTGAATACAAACATCACAAAGATGTTTCTCAGAACGCTGCAGTCTGCAATTTGTATGAATTCCCGCTTCCAACGAAATCCTCAACACTAGCCAAATATCCACTTGGAGATTCCACAAAAAGAGCGTTTCAAAACTTCTCTATGAATAGAAAGGTTCTACTCCTTTAGTTGAGGACACACATCACGAGTAAGTTTCTGAGAATGCTTCTGTCTAGTTTTTATGGGAAGATATGTCCTTTTTCACCTTAGGCCGGAAAGCACTCCAAATGTCCACTTACACACACTACAAAAAGAGTGTTTCAAACCTGCTCTGTGAAAGGGAATGTTCAATTCTGTGACTTGAATGCAATCATCACAAAGAACTTTCTGAGAATGCTGCTGACTGCTTTTTATATGTAATCCCGTTTCCAACGAAATCCTCAAATCTAGCCCAATATCCACTTGCAGATTCCACAAAAAGAGTGTTTCAAAACTGTTCTGTCTAAAGAAATGTACAACTGTGTTAGTTGAGGACACACATCAGAAACTAGTTTCTGAGAATGCTTCTGTCTAGTTGTTATGGGAAGATATTTCCTTTTCCAACGTAGGCCTGAAAGCGCTCCAAATGTCCACTTCCAGATACTAAAAAAAGAGTGTTTCAAACCTGCTCTACCAAAGAGAATGTTCTACTCTGTGACTTGAATGCAAACATCCCAAAGGAGTTTCTGAGAATGCATCTATCTAGATTTTATCTGAAGACAATCCCGTTTCCAACGAAATCCTCAAGGCTAGGCAAATATACTCTTGCAGATTCCAGAAAAAGAGGGTTTCAAAACTGCTCCTTCAAAACGGTGGTTCAATTCTCTTAGTTGAGTACACACATCTCAAATAAGTTTCTGAGAATGCTTCTGCCTAGTTGTTACGGGAAGATATTTCCCTTTCCAACATGGGCCTGAAAGCGCTCCAAATGTCCACTTCCAGATACTACAAAAAGAGGGTTTCAAACCTGCTCTACCAAAGGGAATGTTCTACTCTGTGACTTGAATGCAAACATCCCAAAGAAGTTTCTGAGAATGCTTCTGTCTAGATTTTACCTGAAGACAATCCCGTTTCCCACGAAATCCTCAAAGCTATGCAAATATCCTCTTGCAGATTCTACAAAAAGAGTGTTTCAAAACTGCTCTATGAAAAGAAAGGTTCAACTGTGTCAGTAGAGGGCACACATCACAAACAAGTTTCTGAGAATGCTTGTGTCTAGTTGTTATGGGAAGATATTTCCTTTTTCAACATAGGCCTGAAAGCGCTCCAAATGTCCACTTCCAGATACTACAAAAGGAGTGATTCCAACCTGCTCTATGATAGGGAATGTTCAACTCTCTGTCCTGAATACAAACATCACAAAGATGTTTCTCAGAACGCTGCAGTCTGCAATTTGTATGAATTCCCGCTTCCAACGAAATCCTCAAAACTAGCCAAATATCCACTTGCAGATTCCACAAAAAGAGCATTTCAAAACTGCTCTATCAAAAGAAAGGTTCAACTTTGTTAGTTGAGTAGATACAGCATAAACAAGTTTCTGAGAATGCTTCTGTCCAGTTTTTATGGGAAGATATTTCCTTTTTCACCTTAGCCCTGAAAGCGCTCCAAAAGTCCAGTTCCAGATACTACAAAAGGAGTGTTTCAGGACTGCTCTATGAAAGGGAGTGTTCAACTTTTGACTTGAATGCAAACATCAGAAAGCAGTTTCTCAGAACGCTGCTGTGTGCTTTTTATATGTATTCCCGCCTCCAGCGAAATCCCCAAAGCTAGCCAAATATCCACTTGCAGATTCCAGAAAAAGAGTGTTTCAAAACTGCTCCTTCAAAACGGTGGTTCAATTCTCTTAGTTGAGTACACACATCTCAAATAAGTTTCTGAGAATGCTTCTGTCTAGTTGTTATGGGAAGATATTTCCTTTTCCAACATAGGCCTGAAAGCGCTCCAAATGTCCACTTCCAGATACTACAAAAGGAGTGATTCCAACCTGCTCTATGATAGGGAATGTTCAACTCTGTGTCCTGAATACAAACATCACAAAGATGTTTCTCAGAACGCTGCAGTCTGCAATTTGTATGAATTCCCGCTTCCAACGAAATCCTCCAAACTAGCCAAATATCCACTTGCAGATTCCACAAAAAGAGCGTTTCAAAACTTCTCTATGAAAAGAAAGGTTCTACTCCTTTAGTTGAGGACACACATCACGAGTAAGTTTCTGAGAATGCTTCTGTCTAGTTTTTATGGGAAGATATTTCCTTTTTCACCTTAGGCCGGTAAGTGCTCCAAATGTCCACTTACACACACTACAAAAAGAGTGTTTCAAACCTGCTCTGTGAAAGGGAATGTTCAATTCTGTGACTTGAATGCAATCATCACAAAGAACTTTCTGAGAATGCTGCTGACTGCTTTTTATATGTAATCCCGTTTCCAACGAAATCCTCAAATCTAGCCAAATAGCCACTTGCAGATTCCACAAAAAGAGTGTTTCAAAACTGTTCTGTCTAAAGAAATGTTCAACTGTGTTAGTTGAGGACACACATCAGAAACTAGTTTGCTGAGAATGCTTCTGTCTAGTTGTTATGGGAAGATATTTCCTTTTCCAAGGTAGGCCAGAAAGCGCTCCAAATGTCCACTTACACACACTACAAAAAGAGTGTTTCAAACCTGCTCTACCAAAGGGAATGTTCTACTCTGTGACTTGAATGCAAACATCCCAAAGAAGTTTCTGAGAATGCTTCTGTCTAGATTTGATCTGAAGACAATTCCGTTTCCAACGAAATCCTCAAGGCTAGGCAAATATCCTCTTGCAGATTCCAGAAAAAGAGTGTTTGAAAAGTGCTCCTTCAAAACGGTGGTTCAATTCTCTTAGTTCAGTACACACATCTCAAATAATTTTCTGAGAATGCTTCTGTCTAGTTGTTATGGGAAGATATTTCCTTTTTCAACATAGGCCTGAAAGCGCTCCAAATGTCCACTTCCAGATACTACAAAAGGAGTGATTCCAACCTGCTCTATTATAGGGAATGTTCAACTCTGTGTCCTGAATACAAACATCACAAAGATGTTTCTCAGAACGCTGCAGTCTGCAATTTGTATGAATTCCCGCTTCCAACGAAATCCTCCAAACTAGCCAAATATCCACTTGCAGATTCCACAAAAAGAGCGTTTCAAAACTTCTCTATGAAAAGAAAGGTTCTACTCCTTTAGTTGAGGACACACATCACGAGTAAGTTTCTGAGAATGCTTCTGTCTAGTTTTTATGGGAAGATATTTCCTTTTTCACCTTAGGCCGGTAAGTGCTCCAAATGTCCACTTACACACACTACAAAAAGAGTCTTTCAAACCTGCTCTGTGAAAGGGAATGTTCAATTCTGTGACTTGAATGCAATCATCACAAAGAACTTTCTGAGAATGCTGCTGACTGCTTTTTATATGTAATCCCGTTTCCAACGAAATCCTCAAATCTAGCCAAATAGCCACTTGCAGATTCCACAAAAAGAGTGTTTCAAAACTGTTCTGTCTAAAGAAATGTTCAACTGTGTTAGTTGAGGACACACATCAGAAACTAGTTTCTGAGAATGCTTCTGTCTAGTTGTTATGGGAAGATATTTCCTTTTCCAACGTAGGCCTGAAAGCGATCCAAATGTCCACTTCCATATACTAAAAAAAGAGTGTTTCAAACCTGCTCTACCAAAGGGAATGTTCTACTCTGTGACTTGAATGCAAACATCCCAAAGAAGTTTCTGAGAATGCTTCTGTCTAGATTTTCTCTGAAGACAATCCCGTTTCCAACGAAATCCTCAAGGCTAGGCAAATATACTCTTGCAGATTCCAGAAAAAGAGTGTTTCAAAACTGCTCCTTCAAAACGGTGGTTCAATTCTCTTAGTTGAGTACACACATCTCAAATAAGTTTCTGAGAATGCTTCTGCCTAGTTGTTACGGGAAGATATTTCCCTTTCCAACATGGGCCTGAAAGCGCTCCAAATGTCCACTTCCAGATACTACAAAAAGAGTGTTTCAAACCTGCTCTACCAAAGGGAATGTTCTACTCTGTGACTTGAATGCAAACATCCCAAAGAAGTTTCTGAGAATGCTTCTGTCTAGATTTTACCTGAAGACAATCCCGTTTCCCACGAAATCCTCAAAGCTATGCAAATATCCTCTTGCAGATTCTACAAAAAGAGTGTTTCAAAACTGCTCTATGAAAAGAAAGGTTCAACTCTGTCAGTAGAGGGCACACATCACAAACAAGTTTCTGAGAATGCTTCTGCATAGTTGTTACGGGAAGATATTTCCCTTTCCAAAATAGGCCTGAAAGCGCTCCAAATGTCCACTTCCAGATACTACAAAAGGAGTGATTCCAACCTGCTCTATGATAGGGAATGTTCAACTCTGTGTCCTGAATACAAACATCACAAAGATGTTTCTCAGAACGCTGCAGTCTGCAATTTGTATGAATTCCCGCTTCCAACGAAATCCTTAAAACTAGCCAAATATCCACTTGCAGATTCCACAAAAAGACCATTTCAAAACTGCTCTATCAAAAGAAAGGTTCAACTTTGTTAGTTGAGTAGATACAGCATAAACAAGTTTCTGAGAATGCTTCTGTCCAGTTTTTATGGGAAGATATTTCCTTTTTCACCTTAGCCCTGAAATCGCTCCAAAAGTCCAGTTCCAGATACTACAAAAGGGGTGTTTCAAGACTGCTCTATGAAAGGGAGTGTTCAACTTTTGACTTGAATGCAAACATCAGAAAGCAGTTTCTCAGAACGCTGCTGTGTGCTTTTTATATGTATTCCCGCTTCCAGCGAAATCCCCAAAGCTAGCCAAATATCCACTTGCAGATTCCAGAAAAAGAGAGTTTCAAAACTGCTCCTTCAAAACGGTGGTTCAATTCTCTTAGTTGAGTACACACATCTCAAATAAGTTTCTGAGAATGCTTCTGTCTAGTTGTTATGGGAAGATATTTCCTTTTCCAACATAGGCCTGAAAGCGCTCCAAATGTCCACTTCCAGATACTACAAAAGGAGTGATTCCAACCTGCTCTATGATAGGGAATGTTCAACTCTGTGTCCTGAATACAAACATCACAAAGATGTTTCTCAGAACGCTGCAGTCTGCAATTTGTATGAATTCCCGCTTCCAACGAAATCCTCAAAACTAGCCAAATATCCACTTGCAGATTCCACAAAAAGAGCGTTTCAAAACTTCTCTATGAAAAGAAAGGTTCTACTCCTTTAGTTGAGGACACACATCACGAGTAAGTTTCTGAGAATGCTTCTGTCTAGTTTTTATGGGAAGATATTTCCTTTTTCACCTTAGGCCGGTAAGTGCTCCAAATGTCCACTTACACACACTACAAAAAGAGTGTTTCAAACCTGCTCTGTGAAAGGGAATGTTCAATTCTGTGACTTGAATGCAATCATCACAAAGAACTTTCTGAGAATGCTGCTGACTGCTTTTTATATGTAATCCCGTTTCCAACGAAATCCTCAAATCTAGCCAAATAGCCACTTGCAGATTCCACAAAAAGAGTGTTTCAAAACTGTTCTGTCTAAAGAAATGTTCAACTGTGTTAGTTGAGGACACACATCAGAAACTAGTTTCTGAGAATGCTTCTGTCTAGTTGTTATGGGAAGATATTTCCTTTTCCAACGTAGGCCTGAAAGCGCTCCAAATGTCCACTTCCATATACTAAAAAAAGAGTGTTTCAAACCTGCTCTACCAAAGGGAATGTTCTACTCTGTGACTTGAATGCAAACATCCCAAAGAAGTTTCTGAGAATGCTTCTGTCTAGATTTTCTCTGAAGACAATCCCGTTTCCAACGAAATCCTCAAGGCTAGGCAAATATACTCTTGCAGATTCCAGAAAAAGAGTGTTTCAAAACTGCTCCTTCAAAACGGTGGTTCAATTCTCTTAGTTGAGTACACACATCTCAAATAAGTTTCTGAGAATGCTTCTGCCTAGTTGTTACGGGAAGATATTTCCCTTTGCAACATGGGCCAGAAAGCGCTCCAAATGTCCACTTCCAGATACTACAAAAAGAGGGTTTCAAACCTGCTCTACCAAAGGGAATGTTCTACTCTGTGACTTGAATGTAAACATCCCAAAGAAGTTTCTGAGAATGCTTCTGTCTAGATTTTACCTGAAGACAATCCCGTTTCCCACGAAATCCTCAAAGCTATGCAAATATCCTCTTGCAGATTCTACAAAAAGAGTGTTTCAAAACTGCTCTATGAAAAGAAAGGTTCAACTCTGTCAGTAGAGGGCACACATCACAAACAAGTTTCTGAGAATGCTTCTGTCTAGTTGTTATGGGAAGATATTTCCTTTTCCAACATAGGCCTGAAAGCGCTCCAAATGTCCACTTCCAGATACTACAAAAGGAGTGATTCCAACCTGCTCTATGATAGGGAATGTTCAACTCTGTGTCCTGAATACAAACATCACAAAGATGTTTACTCAGAACGCTGCAGTCTGCAATTTGTATGAATTCCCGCTTCCAACGAAATCCTCCAAACTAGCCAAATATCCACTTGCAGATTCCACAAAAAGAGCGTTTCAAAACTTCTCTATGAAAAGAAAGGTTCTACACCTTTAGTTGAGGACACACATCACGAGTAAGTTTCTGAGAATGCTTCTGTCTAGTTTTTATGGGAAGATATTTCCTTTTTCACCTTAGGCCGGAAAGCGCTCCAAATGTCCACTTACACACACTACAAAAAGAGTGTTTCAAACCTGCTCTGTGAAAGGGAATGTTCAATTCTGTGACTTGAATGCAATCATCACAAAGAACTTTCTGAGAATGCTGCTGTCTGCTTTTTATATGTAATCCCGTTTCCAACGAAATCCTCAAATCTAGCCAAATATCCACTTGCAGATTCCACAAAAAGAGTGTTTCAAAACTGTTCTGTCTAAAGAAAAGTTCAACTGTGTTAGTTGAGGACACACATCAGAAACTAGTTTCTGAGAATGCTTTCTGTCTAGTTGTTATGGGAAGATATTTCCTTTTCCAACGTAGGCCTGAAAGCGCTCCAAATGTCCACTTCCATATACTAAAAAAAGAGTGTTTCAAACCTGCTCTACCAAAGGGAATGTTCTACTCTGTGACTTGAATGCAAACATCCCAAAGAAGTTTCTGAGAATGCTTCTGTCTAGATTTTATCTGAAGACAATCCCGTTTCCAACGAAATCCTCAAGGCTAGGCAAATATACTCTTGCAGATTCCAGAAAAAGAGGGTTTCAAAACTGCTCCTTCAAAACGGTGGTTCAATTCTCTTAGTTGAGTACACACATCTCAAATAAGTTTCTGAGAATGCTTCTGCCTAGTTGTTACGGGAAGATATTTCCCTTTCCAACATGGGTCTGAAAGCGCTCCAAGTGTCCACTTCCAGATACTACAAAAAGAGTGTTTCAAACCTGCTCTACCAAAGGGAATGTTCTACTCTGTGACTTGAATGCAAACATCCCAAAGAAGTTTCTGAGAATGCTTCTGTCTAGATTTTACCTGAAGACAATCCCGTTTCCCACGAAATCCTCAAAGCTATGCAAATATCCTCTTGCGGATTCTATAAAAGAGTGTTTCAAAACTGCTCTATGAAAAGAAAGGTTCAACTCTGTCAGTAGAGGGCACACATCACAAACAAGTTTCTGAGAATGCTTGTGTCTAGTTGTTATGGGAAGATATTTCCTTTTTCAACATAGGCCTGAAAGCGCTCCAAAAGTCCACTTCCAGATACTACAAAAGGAGTGATTCCAACCTGCTCTATGATAGGGAATGTTCATCACTGTGTCCTGAATACAAACATCACAAAGATGTTTCTCAGAACGCTGCAGTCTGCAATTTGTATGAATTCCCGCTTCCAACGAAATCCTCAAAACTAGCCAAATATCCACTTGCAGATTCCACAAAAAGAGCATTTCAAAACTGCTCTATCAAAAGAAAGGTTCAACTTTGTTAGTTGAGTAGATACAGCATAAACAAGTTTCTGAGAATGCTTCTGTCCAGTTTTTATGGGAAGATATTTCCTTTTTCAACTTAGCCATGAAAGCGCTCCAAAAGTCCAGTTCCAGATACTACAAAAGGAGTGTTTCAGGACTGCTCTATGAAAGGGAGTGTTCAACTTTTGACTTGAATGCAAACATCAGAAAGCAGTTTCTCAGAACGCTGCTGTGTGCTTTTTATATGTATTCCCGCTTCCAGCGAAATCCCCAAAGCTAGCCAAATAGCCACTTGCAGATTCCAGAAAAAGAGTGTTTCAAAACTGCTCCTTCAAAACGGTGGTTCAATTCTCTTAGTTGAGTACACACATCTCAAATAAGTTTCTGAGAATGCTTCTGTCTAGTTGTTATGGGAAGATATTTCCTTTTCCAACATAGGCCTGAAAGCGCTCCAAATGTCCACTTCCAGATACTACAAAAGGAGTGATTCAAACCTGCTCTATGATAGGGAATGTTCAACTCTGTGTCCTGAATACAAACATCACAAAGATGTTTCTCAGAACGCTGCAGTCTGCAATTTGTATGAATTCCCGCTTCCAACGAAATCCTCAAAACTAGCCAAATATCCACTTGCAGATTCCACAAAAAGAGCGTTTCAAAACTTCTCTATGAAAAGAAAGGTTCTACTCCTTTAGTTGAGGACACACATCACGAGTAAGTTTCTGAGAATGCTTCTGTCTAGTTTTTATGGGAAGATATTTCCTTTTTCACCTTAGGCCGGAAAGTGCTCCAAATGTCCACTTACACACACTACAAAAAGAGTGTTTCAAACCTGCTCTGTGAAAGGGAATGTTCAATTCTGTGACTTGAATGCAATCATCACAAAGAACTTTCTGAGAATGCTGCTGTCTGCTTTTTATATGTAATCCCGTTTCCAACGAAATCCTCAAATCTAGCCAAATAGCCACTTGTAGATTCCACAAAAAGAGTGTTTCAAAACTGTTCTGTCTAAAGAAATGTTCAACTGTGTTAGTTGAGGACACACATCAGAAACTAGTTTCTGAGAATGCTTCTGTCTAGTTGTTATGGGAAGATATTTCCTTTTCCAACGTAGGCCTGAAAGCGCTCCAAATGTCCACTTCCATATACTAAAAAAAGAGGGTTTCAAACCTGCTCTACCAAAGGGAATGTTCTACTCTGTGACTTGAATGCAAACATCCCAAAGAAGTTTCTGAGAATGCTTCTGTCTAGATTTGATCTGAAGACAATCCCGTTTCCAACGAAATCCTCAAGGCTAGGCAAATATCCTCTTGCAGATTCCAGAAAAAGAGTGTTTCAAAACTGCTCCTTCAAAACGGTGGTTCAATTCTCTTAGTTGAGTACACACATCTCAAATAAGTTTCTGAGAATGCTTCTGCCTAGTTGTTACGGGAAGATATTTCCCTTTCCAACATAGGCCTGAAAGCGCTCCAAATGTCCACTTCCAGATACTACAAAAAGAGTGTTTCAAACCTGCTCTACCAAAGGGAATGTTCTACTCTGTGACTTGAATGCAAACATCCCAAAGAAGTTTCTGAGAATGCTTCTGTCTAGATTTTACCTGAAGACAATCCCGTTTCCCACGAAATCCTCAAAGCTATGCAAATATCCTCTTGCAGATTCTACAAAAAGAGTGTTTCAAAACTGCTCTATGAAAAGAAAGGTTCAACTCTGTCAGTAGAGGGCACACATCACAAACAAGTTTCTGAGAATGCTTCTGCATAGTTGTTACGGGAAGATATTTCCCTTTCCAAAATAGGCCTGAAAGCGCTCCAAATGTCCACTTCCAGATACTACAAAAGGAGTGATTCCAACCTGCTCTATGATAGGGAATGTTCAACTCTGTGTCCTGAATACAAACATCACAAAGATGTTTCTCAGAACGCTGCAGTCTGCAATTTGTATGAATTCCCGCTTCCAACGAAATCCTCAAAACTAGCCAAATATCCACTTGCAGATTCCACAAAAAGACCATTTCAAAACTGCTCTATCAAAAGAAAGGTTCAACTTTGTTAGTTGAGTAGATACAGCATAAACAAGTTTCTGAGAATGCTTCTGTCCAGTTTTTATGGGAAGATATTTCCTTTTTCACCTTAGCCCTGAAATCGCTCCAAAAGTCCAGTTCCAGATACTACAAAAGGGGTGTTTCAAGACTGCTCTATGAAAGGGAGTGTTCAACTTTTGACTTGAATGCAAACATCAGAAAGCAGTTTCTCAGAACGCTGCTGTGTGCTTTTTATATGTATTCCCGCTTCCAGCGAAATCCCCAAAGCTAGCCAAATATCCACTTGCAGATTCCAGAAAAAGAGAGTTTCAAAACTGCTCCTTCAAAACGGTGGTTCAATTCTCTTAGTTGAGTACACACATCTCAAATAAGTTTCTGAGAATGCTTCTGTCTAGTTGTTATGGGAAGATATTTCCTTTTCCAACATAGGCCTGAAAGCGCTCCAAATGTCCACTTCCAGATACTACAAAAGGAGTGATTCAAACCTGCTCTATGATAGGGAATGTTCAACTCTGTGTCCTGAATACAAACATCACAAAGATGTTTCTCAGAACGCTGCAGTCTGCAATTTGTATGAATTCCCGCTTCCAACGAAATCCTCAAAACTAGCCAAATATCCACTTGCAGATTCCACAAAAAGAGCGTTTCAAAACTTCTCTATGAAAAGAAAGGTTCTACTCCTTTAGTTGAGGACACACATCACGAGTAAGTTTCTGAGAATGCTTCTGTCTAGTTTTTATGGGAAGATTATTTCCTTTTTCACCTTAGGCCGGTAAGTGCTCCAAATGTCCACTTACACACACTACAAAAAGAGTGTTTCAAACCTGCTCTGTGAAAGGGAATGTTCAATTCTGTGACTTGAATGCAATCATCACAAAGAACTTTCTGAGAATGCTGCTGACTGCTTTTTATATGTAATCCCGTTTCCAACGAAATCCTCAAATCTAGCCAAATAGCCACTTGCAGATTCCACAAAAAGAGTGTTTCAAAACTGTTCTGTCTAAAGAAATGTTCAACTGTGTTAGTTGAGGACACACATCAGAAACTAGTTTCTGAGAATGCTTGTCTGTCTAGTTGTTATGGGAAGATATTTCCTTTTCCAACGTAGGCCTGAAAGCGCTCCAAATGTCCACTTCCATATACTAAAAAAAGAGTGTTTCAAACCTGCTCTACCAAAGGGAATGTTCTACTCTGTGACTTGAATGCAAACATCCCAAAGAAGTTTCTGAGAATGCTTCTGTCTAGATTTTCTCTGAAGACAATCCCGTTTCCAACGAAATCCTCAAGGCTAGGCAAATATACTCTTGCAGATTCCAGAAAAAGAGTGTTTCAAAACTGCTCCTTCAAAACGGTGGTTCAATTCTCTTAGTTGAGTACACACATCTCAAATAAGTTTCTGAGAATGCTTCTGCCTAGTTGTTACGGGAAGATATTTCCCTTTCCAACATGGGCCTGAAGCGCTCCAAATGTCCACTTCCAGATACTACAAAAAGAGTGTTTCAAACCTGCTCTACCAAAGGGAATGTTCTACTCTGTGACTTGAATGCAAACATCCCAAAGAAGTTTCTGAGAATGCTTCTGTCTAGATTTTACCTGAAGACAATCCCGTTTCCCACGAAATCCTCAAAGCTATGCAAATATCCTCTTGCAGATTCTACAAAAAGAGTGTTTCAAAACTGCTCTATGAAAAGAAAGGTTCAACTCTGTCAGTAGAGGGCACACATCACAAACAAGTTTCTGAGAATGCTTCTGCATAGTTGTTACGGGAAGATATTTCCCTTTCCAAAATAGGCCTGAAAGCGCTCCAAATGTCCACTTCCAGATACTACAAAAGGAGTGATTCCAACCTGCTCTATGATAGGGAATGTTCAACTCTGTGTCCTGAATACAAACATCACAAAGATGTTTCTCAGAACGCTGCAGTCTGCAATTTGTATGAATTCCCGCTTCCAACGAAATCCTCAAAACTAGCCAAATATCCACTTGCAGATTCCACAAAAAGACCATTTCAAAACTGCTCTATCAAAAGAAAGGTTCAACTTTGTTAGTTGAGTAGATACAGCATAAACAAGTTTCTGAGAATGCTTCTGTCCAGTTTTTATGGGAAGATATTTCCTTTTTCACCTTAGCCCTGAAATCGCTCCAAAAGTCCAGTTCCAGATACTACAAAAGGGGTGTTTCAGGACTGCTCTATGAAAGGGAGTGTTCAACTTTTGACTTGAATGCAAACATCAGAAAGCAGTTTCTCAGAACGCTGCTGTGTGCTTTTTATATGTATTCCCGCTTCCAGCGAAATCCCCAAAGCTAGCCAAATATCCACTTGCAGATTCCAGAAAAAGAGAGTTTCAAAACTGCTCCTTCAAAACGGTGGTTCAATTCTCTTAGTTGAGTACACACATCTCAAATAAGTTTCTGAGAATGCTTCTGTCTAGTTGTTATGGGAAGATATTTCCTTTTCCAACATAGGCCTGAAAGCGCTCCAAATGTCCACTTCCAGATACTACAAAAGGAGTGATTCAAACCTGCTCTATGATAGGGAATGTTCAACTCTGTGTCCTGAATACAAACATCACAAAGATGTTTCTCAGAACGCTGCAGTCTGCAATTTGTATGAATTCCCGCTTCCAACGAAATCCTCAAAACTAGCCAAATATCCACTTGCAGATTCCACAAAAAGAGCGTTTCAAAACTTCTCTATGAAAAGAAAGGTTCTACTCCTTTAGTTGAGGACACACATCACGAGTAAGTTTCTGAGAATGCTTCTGTCTAGTTTTTATGGGAAGATATTTCCTTTTTCACCTTAGGCCGGTAAGTGCTCCAAATGTCCACTTACACACACTACAAAAAGAGTGTTTCAAACCTGCTCTGTGAAAGGGAATGTTCAATTCTGTGACTTGAATGCAATCATCACAAAGAACTTTCTGAGAATGCTGCTGACTGCTTTTTATATGTAATCCCGTTTCCAACGAAATCCTCAAATCTAGCCAAATAGCCACTTGCAGATTCCACAAAAAGAGTGTTTCAAAACTGTTCTGTCTAAAGAAATGTTCAACTGTGTTAGTTGAGGACACACATCAGAAACTAGTTTCTGAGAATGCTTCTGTCTAGTTGTTATGGGAAGATATTTCCTTTTCCAACGTAGGCCTGAAAGCGCTCCAAATGTCCACTTCCAGATACTACAAAAAGAGTGTTTCAAACCTGCTCTACCAAAGGGAATGTTCTACTCTGTGACTTGAATGCAAACATCCCAAAGAAGTTTCTGAGAATACTTCTGTCTAGATTTTCTCTGAAGACAATCCCGTTTCCAACGAAATCCTCAAGGCTAGGCAAATATACTCTTGCAGATTCCAGAAAAAGAGTGTTTCAAAACTGCTCCTTCAAAACGGTGGTTCAATTCTCTTAGTTGAGTACACACATCTCAAATAAGTTTCTGAGAATGCTTCTGCCTAGTTGTTACGGGAAGATATTTCCCTTTCCAACATGGGCCTGAAAGCGCTCCAAATGTCCACTTCCAGATACTACAAAAAGAGTGTTTCAAACCTGCTCTACCAAAGGGAATGTTCTACTCTGTGACTTGAATGCAAACATCCCAAAGAAGTTTCTGAGAATGCTTCTGTCTAGATTTTACCTGAAGACAATCCCGTTTCCCACGAAATCCTCAAAGCTATGCAAATATCCTCTTGCAGATTCTACAAAAAGAGTGTTTCAAAACTGCTCTATGAAAAGAAAGGTTCAACTCTGTCAGTAGAGGGCACACATCACAAACAAGTTTCTGAGAATGCTTCTGCATAGTTGTTACGGGAAGATATTTCCCTTTCCAAAATAGGCCTGAAAGCGCTCCAAATGTCCACTTCCAGATACTACAAAAGGAGTGATTCCAACCTGCTCTATGATAGGGAATGTTCAACTCTGTGTCCTGAATACAAACATCACAAAGATGTTTCTCAGAACGCTGCAGTCTGCAATTTGTATGAATTCCCGCTTCCAACGAAATCCTCAAAACTAGCCAAATATCCACTTGCAGATTCCACAAAAAGACCATTTCAAAACTGCTCTATCAAAAGAAAGGTTCAACTTTGTTAGTTGAGTAGATACAGCATAACCAAGTTTCTGAGAATGCTTCTGTCCAGTTTTTATGGGAAGATATTTCCTTTTTCACCTTAGCCCTGAAATCGCTCCAAAAGTCCAGTTCCAGATACTACAAAAGGGGTGTTTCAAGACTGCTCTATGAAAGGGAGTGTTCAACTTTTGACTTGAATGCAAACATCAGAAAGCAGTTTGCTCAGAACGCTGGCTGTGTGCTTTTTATATGTATTCCCGCTTCCAGCGAAATCCCCAAAGCTAGCCAAATATCCACTTGCAGATTCCAGAAAAAGAGAGTTTCAAAACTGCTCCTTCAAAACGGTGGTTCAATTCTCTTAGTTGAGTACACACATCTCAAATAAGTTTCTGAGAATGCTTCTGTCTAGTTGTTATGGGAAGATATTTCCTTTTCCAACATAGGCCTGAAAGCGCTCCAAATGTCCACTTCCAGATACTACAAAAGGAGTGATTCCAACCTGCTCTATGATAGGGAATGTTCAACTCTGTGTCCTGAATACAAACATCACAAAGATGTTTCTCAGAACGCTGCAGTCTGCAATTTGTATGAATTCCCGCTTCCAACGAAATCCTCAAAACTAGCCAAATATCCACTTGCAGATTCCACAAAAAGAGCGTTTCAAAACTTCTCTATGAAAAGAAAGGTTCTACTCCTTTAGTTGAGGACACACATCACGAGTAAGTTTCTGAGAATGCTTCTGTCTAGTTTTTATGGGAAGATATTTCCTTTTTCACCTTAGGCCGGTAAGTGCTCCAAATGTCCACTTACACACACTACAAAAAGAGTGTTTCAAACCTGCTCTGTGAAAGGGAATGTTCAATTCTGTGACTTGAATGCAATCATCACAAAGAACTTTCTGAGAATGCTGCTGACTGCTTTTTATATGTAATCCCGTTTCCAACGAAATCCTCAAATCTAGCCAAATAGCCACTTGCAGATTCCACAAAAAGAGTGTTTCAAAACTGTTCTGTCTAAAGAAATGTTCAACTGTGTTAGTTGAGGACACACATCAGAAACTAGTTTCTGAGAATGCTTCTGTCTAGTTGTTATGGGAAGATATTTCCTTTTCCAACGTAGGCCTGAAAGCGCTCCAAATGTCCACTTCCAGATACTACAAAAAGAGTGTTTCAAACCTGCTCTACCAAAGGGAATGTTCTACTCTGTGACTTGAATGCAAACATCCCAAAGAAGTTTCTGAGAATGCTTCTGTCTAGATTTTCTCTGAAGACAATCCCGTTTCCAACGAAATCCTCAAGGCTAGGCAAATATACTCTTGCAGATTCCAGAAAAAGAGTGTTTCAAAACTGCTCCTTCAAAACGGTGGTTCAATTCTCTTAGTTGAGTACACACATCTCAAATAAGTTTCTGAGAATGCTTCTGCCTAGTTGTTACGGGAAGATATTTCCCTTTCCAACATGGGCCTGAAAGCGCTCCAAATGTCCACTTCCAGATACTACAAAAAGAGTGTTTCAAACCTGCTCTACCAAAGGGAATGTTCTACTCTGTGACTTGAATGCAAACATCCCAAAGAAGTTTCTGAGAATGCTTCTGTCTAGATTTTACCTGAAGACAATCCCGTTTCCCACGAAATCCTCAAAGCTATGCAAATATCCTCTTGCAGATTCTACAAAAAGAGTGTTTCAAAACTGCTCTATGAAAAGAAAGGTTCAACTCTGTCAGTAGAGGGCACACATCACAAACAAGTTTCTGAGAATGCTTCTGCATAGTTGTTACGGGAAGATATTTCCCTTTCCAAAATAGGCCTGAAAGCGCTCCAAATGTCCACTTCCAGATACTACAAAAGGAGTGATTCCAACCTGCTCTATGATAGGGAATGTTCAACTCTGTGTCCTGAATACAAACATCACAAAGATGTTTCTCAGAACGCTGCAGTCTGCAATTTGTATGAATTCCCGCTTCCAACGAAATCCTCAAAACTAGCCAAATATCCACTTGCAGATTCCACAAAAAGACCATTTCAAAACTGCTCTATCAAAAGAAAGGTTCAACTTTGTTAGTTGAGTAGATACAGCATAACCAAGTTTCTGAGAATGCTTCTGTCCAGTTTTTATGGTAAGATATTTCCTTTTTCACCTTAGCCCTGAAATCGCTCCAAAAGTCCAGTTCCAGATACTACAAAAGGGGTGTTTCAAGACTGCTCTATGAAAGGGAGTGTTCAACTTTTGACTTGAATGCAAACATCAGAAAGCAGTTTCTCAGAACGCTGCTGTGTGCTTTTTATATGTATTCCCGCTTCCAGCGAAATCCCCAAAGCTAGCCAAATATCCACTTGCAGATTCCAGAAAAAGAGAGTTTCAAAACTGCTCCTTCAAAACGGTGGTTCAATTCTCTTAGTTGAGTACACACATCTCAAATAAGTTTCTGAGAATGCTTCTGTCTAGTTGTTATGGGAAGATATTTCCTTTTCCAACATAGGCCTGAAAGCGCTCCAAATGTCCACTTCCAGATACTACAAAAGGAGTGATTCAAACCTGCTCTATGATAGGGAATGTTCAACTCTGTGTCCTGAATACAAACATCACAAAGATGTTTCTCAGAACGCTGCAGTCTGCAATTTGTATGAATTCCCGCTTCCAACGAAATCCTCAAAACTAGCCAAATATCCACTTGCAGATTCCACAAAAAGAGCGTTTCAAAACTTCTCTATGAAAAGAAAGGTTCTACTCCTTTAGTTGAGGACACACATCACGAGTAAGTTTCTGAGAATGCTTCTGTCTAGTTTTTATGGGAAGATATTTCCTTTTTCACCTTAGGCCGGAAAGCGCTCCAAATGTCCACTTACACACACTACAAAAAGAGTGTTTCAAACCTGCTCTGTGAAAGGGAATGTTCAATTCTGTGACTTGAATGCAATCATCACAAAGAACTTTCTGAGAATGCTGCTGTCTGCTTTTTATATGTAATCCCGTTTCCAACGAAATCCTCAAATCTAGCCAAATATCCACTTGCAGATTCCACAAAAAGAGTGTTTCAAAACTGTTCTGTCTAAAGAAAAGTTCAACTGTGTTAGTTGAGGACACACATCAGAAACTAGTTTCTGAGAATGCTTCTGTCTAGTTGTTATGGGAAGATATTTCCTTTTCCAACGTAGGCCTGAAAGCGCTCCAAATGTCCACTTCCATATACTAAAAAAAGAGTGTTTCAAACCTGCTCTACCAAAGGGAATGTTCTACTCTGTGACTTGAATGCAAACATCCCAAAGAAGTTTCTGAGAATGCTTCTGTCTAGATTTTATCTGAAGACAATCCCGTTTCCAACGAAATTCTCAAGGCTAGGCAAATATACTCTTGCAGATTCCAGAAAAAGAGTGTTTCAAAACTGCTCCTTCAAAACGTTGGTTAAATTCTCTTAGTTGAGTACACACATCTCAAATAAGTTTCTGAGAATGCTTCTGCCTAGTTGTTACGGGAAGATATTTCCCTTTCCAACATGGGCCTGAAAGCGCTCCAAATGTCCACTTCCAGATACTACAAAAAGAGGGTTTCAAACCTGCTCTACCAAAGGGAATGTTCTACTCTGTGACTTGAATGCAAACATCCCAAAGAAGTTTCTGAGAATGCTTCTGTCTAGATTTTACCTGAAGACAATCCCGTTTCCCACGAAATCCTCAAAGCTATGCAAATATCCTCTTGCAGATTCTACAAAAAGAGTGTTTCAAAACTGCTCTATGAAAAGAAAGGTTCAACTCTGTCAGTAGAGGGCACACATCACAAACAAGTTTCTGAGAATGCTTGTGTCTAGTTGTTATGGGAAGATATTTCCTTTTTCAACATAGGCCTGAAAGCGCTCCAAATGTCCACTTCCAGATACTACAAAAGGAGTGATTCCAACCTGCTCTATGATAGGGAATGTTCATCTCTGTGTCCTGAATACAAACATCACAAAGATGTTTCTCAGAACGCTGCAGTCTGCAATTTGTATGAATTCCCGCTTCCAACGAAATCCTCAAAACTAGCCAAATATCCACTTGGAGATTCCACAAAAAGAGCGTTTCAAAACTTCTCTATGAATAGAAAGGTTCTACTCCTTTAGTTGAGGACACACATCACGAGTAAGTTTCTGAGAATGCTTCTGTCTAGTTTTTATGGGAAGATATTTCCTTTTTCACCTTAGGCCGGAAAGCGCTCCAAATGTCCACTTACACACACTACAAAAAGAGTGTTTCAAACCTGCTCTGTGAAAGGGAATGTTCAATTCTGTGACTTGAATGCAATCATCACAAAGAACTTTCTGAGAATTCTGCTGTCTGCTTTTTATATGTAATCCCGTTTCCAACGAAATCCTCAAATCTAGCCCAATATCCACTTGCAGATTCCACAAAAAGAGTGTTTCAAAACTGTTCTGTCTAAAGAAATGTACAACTGTGTTAGTTGAGGACACACATCAGAAACTAGTTTCTGAGAATGCTTCTGTCTAGTTGTTATGGGAAGATATTTCCTTTTCCAACGTAGGCCTGAAAGCGCTCCAAATGTCCACTTCCATATACTAAAAAAAGAGTGTTTCAAACCTGCTCTACCAAAGGGAATGTTCTACTCTGTGACTTGAATGCAAACATCCCAAAGAAGTTTCTGAGAATGCTTCTGTCTAGATTTTACCTGAAGACAATCCCGTTTCCCACGAAATCCTCAAAGCTATGCAAATATCCTCTTGCAGATTCTACAAAAAGAGTGTTTCAAAACTGCTCTATGAAAAGAAAGGTTCAACTCTGTCAGTAGAGGGCACACATCACAAACAAGTTTCTGAGAATGCTTCTGCATAGTTGTTACGGGAACATATTTCCCTTTCCAAAATAGGCCTGAAAGCGCTCCAAATGTCCACTTCCAGATACTACAAAAGGAGTGATTCCAACCTGCTCTATGATAGGGAATGTTCAACTCTGTGTCCTGAATACAAACATCACAAAGATGTTTCTCAGAACGCTGCAGTCTGCAATTTGTATGAATTCCCGCTTCCAACGAAATCCTCAAAACTAGCCAAATATCCACTTGCAGATTCCACAAAAAGACCATTTCAAAACTGCTCTATCAAAAGAAAGGTTCAACTTTGTTAGTTGAGTAGATACAGCATAAACAAGTTTCTGAGAATGCTTCTGTCCAGTTTGTATGGGAAGATATTTCCTTTTTCACCTTAGCCCTGAAATCGCTCCAAAAGTCCAGTTCCAGATACTACAAAAGGGGTGTTTCAAGACTGCTCTATGAAAGGGAGTGTTCAACTTTTGACTTGAATGCAAACATCAGAAAGCAGTTTCTCAGAACGCTGCTGTGTGCTTTTTATATGTATTCCCGCTTCCAGCGAAATCCCCAAAGCTAGCCAAATATCCACTTGCAGATTCCAGAAAAAGAGTGTTTCAAAACTGCTCCTTCAAAACGGTGGTTCAATTCTCTTAGTTGAGTACACACATCTCAAATAAGTTTCTGAGAATGCTTCTGTCTAGTTGTTATGGGAAGATATTTCCTTTTCCAACATAGGCCTGAAAGCGCTCCAAATGTCCACTTCCAGATACTACAAAAGGAGTGATTCAAACCTGCTCTATGATAGGGAATGTTCAACTCTGTGTCCTGAATACAAACATCACAAAGATGTTTCTCAGAACGCTGCAGTCTGCAATTTGTATGAATTCCCGCTTCCAACGAAATCCTCAAAACTAGCCAAATATCCACTTGCAGATTCCACAAAAAGAGTGTTTCAAAACTTCTCTATGAAAAGAAAGGTTCTACTCCTTTAGTTGAGGACACACATCACGAGTAAGTTTCTGAGAATGCTTCTGTCTAGTTTTTATGGGAAGATATTTCCTTTTTCACCTTAGGCCGGTAAGTGCTCCAAATGTCCACTTACACACACTACAAAAAGAGTGTTTCAAACCTGCTCTGTGAAAGGGAATGTTCAATTCTGTGACTTGAATGCAATCATCACAAAGAACTTTCTGAGAATGCTGCTGACTGCTTTTTATATGTAATCCCGTTTCCAACGAAATCCTCAAATCTAGCCAAATAGCCACTTGCAGATTCCACAAAAAGAGTGTTTCAAAACTGTTCTGTCTAAAGAAATGTTCAACTGTGTTAGTTGAGGACACACATCAGAAACTAGTTTCTGAGAATGCTTCTGTCTAGTTGTTATGGGAAGATATTTCCTTTTCCAACGTAGGCCTGAAAGCGCTCCAAATGTCCACTTCCAGATACTACAAAAAGAGTGTTTCAAACCTGCTCTACCAAAGGGAATGTTCTACTCTGTGACTTGAATGCAAACATCCCAAAGAAGTTTCTGAGAATGCTTCTGTCTAGATTTTCTCTGAAGACAATCCCGTTTCCAACGAAATCCTCAAGGCTAGGCAAATATACTCTTGCAGATTCCAGAAAAAGAGTGTTTCAAAACTGCTCCTTCAAAACGGTGGTTCAATTCTCTTAGTTGAGTACACACATCTCAAATAAGTTTCTGAGAATGCTTCTGCCTAGTTGTTACGGGAAGATATTTCCCTTTCCAACATGGGCCTGAAAGCGCTCCAAATGTCCACTTCCAGATACTACAAAAAGAGTGTTTCAAACCTGCTCTACCAAAGGGAATGTTCTACTCTGTGACTTGAATGCAAACATCCCAAAGAAGTTTCTGAGAATGCTTCTGTCTAGATTTTACCTGAAGACAATCCCGTTTCCCACGAAATCCTCAAAGCTATGCAAATATCCTCTTGCAGATTCTACAAAAAGAGTGTTTCAAAACTGCTCTATGAAAAGAAAGGTTCAACTCTGTCAGTAGAGGGCACACATCACAAACAAGTTTCTGAGAATGCTTCTGCATAGTTGTTACGGGAAGATATTTCCCTTTCCAAAATAGGCCTGAAAGCGCTCCAAATGTCCACTTCCAGATACTACAAAAGGAGTGATTCCAACCTGCTCTATGATAGGGAATGTTCAACTCTGTGTCCTGAATACAAACATCACAAAGATGTTTCTCAGAACGCTGCAGTCTGCAATTTGTATGAATTCCCGCTTCCAACGAAATCCTCAAAACTAGCCAAATATCCACTTGCAGATTCCACAAAAAGACCATTTCAAAACTGCTCTATCAAAAGAAAGGTTCAACTTTGTTAGTTGAGTAGATACAGCATAACCAAGTTTCTGAGAATGCTTCTGTCCAGTTTTTATGGGAAGATATTTCCTTTTTCACCTTAGCCCTGAAATCGCTCCAAAAGTCCAGTTCCAGATACTACAAAAGGGGTGTTTCAAGACTGCTCTATGAAAGGGAGTGTTCAACTTTTGACTTGAATGCAAACATCAGAAAGCAGTTTCTCAGAACGCTGCTGTGTGCTTTTTATATGTATTCCCGCTTCCAGCGAAATCCCCAAAGCTAGCCAAATATCCACTTGCAGATTCCAGAAAAAGAGTGTTTCAAAACTGCTCCTTCAAATCGGTGGTTCAATTCTCTTAGTTGAGTACACACATCTCAAATAAGTTTCTGAGAATGCTTCTGCCTAGTTGTTATAGGAAGATATTTCCTTTTTCAACATAGGCCTGAAAGCGCTCCAAATGTCCACTTCGAGATACTACAAAAGGAGTGATTCCAACCTGCTCGATGATAGGGAATGTTCAACTCTGTGTCCTGAATACAAACATCACAAAGATGTTTACTCAGAACGCTGCAGTCTGCAATTTGTATGAATTCCCGCTTCCAACGAAATCCTCCAAACTAGCCAAATATCCACTTGCAGATTCCACAAAAAGAGCGTTTCAAAACTTCTCTATGAAAAGAAAGGTTCTACTCCTTTAGTTGAGGACACACATCACGAGTAAGTTTCTGAGAATGCTTCTGTCTAGTTTTTATGGGAAGATATTTCCTTTTTCACCTTAGGTCGGAAAGTGCTCCAAATGTCCACTTACACACACTATAAAAAGAGTGTTTCAAACCTGCTCTGTGAATGGGAATGTTCAATTCTGTGACTTGAATGCAATCATCACAAAGAACTTTCTGAGAATGCTGCTGTCTGCTTTTTATATGTAATCCCGTTTCCAACGAAATCCTCAAATCTAGCCAAATAGCCACTTGCAGATTCCACAAAAAGAGAGTTTCAAAACTGTTCTGTCTAAAGAAATGTTCAACTGTGTTAGTTGAGGACACACATCAGAAACTAGTTTCTGAGAATGCTTCTGTCTAGTTGTTATGGGAAGATATTTCCTTTTCCAACGTAGGCCTGAAAGCGCTCCAAATGTCCACTTCCATATACGAAAAAAAGAGTGTTTCAAACCTGCTCTACCAAAGGGAATGTTCTACTCTGTGACTTGAATGCAAACATCCCAAAGAAGTTTCTGAGAATGCTTCTGTCTAGATTTTATCTGAAGACAATCCCGTTTCCAACGAAATCCTCAAGGCTAGGCAAATATACTCTTGCAGATTCCAGAAAAAGAGTGTTTCAAAACTGCTCCTTCAAAACGGTGGTTCAATTCTCTTAGTTGAGTACACACATCCCAAATAAGTTTCTGAGAATGCTTCTGCCTAGTTGTTACGGGAAGATATTTCCCTTTCCAAGATAGGCCTGAAAGCGCTTCAAATGTCCACTTCCAGATACTACAAAAAGAGTGTTTGAAACCTGCTCTACCAAAGGGAATGTTCTACCCTTTGACTTGAATGCAAACATCCCAAAGAAGTTTCTGAGAATGCTTCTGTCTAGATTTTACCTGGAGACAATCCCGTTTCCCACGAAATCCTCAAATCTATGCAAATATCCTCTTGCAGATTCTACAAAAAGAGTGTTTCGAAAGTGCTCTATGAAAAGAAAGGTTCAACTGTGTCAGTAGAGGGCACACATCACAAACAAGTTTCTGAGAATGCCTCTGTCTAGTTGTTATGGGAAGATATTTCCTTTTTCAACATATGCCTGAAAGCGCTCCAAATGTCCACTTCCAGATACCACAAAAGGACTGATTCCAACCTGCTCTATGATAGGGAATGTTCAACTCTGTGTCCTGAATACAAACATCACAAAGATGTTTCTCAGAACGCTGCAGTCTGCAATTTGTATGAATTCCCGCTTCCAATGAAATCCTCAAAACTAGCCAAATATCCACTTGCAGAGTCCACAAAAAAAGCGTTTCAAAACTTCTCTATGAAAAGAAAGGTTCTACTCCTTTAGTTGAGGACACACATCACGAGTAAGTTTCTGAGAATGCTTCTGTCTAGTTTTTATGGGAAGATATTTCCTTCTTCACCTTAGGCCGGAAAGCGCTCCAAATGTCCACTTACACACACTACAAAAAGAGTGTTTCAAACCTGCTCTGTGAAAGGGAATGTTCAATTCTGTGACTTGAATGCAATCATCACAAAGAAGTTTCTGAGAATGCTGCTGTCTGCTTTTTATATGTAATCCCGTTTCCAACGAAATCCTCAAATCTAGCCAAATATCCACTTGCAGAATCCACAAAAAGAGTGTTTCAAAACTGTTCTGTCTAAAGAAATGTTCAACTGTGTTAGTTGAGGACACACATCACAAACTAGTTTCTGAGAATGCTTCTGTCTAGTTGTTATGGGAAGATATTTCCTTTTCCAACGTAGGCCTGAAAGCGCTCCAAATGTCCACTTACACACACTACAAAAAGAGTGTTTCAAACCTGCTCTACCAAAGGGAATGTTCTACTCTGTGACTTGAATGCAAACATCCCAAAGAAGTTTCTGAGAATGCTTCTGTCTAGATTTTACCTGAAGACAATCCCGTTTCCCACAAAATCCTCAAAGCTATGCAAATATCCTCTTGCAGATTCTACAAAAAGAGTGTTTCGAAAGTGCTCTATGAAAAGAAAGGTTCAACTGTGTCAGTAGAGGGCACACATCACAAACAAGTTTCTGAGAATGCTTCTGCCTAGTTGTTATGGGAAGATATTTCCTTTTTCAACATAGGCCTGAAAGCGCTCCAAATGTCCACTTGCAGATACTACAAAAGGAGTGATTCCAACCTGCTCTATGATAGGGAATCTTCAACTCTGTGTCCTGAATACAAACATCACAAAGATGTTTCTCAGAACGCTGCAGTCTGCAATTTGTATGAATTCCCGCTTCCAACGAAATCCTCCAAACTAGCCAAATATCCACTTGCAGATTCCACAAAAAGAGCGTTTCAAAACTTCTCTATGAAAAGAAAGGTTCTACTCCTTTAGTTGAGGACACACATCACGAGTAAGTTTCTGAGAATGCTTCTGTCTAGTTTTTATGGGAAGATATTTCCTTGTTCACCTTAGGCCGGAAAGCGCTCCAAATGTCCACTTACACACACTAGAAAAAGAGTGTTTCAAACCAGCTCTGTGAAAGGGAATGTTCAATTCTGTGACTTGAATGCAATCATCACAAAGAAGTTTCTGAGAATGCTGCTGTCTGCTTTTTATATGTAATCCCGTTTCCAACGAAATCCTCAAATCTAGCCAAATAGCCACTTGCAGATTCCACAAAAAGAGAGTTTCAAAACTGTTCTGTCTAAAGAAATGTTCAACTGTGTTAGTTGAGGACACACATCAGAAACTAGTTTCTGAGAATGCTTCTGTCTAGTTGTTATGGGAAGATATTTCCTTTTCCAACGTAGGCCTGAAAGCGCTCCAAATGTCCACTTCCATATACTAAAAAAAGAGTGTTTCAAACCTGCTCTACCAAAGGGAATGTTCTACTCTGTGACTTGAATGCAAACATCCCAAAGAAGTTTCTGAGAATGCTTCTGTCTAGATTTGATCTGAAGACAATCCCGTTTCCAACGAAATCCTCAAGGCTAGGCAAATATCCTCTTGCAGATTCCAGAAAAAGAGTGTTTCAAAACTGCTCCTTCAAAACGGTGGTTCAATTGCTACTTAGTTGAGTACACACATCTCAAATAAGTTTCTGAGAATGCTTTCTGCCTAGTTGTTACGGGAAAGATATTTCCCTTTCCAACATGGGCCTGAAAGCGCTCCAAATGTCCACTTCCAGATACTACAAAAAGAGTGTTTCAAACCTGCTCTACCAAAGGGAATGTTCTACTCTGTGACTTGAATGCAAACATCCCAAAGAAGTTTCTGAGAATGCTTCTGTCTAGATTTTACCTGAAGACAATCCCGTTTCCCACGAAATCCTCAAAGCTATGCAAATATCCTCTTGCGGATTCTATAAAAGAGTGTTTCAAAACTGCTCTATGAAAAGAAAGGTTCAACTCTGTCAGTAGAGGGCACACATCACAAACAAGTTTCTGAGAATGCTTGTGTCTAGTTGTTATGGGAAGATATTTCCTTTTTCAACATAGGCCTGAAAGCGCTCCAAATGTCCACTTCCAGATACTACAAAAGGAGTGATTCCAACCTGCTCTATGATAGGGAATGTTCATCTCTGTGTCCTGAATACAAACATCACAAAGATGTTTCTCAGAACGCTGCAGTCTGCAATTTGTATGAATTCCCGCTTCCAACGAAATCCTCAAAACTAGCCAAATATCCACTTGGAGATTCCACAAAAAGAGCGTTTGAAAACTTCTCTATGAATAGAAAGGTTCTACTCCTTAAGTTGAGGACACACATCACGAGTAAGTTTCTGAGAATGCTTCTGTCTAGTTTTTATGGGAAGATATTTCCTTTTTCACCTTAGGCCGGAAAGCGCTCCAAATGTCCACTTACACACACTACAAAAAGAGTGTTTCAAACCTGCTCTGTGAAAGGGAATGTTCAATTCTGTGACTTGAATGCAATCATCACAAAGAACTTTCTGAGAATGCTGCTGTCTGCTTTTTATATGTAATCCCGTTTCCAACGAAATCCTCAAATCTAGCCCAATATCCACTTGCAGATTCCACAAAAAGAGTGTTTCAAAACTGTTCTGTATAAAGAAATGTACAACTGTGTTAGTTGAGGACACACATCAGAAACTAGTTTCTGAGAATGCTTCTGTCTAGTTGTTATGGGAAGATATTTCCTTTTCCAACGTAGGCCTGAAAGCGCTCCAAATGTCCACTTCCATATACTAAAAAAAGAGTGTTTCAAACCTGCTCTACCAAAGGGAATGTTCTACTCTGTGACTTGAATGCAAACATCCCAAAGAAGTTTCTGAGAATGCTTCTGTCTAGATTTGATCTGAAGACAATCCCGTTTCCAACGAAATCCTCAAGGCTAGGCAAATATACTCTTGCAGATTCCAGAAAAAGAGTGTTTCAAAACTGCTCCTTCAAAACGGTGGTTCAATTCTCTTAGTTGAGTACACACATCTCAAATAAGTTTCTGAGAATGCTTCTGCCTAGTTGTTACGGGAAGATATTTCCCTTTCCAACATGGGCCTGAAAGCGCTCCAAATGTCCACTTCCAGATACTACAAAAAGAGTGTTTCAAACCTGCTCTACCAAAGGGAATGTTCTACTCTGTGACTTGAATGCAAACATCCCAAAGAAGTTTCTGAGAATGCTTCTGTCTAGATTTTACCTGAAGACAATCCCGTTTCCCACGAAATCCTCAAAGCTATGCAAATATCCTCTTGCGGATTCTACAAAAAGAGTGTTTCAAAACTGCTCTATGAAAAGAAAGGTTCAACTCTGTCAGTAGAGGGCACACATCACAAACAAGTTTCTGAGAATGCTTGTGTCTAGTTGTTATGGGAAGATATTTCCTTTTTCAACATAGGCCTGAAAGCGCTCCAAATGTCCACTTCCAGATACTACAAAAGGAGTGATTCCAACCTGCTCTATGATAGGGAATGTTCATCTCTGTGTCCTGAATACAAACATCACAAAGATGTTTCTCAGAACGCTGCAGTCTGCAATTTGTATGAATTCCCGCTTCCAACGAAATCCTCAAAACTAGCCAAATATCCACTTGGAGATTCCACAAAAAGAGCGTTTCAAAACTTCTCTATGAATAGAAAGGTTCTACTCCTTTAGTTGAGGACACACATCACGAGTAAGTTTCTGAGAATGCTTCTGTCTAGTTTTTATGGGAAGATATGTCCTTTTTCACCTTAGGCCGGAAAGCGCTCCAAATGTCCACTTACACACACTACAAAAAGAGTGTTTCAAACCTGCTCTGTGAAAGGGAATGTTCAATTCTGTGACTTGAATGCAATCATCACAAAGAACTTTCTGAGAATGCTGCTGACTGTTTTTTATATGTAATCCCGTTTCCAACGAAATCCTCAAATCTAGCCCAATATCCACTTGCAGATTCCACAAAAAGAGTGTTTCAAAACTGTTCTGTCTAAAGAAAAGTTCAACTGTGTTAGTTGAGGACACACATCAGAAACTAGTTTCTGAGAATGCTTCTGTCTAGTTGTTATGGGAAGATATTTCCTTTTCCAACGTAGGCCTGAAAGCGCTCCAAATGTCCACTTCCATATACTAAAAAAAGAGTGTTTCAAACCTGCTCTACCAAAGGGAATGTTCTACTCTGTGACTTGAATGCAAACATCCCAAAGAAGTTTCTGAGAATGCTTCTGTCTAGATTTGATCTGAAGACAATCCCGTTTCCAACGAAATCCTCAAGGCTAGGCAAATATCCTCTTGCAGATTCCAGAAAAAGAGTGTTTCAAAACTGCTCCTTCAAAACGGTGGTTCAATTCTCTTAGTTGAGTCCACACATCTCAAATAAGTTTCTGAGAATGCTTCTGCCTAGTTGTTACGGGAAGATATTTCCCTTTCCAACATAGACCTGAAAGCGCTCCAAATGTCCACTTCCAGATACTACAAAAAGAGTGTTTCAAACCTGCTCTACCAAAGGGAATGTTCTGCTCTGTGACTTGAATGCAAACATCCCAAAGAAGTTTCTGAGAATGCTTCTGTCTAGATTTTACCTGAAGACAATCCCGTTTCCCACGAAATCCTCAAAGCTATGCAAATATCCTCTTGCAGATTCTACAAAAAGAGTGTTTCAAAACTGCTCTATGAAAAGAAAGGTTCAACTCTGTCAGTAGAGGGCACACATCACAAACAAGTTTCTGAGAATGCTTCTGCATAGTTGTTACGGGAAGATATTTCCCTTTCCAAAATAGGCCTGAAAGCGCTCCAAATGTCCACTTCCAGATACTACAAAAGGAGTGATTCCAACCTGCTCTATGATAGGGAATGTTCAACTCTGTGTCCTGAATACAAACATCACAAAGATGTTTCTCAGAACGCTGCAGTCTGCAATTTGTATGAATTCCCGCTTCCAACGAAATCCTCAAAACTAGCCAAATATCCACTTGCAGATTCCACAAAAAGACCATTTCAAAACTGCTCTATCAAAAGAAAGGTTCAACTTTGTTAGTTGAGTAGATACAGCATAAACAAGTTTCTGAGAATGCTTCTGTCCAGTTTTTATGGGAAGATATTTCCTTTTTCACCTTAGCCCTAAAATCGCTCCAAAAGTCCAGTTCCAGATACTACAAAAGGGGTGTTTCAAGACTGCTCTATGAAAGGGAGTGTTCAACTTTTGACTTGAATGCAAACATCAGAAAGCAGTTTCTCAGAACGCTGCTTTGTGCTTTTTATATGTATTCCCGCTTCCAGCGAAATCCCCAAAGCTAGCCAAATATCCACTTGCAGATTCCAGAAAAAGAGTGTTTCAAAACTGCTCCTTCAAAACGGTGGTTCAATTCTCTTAGTTGAGTAGACACATCTCAAATAAGTTTCTGAGAATGCTTCTGTCCAGTTTTTATGGGAAGATATTTCCTTTTTCACCTTAGCCCTGAAAGCGCTCCAAAAGTTCAGTTCCAGATACTACAAAAGGAGTGTTTCAGGACTGCACTATGAAAGGGAGTGTTCAACTTTTGACTTGAATGCAAACATCAGAAAGCAGTTTCTCAGAACGCTGCAGTCTGCAATTTGTATGAATTCCCGCTTCCAACGAAATCCTCAAAACTAGCCAAATATCCACTTGCAGATTCCACAAAAAGAGCGTTTCAAAACTTCTCTATGAAAAGAAAGGTTCTACTGCTTTAGTTGAGGACACACATCACGAGTAAGTTTCTGAGAATGCTTCTGTCTAGTTTTTATGGGAAGATATTTCCTTTTTCACCTTAGGCCGGTAAGTGCTCCAAATGTCCACTTACACACACTACAAAAAGAGTGTTTCAAACCTGCTCTGTGAAAGGGAATGTTCAATTCTGTGACTTGAATGCAATCATCACAAAGAACTTTCTGAGAATGCTGCTGACTGCTTTTTATATGTAATCCCGTTTCCAACGAAATCCTCAAATCTAGCCAAATAGCCACTTGCAGATTCCACAAAAAGAGTGTTTCAAAACTGTTCTGTCTAAAGAAAAGTTCAACTGTGTTAGTTGAGGACACACATCAGAAACTAGTTTCTGAGAATGCTTCTGTTTAGTTGTTATGGGAAGATATTTCCTTTTCCAACGTAGGCCTGAAAGCGCTCCAAATGTCCACTTCCATATACTAAAAAAAGAGTGTTTCAAATCTGCTCTACCAAAGGGAATGTTCTACTCTGTGACTTGAATGCAAACATCCCAAAGAAGTTTCTGAGAATGCTTCTGTCTAGATTTTATCTGAAGACAATCCCGTTTCCAACGAAATCCTCAAGGCTAGGCAAATATACTCTTGCAGATTCCAGAAAAAGAGTGTTTCAAAACTGCGCCTTCAAAACGGTGGTTCAATTCTCTTAGTTGAGTACACACATCTCAAATAAGTTTCTGAGAATGCTTCTGCCTAGTTGTTACGGGAAGATATTTCCCTTTCCAACATGGGCCTGAAAGCGCTCCAAATGTCCACTTCCAGATACTACAAAAAGAGTGTTTCAAACCTGCTCTACCAAAGGGAATGTTCTACTCTGTGACTTGAATGCAAACATCCCAAAGAAGTTTCTGAGAATGCTTCTGTCTAGATTTTACCTGAAGACAATCCCGTTTCCCACGAAATCCTCAAAGCTATGCAAATATCCTCTTGCAGATTCTACAAAAAGAGTGTTTCAAAACTGCTCTATGAAAAGAAAGGTTCAACTCTGTCAGTAGAGGGCACACATCACAAACAAGTTTCTGAGAATGCTTCTGCATAGTTGTTACGGGAAGATATTTCCCTTTCCAAAATAGGCCTGAAAGCGCTCCAAATGTCCACTTCCAGATACTACAAAAGGAGTGATTCCAACCTGCTCTATGATAGGGAATGTTCAACTCTGTGTCCTGAATACAAACATCACAAAGATGTTTCTCAGAACGCTGCAGTCTGCAATTTGTATGAATTCCCGCTTCCAACGAAATCCTCAAAACTAGCCAAATATCCACTTGCAGATTCCACAAAAAGACCATTTCAAAACTGCTCTATCAAAAGAAAGTTCAACTTTGTTAGCTGAGTAGATACAGCATAAACAAGTTTCTGAGAATGCTTCTGTCCAGTTTTTATGGGAAGATATTTCCTTTTTCACCTTAGCCCTGAAATCGCTCCAAAAGTCCAGTTCCAGATACTACAAAAGGGGTGTTTCAAGACTGCTCTATGAAAGGGAGTGTTCAACTTTTGACTTGAATGCAAACATCAGAAAGCAGTTTCTCAGAACGCTGCTGTGTGCTTTTTATATGTATTCCCGCTTCCAGCGAAATCCCCAAAGCTAGCCAAATATCCACTTGCAGATTCCAGAAAAAGAGTGTTTCAAAACTGCTCCTTCAAAACGGTGGTTCAATTCTCTTAGTTGAGTACACACATCTCAAATAAGTTTCTGAGAATGCTTGTGTCTAGTTGTTATGGGAAGATATTTCCTTTTTCAACATAGGCCTGAAAGCGCTCCAAATGTCCACTTCCAGATACTACAAAAGGAGTGATTCCAACCTGCTCTATGATAGGGAATGTTCAACTCTCTGTCCTGAATACAAACATCACAAAGATGTTTCTCAGAACGCTGCAGTCTGCAATTTGTATGAATTCCCGCTTCCAACGAAATCCTCAAAACTAGCCAAATATCCACTTGCAGATTCCACAAAAAGAGCGTTTCAAAACTTCTCTATGAAAAGAAAGGTTCTACTCCTTTAGTTGAGGACACACATCACGAGTAAGTTTCTGAGAATGCTTCTGTCTAGTTTTTAAGGGAAGATATTTCCTTTTTCACCTTAGGCCGGAAAGTGCTCCAAATGTCCACTTACACACACTACAAAAAGAGTGTTTCAAACCTGCTCTGTGAAAGGGAATGTTCAATTCTGTGACTTGAATGCAATCATCACAAAGAACTTTCTGAGAATGCTGCTGTCTGCTTTTTATATGTAATCCCGTTTCCAACGAAATCCTCAAATCTAGCCAAATAGCCACTTGCAGATTCCACAAAAAGAGTGTTTCAAAACTGTTCTGTCTAAAGAAATGTTCAACTGTGTTAGTTGAGGACACACATCAGAAACTAGTTTCTGAGAATGCTTCTGTCTAGTTGTTATGGGAAGATATTTCCTTTTCCAACGTAGGCCTGAAAGCGCTCCAAATGTCCACTTCCATATACTAAAAAAAGAGTGTTTCAAACCTGCTCTACCAAAGGGAATGTTCTACTCTGTGACTTGAATGCAAACATCCCAAAGAAGTTTCTGAGAATGCTTCTGTCTAGATTTGATCTGAAGACAATCCCGTTTCCAACGAAATCCTCAAGGCTAGGCAAATATCCTCTTGCAGATTCCAGAAAAAGAGTGTTTCAAAACTGCTCCTTCAAAACGGTGGTTCAATTCTCTTAGTTGAGTACACACATCTCAAATAAGTTTCTGAGAATGCTTCTGCCTAGTTGTTACGGGAAGATATTTCCCTTTCCAACATAGGCCTGAAAGCGCTCCAAATGTCCACTTCCAGATACTACAAAAAGAGTGTTTCAAACCTGCTCTACCAAAGGGAATGTTCTGCTCTGTGACTTGAATGCAAACATCCCAAAGAAGTTTCTGAGAATGCTTCTGTCTAGATTTTACCTGAAGACAATCCCGTTTCCCACGAAATCCTCAAAGCTATGCAAATATCCTCTTGCAGATTCTACAAAAAGAGTGTTTCAAAACTGCTCTATGAAAAGAAAGGTTCAACTCTGTCAGTAGAGGGCACACATCACAAACAAGTTTCTGAGAATGCTTGTGTCTAGTTGTTATGGGAAGATATTTCCTTTTTCAACATAGGCCTGAAAGCGCTCCAAATGTCCACTTCCAGATACTACAAAAGGAGTGATTCCAACCTGCTCTATGATAGGGAATGTTCAACTCTCTGTCCTGAATACAAACATCACAAAGATGTTTCTCAGAACGCTGCAGTCTGCAATTTGTATGAATTCCCGCTTCCAACGAAATCCTCAAAACTAGCCAAATATCCACTTGCAGATTCCACAAAAAGAGCATTTCAAAACTGCTCTATGAAAAGAAAGGTTCAACTCTGTCAGTAGAGGGCACACATCACAAACAAGTTTCTGAGAATGCTTGTGTCTAGTTGTTATGGGAAGATATTTCCTTTTTCAACATAGGCCAGAAAGCGCTCCAAAAGTCCAGTTCCAGATACTACAAAAGGAGTGTTTCAGGACAGCACTATGAAAGGGAGTGTTCAACTTTTGACTTGAATGCAAACATCAGAAAGCAGTTTCTCAGAACGCTGCAGTCTGCAATTTGTATGAATTCCCGCTTCCAGCGAAATCCTCAAAACTAGCCAAATATCCACTTGCAGATTCCACAAAAAGAGCATTTCAAAACTGCTCTATCAAAAGAAAGGTTCAACTTTGTTAGTTGAGTAGATACAGCATAAACAAGTTTCTGAGAATGCTTCTGTCCAGTTTTTATGGGAAGATATTTCCTTTTTCACCTTAGCCCTGAAAGCGCTCCAAAAGTCCAGTTCCAGATACTACAAAAGGAGTGTTTCAGGACTGCTCTATGAAAGGGAGTGTTCAACTTTTGACTTGAATGCAAACATCAGAAAGCAGTTTCTCAGAACGCTGCTGTGTGCTTTTTATATGTATTCCCGCTTCCAGCGAAATCCCCAAAGCTAGCCAAATATCCACTTGCAGATTCCAGAAAAAGAGTGTTTCAAAACTGCTCCTTCAAAACGGTGGTTCAATTCTCTTAGTTGAGTACACACATCTCAAATAAGTTTCTGAGAATGCTTCTGTCTAGTTGTTATGGGAAGATATTTCCTTTTCCAACATAGGCCTGAAAGCGCTCCAAATGTCCACTTCCGGATACTACAAAAGGAGTGATTCAAACCTGCTCTATGATAGGGAATGTTCAACTCTGTGTCCTGAATACAAACATCACAAAGATGTTTCTCAGAACGCTGCAGTCTGCAATTTGTATGAATTCCCGCTTCCAACGAAATCCTCAAAACTAGCCAAATATCCACTTGCAGATTCCACAAAAAGAGCGTTTCAAAACTTCTCTATGAAAAGAAAGGTTCTACTCCTTTAGTTGAGGACACACATCACGAGTAAGTTTCTGAGAATGCTTCTGTCTAGTTTTTATGGGAAGATATTTCCTTTTTCACCTTAGGCCGGTAAGTGCTCCAAATGTCCACTTACACACACTACAAAAAGAGTGTTTCAAACCTGCTCTGTGAAAGGGAATGTTCAATTCTGTGACTTGAATGCAATCATCACAAAGAACTTTCTGAGAATGCTGCTGACTGCTTTTTATATGTAATCCCGTTTCCAACGAAATCCTCAAATCTAGCCAAATAGCCACTTGCAGATTCCACAAAAAGAGTGTTTCAAAACTGTTCTGTCTAAAGAAATGTTCAACTGTGTTAGTTGAGGACACACATCAGAAACTAGTTTCTGAGAATGCTTCTGTCTAGTTGTTATGGGAAGATATTTCCTTTTCCAACGTAGGCCTGAAAGCGCTCCAAATGTCCACTTCCAGATACTACAAAAAGAGTGTTTCAAACCTGCTCTACCAAAGGGAATGTTCTACTCTGTGACTTGAATGCAAACATCCCAAAGAAGTTTCTGAGAATGCTTCTGTCTAGATTTTCTCTGAAGACAATCCCGTTTCCAACGAAATCCTCAAGGCTAGGCAAATATACTCTTGCAGATTCCAGAAAAAGAGTGTTTCAAAACTGCTCCTTCAAAACGGTGGTTCAATTCTCTTAGTTGAGTACACACATCTCAAATAAGTTTCTGAGAATGCTTCTGCCTAGTTGTTACGGGAAGATATTTCCCTTTCCAACATGGGCCTGAAAGCGCTCCAAATGTCCACTTCCAGATACTACAAAAAGAGTGTTTCAAACCTGCTCTACCAAAGGGAATGTTCTACTCTGTGACTTGAATGCAAACATCCCAAAGAAGTTTCTGAGAATGCTTCTGTCTAGATTTTACCTGAAGACAATCCCGTTTCCCACGAAATCCTCAAAGCTATGCAAATATCCTCTTGCAGATTCTACAAAAAGAGTGTTTCAAAACTGCTCTATGAAAAGAAAGGTTCAACTCTGTCAGTAGAGGGCACACATCACAAACAAGTTTCTGAGAATGCTTCTGCATAGTTGTTACGGGAAGATATTTCCCTTTCCAAAATAGGCCTGAAAGCGCTCCAAATGTCCACTTCCAGATACTACAAAAGGAGTGATTCCAACCTGCTCTATGATAGGGAATGTTCAACTCTGTGTCCTGAATACAAACATCACAAAGATGTTTCTCAGAACGCTGCAGTCTGCAATTTGTATGAATTCCCGCTTCCAACGAAATCCTCAAAACTAGCCAAATATCCACTTGCAGATTCCACAAAAAGACCATTTCAAAACTGCTCTATCAAAAGAAAGGTTCAACTTTGTTAGTTGAGTAGATACAGCATAAACAAGTTTCTGAGAATGCTTCTGTCCAGTTTTTATGGGAAGATATTTCCTTTTTCACCTTAGCCCTGAAATCGCTCCAAAAGTCCAGTTCCAGATACTACAAAAGGGGTGTTTCAAGACTGCTCTATGAAAGGGAGTGTTCAACTTTTGACTTGAATGCAAACATCAGAAAGCAGTTTCTCAGAACGCTGCTGTGTGCTTTTTATATGTATTCCCGCTTCCAGCGAAATCCCCAAAGCTAGCCAAATATCCACTTGCAGATTCCAGAAAAAGAGTGTTTCAAAACTGCTCCTTCAAAACGGTGGTTCAATTCTCTTAGTTGAGTACACACATCTCAAATAAGTTTCTGAGAATGCTTCTGTCTAGTTGTTATGGGAAGATATTTCCTTTTCCAACATAGGCCTGAAAGCGCTCCAAATGTCCACTTCCAGATACTACAAAAGGAGTGATTCCAACCTGCTCTATGATAGGGAATGTTCAACTCTGTGTCCTGAATACAAACATCACAAAGATGTTTCTCAGAACGCTGCAGTCTGCAATTTGTATGAATTCCCGCTTCCAACGAAATCCTCAAAACTAGCCAAATATCCACTTGCAGAGTCCACAAAAAGAGCGTTTCAAAACTTCTCTATGAAAAGAAAGGTTCTACTCCTTTAGTTGAGGACACACATCACGAGTAAGTTTCTGAGAATGCTTCTGTCTAGTTTTTATGGGAAGATATTTCCTTGTTCACCTTAGGCCGGAAAGCGCTCCAAATGTCCACTTACACACACTACAAAAAGAGTGTTTCAAACCTGCTCTGTGAAAGGGAATGTTCAATTCTGTGACTTGAATGCAATCATCACAAAGAAGTTTCTGAGAATGCTGCTGACTGCTTTTTATATGTAATCCCGTTTCCAACGAAATCCTCAAATCTAGCCAAATATCCACCTGCAGATTCCACAAAAAGAGTGTTTCAAAACTGTTCTGTCTAAAGAAATGTTCAACTGTGTTAGTTGAGGACACACATCAGAAACTAGTTTCTGAGAATGCTTCTGTCTAGTTGTTATGGGAAGATATTTCCTTTTCCAACGTAGGCCTGAAAGCGCTCCAAATGTCCACTTCCATATACTAAAAAAAGAGTGTTTCAAACCTGCTCTACCAAAGGGAATGTTCTACTCTGTGACTTGAATGCAAACATCCCAAAGAAGTTTCTGAGAATGCTTCTGTCTAGATTTTCTCTGAAGACATTCCCGTTTCCAACGAAATCCTCAAGGCTAGGCAAATATACTCTTGCAGATTCCAGAAAAAGAGTGTTTCAAAACTGCTCCTTCAAAACGGTGGTTCAATTCTCTTAGTTGAGTACACACATCTCAAATAAGTTTCTGAGAATGCTTCTGCCTAGTTGCTACGGGAAGATATTTCCTTTTCCAACATGGGCCTGAAAGCGCTCCAAATGTCCACTTCCAGATACTACAAAAAGAGTGTTTCAAACCTGCTCTACCAAAGGGAATGTTCTACTCTGTGACTTGAATGCAAACATCCCAAAGAAGTTTCTGAGAATGCTTCTGTCTAGATTTTACCTGAAGACAATCCCGTTTCCCACGAAATCCTCAAAGCTATGCAAATATCCTCTTGCAGATTCTACAAAAAGAGTGTTTCAAAACTGCTCTATGAAAAGAAAGGTTCAACTCTGTCAGTAGAGGGCACACATCACAAACAAGTTTCTGAGAATGCTTCTGCATAGTTGTTACGGGAAGATATTTCCCTTTCCAAAATAGGCCTGAAAGCGCTCCAAATGTCCACTTCCAGATACTACAAAAGGAGTGATTCCAACCTGCTCTATGATAGGGAATGTTCAACTCTGTGTCCTGAATACAAACATCACAAAGATGTTTCTCAGAACGCTGCAGTCTGCAATTTGTATGAATTCCCGCTTCCAAGGAAATCCTCAAAACTAGCCAAATATCCACTTGCAGATTCCACAAAAAGAGCATTTCAAAACTGCTCTATCAAAAGAAAGGTTCAACTTTGTTAGTTGAGTAGATACAGCATAAACAAGTTTCTGAGAATGCTTCTGTCCAGTTTTTATGGGAAGATATTTCCTTTTTCACCTTAGCCCTGAAAGCGCTCCAAAAGTCCAGTTCCAGATACTGCAAAAGGAGTGTTTCAGGACTGCTCTATGAAAGGGAGTGTTCAACTTTTGACTTGAATGCAAACATCAGAAAGCAGTTTCTCAGAACGCTGCTGTGTGCTTTTTATATGTATTCCCGCTTCCAGCGAAATCCCCAAAGCTAGCCAAATATCCACTTGCAGATTCCAGAAAAAGAGTGTTTCAAAACTGCTCCTTCAAAACGGTGGTTCAATTCTCTTAGTTGAGTACACACATCTCAAATAAGTTTCTGAGAATGCTTCTGTCTAGTTGTTATGGGAAGATATTTCCTTTTCCAACATAGGCCTGAAAGCGCTCCAAATGTCCACTTCCAGATACTACAAAAGGAGTGATTCAAACCTGCTCTATGATAGGGAATGTTCAACTCTGTGTCCTGAATACAAACATCACAAAGATGTTTCTCAGAACGCTGCAGTCTGCAATTTGTATGAATTCCCGCTTCCAACGAAATCCTCAAAACTAGCCAAATATCCACTTGCAGATTCCACAAAAAGAGCGTTTCAAAACTTCTCTATGAAAAGAAAGGTTCTACTCCTTTAGTTGAGGACACACATCACGAGTAAGTTTCTGAGAATGCTTCTGTCTAGTTTTTATGGGAAGATATTTCCTTTTTCACCTTAGGCCGGTAAGTGCTCCAAATGTCCACTTACACACACTACAAAAAGAGTGTTTCAAACCTGCTCTGTGAAAGGGAATGTTCAATTCTGTGACTTGAATGCAATCATCACAAAGAACTTTCTGAGAATGCTGCTGACTGCTTTTTATATGTAATCCCGTTTCCAACGAAATCCTCAAATCTAGCCAAATAGCCACTTGCAGATTCCACAAAAAGAGTGTTTCAAAACTGTTCTGTCTAAAGAAATGTTCAACTGTGTTAGTTGAGGACACACATCAGAAACTAGTTTCTGAGAATGCTTCTGTCTAGTTGTTATGGGAAGATATTTCCTTTTCCAACGTAGGCCTGAAAGCGCTCCAAATGTCCACTTCCAGATACTAAAAAAAGAGTGTTTCAAACCTGCTCTACCAAAGGGAATGTTCTACTCTGTGACTTGAATGCAAACATCCCAAAGAAGTTTCTGAGAATGCTTCTGTCTAGATTTTCTCTGAAGACAATCCCGTTTCCAACGAAATCCTCAAGGCTAGGCAAATATACTCTTGCAGATTCCAGAAAAAGAGTGTTTCAAAACTGCTCCTTCAAAACGGTGGTTCAATTCTCTTAGTTGAGTACACACATCTCAAATAAGTTTCTGAGAATGCTTCTGCCTAGTTGTTACGGGAAGATATTTCCCTTTCCAACATGGGCCTGAAAGCGCTCCAAATGTCCACTTCCAGATACTACAAAAAGAGTGTTTCAAACCTGCTCTACCAAAGGGAATGTTCTACTCTGTGACTTGAATGCAAACATCCCAAAGAAGTTTCTGAGAATGCTTCTGTCTAGATTTTACCTGAAGACAATCCCGTTTCCCACGAAATCCTCAAAGCTATGCAAATATCCTCTTGCAGATTCTACAAAAAGAGTGTTTCAAAACTGCTCTATGAAAAGAAAGGTTCAACTCTGTCAGTAGAGGGCACACATCACAAACAAGTTTCTGAGAATGCTTCTGCATAGTTGTTACGGGAAGATATTTCCCTTTCCAAAATAGGCCTGAAAGCGCTCCAAATGTCCACTTCCAGATACTACAAAAGGAGTGATTCCAACCTGCTCTATGATAGGGAATGTTCAACTCTGTGTCCTGAATACAAACATCACAAAGATGTTTCTCAGAACGCTGCAGTCTGCAATTTGTATGAATTCCCGCTTCCAACGAAATCCTCAAAACTAGCCAAATATCCACTTGCAGATTCCACAAAAAGACCATTTCAAAACTGCTCTATCAAAAGAAAGGTTCAACTTTGTTAGTTGAGTAGATACAGCATAAACAAGTTTCTGAGAATGCTTCTGTCCAGTTTTTATGGGAAGATATTTCCTTTTTCACCTTAGCCCTGAAATCGCTCCAAAAGTCCAGTTCCAGATACTACCAAAGGGGTGTTTCAGGACTGCTCTATGAAAGGGAGTGTTCAACTTTTGACTTGAATGCAAACATCAGAAAGCAGTTTCTCAGAACGCTGCTGTGTGCTTTTTATATGTATTCCCGCTTCCAGCGAAATCCCCAAAGCTAGCCAAATATCCACTTGCAGATTCCAGAAAAAGAGAGTTTCAAAACTGCTCCTTCAAAACGGTGGTTCAATTCTCTTAGTTGAGTACACACATCTCAAATAAGTTTCTGAGAATGCTTCTGTCTAGTTGTTATGGGAAGATATTTCCTTTTCCAACATAGGCCTGAAAGCGCTCCAAATGTCCACTTCCAGATACTACAAAAGGAGTGATTCCAACCTGCTCTATGATAGGGAATGTTCAACTCTGTGTCCTGAATACAAACATCACAAAGATGTTTCTCAGAACGCTGCAGTCTGCAATTTGTATGAATTCCCGCTTCCAACGAAATCCTCAAAACTAGCCAAATATCCACTTGCAGATTCCACAAAAAGAGCGTTTCAAAACTTCTCTATGAAAAGAAAGGTTCTACTCCTTTAGTTGAGGACACACATCACGAGTAAGTTTCTGAGAATGCTTCTGTCTAGTTTTTATGGGAAGATATTTCCTTTTTCACCTTAGGCCGGAAAGCGCTCCAAATGTCCACTTACACACACTACAAAAAGAGTGTTTCAAACCTGCTCTGTGAAAGGGAATGTTCAATTCTGTGACTTGAATGCAATCATCACAAAGAACTTTCTGAGAATGCTGCTGACTGCTTTTTACATGTAATCCCGTTTCCAAAGAAATCCTCAAATCTAGCCCAATATCCACTTGCAGATTCCACAAAAAGAGTGTTTCAAAACTGTTCTGTCTAAAGAAATATACAAGTGTGTTAGTTGAGGACACACATCAGAAACTAGTTTCTGAGAATGCTTCTGTCTAGTTGTTATGGGAAGATATTTCCTTTTCCAACGTAGGCCTGAAAGCGCTCCAAATGTCCACTTCCATATACTAAAAAAAGAGTGTTTCAAACCTGCTCTACCAAAGGGAATGTTCTACTCTGTGACTTGAATGCAAACATCTCAAAGAAGTTTCTGAGAATGCTTCTGTCTAGATTTTCTCTGAAGACAATCCCGTTTCCAACGAAAATCTCAAGGCTAGGCAAATATACTCTTGCAGATTCCAGAAAAAGAGTGTTTCAAAACTGCTCCTTCAAAACGGTGGTTCAATTCTCTTAGTTGAGTACACACATCTCAAATAAGTTTCTGAGAATGCTTCTGCCTAGTTGTTACGGGAAGATATTTCCCTTTCCAACATGGGCCTGAAAGCGCTCCAAATGTCCACTTCCAGATACTACAAAAAGAGTGTTTCAAACCTGCTCTACCAAAGGGAATGTTCTACTCTGTGACTTGAATGCAAACATCCCAAAGAAGTTTCTGAGAATGCTTCTGTCTAGATTTTACCTGAAGACAATCCCGTTTCCCACGAAATCCTCAAAGCTATGCAAATATCCTCTTGCAGATTCTACAAAAAGAGTGTTTCAAAACTGCTCTATGAAAAGAAAGGTTCAACTCTGTCAGTAGAGGGCACACATCACAAACAAGTTTCTGAGAATGCTTCTGCATAGTTGTTACGGGAAGATATTTCCCTTTCCAAAATAGGCCTGAAAGCGCTCCAAATGTCCACTTCCAGATACTACAAAAGGAGTGATTCCAACCTGCTCTATGATAGGGAATGTTCAACTCTCTGTCCTGAATACAAACATCACAAAGATGTTTCTCAGAACGCTGCAGTCTGCAATTTGTATGAATTCCCGCTTCCAACGAAATCCTCAAAACTAGCCAAATATCCACTTGCAGATTCCACAAAAAGACCATTTCAAAACTGCTCTATCAAAAGAAAGGTTCAACTTTGTTAGTTGAGTAGATACAGCATAACCAAGTTTCTGAGAATGCTTCTGTCCAGTTTTTATGGGAAGATATTTCCTTTTTCACCTTAGCCCTGAAATCGCTCCAAAAGTCCAGTTCCAGATACTACAAAAGGGGTGTTTCAAGACTGCTCTATGAAAGGGAGTGTTCAACTTTTGACTTGAATGCAAACATCAGAAAGCAGTTTCTCAGAACGCTGCTGTGTGCTTTTTATATGTATTCCCGCTTCCAGCGAAATCCCCAAAGCTAGCCAAATATCCACTTGCAGAATCCAGAAAAAGAGTGTTTCAAAACTGCTCCTTCAAAACGGTGGTTCAATTCTCTTAGTTGAGTACACACATCTCAAATAAGTTTCTGAGAATGCTTCTGTCTAGTTGTTATGGGAAGATATTTCCTTTTCCAACATAGGCCTGAAAGCGCTCCAAATGTCCACTTCCAGATACTACAAAAGGAGTGATTCAAACCTGCTCTATGATAGGGAATGTTCAACTCTGTGTCCTGAATACAAACATCACAAAGATGTTTCTCAGAACGCTGCAGTCTGCAATTTGTATGAATTCCCGCTTCCAACGAAATCCTCCAAACTAGCCAAATATCCACTTGCAGATTCCACAAAAAGAGCGTTTCAAAACTTCTCTATGAAAAGAAAGGTTCTACTCCTTTAGTTGAGGACACACATCACGAGTAAGTTTCTGAGAATGCTTCTGTCTAGTTTGTATGGGAAGATATTTCCTTTTTCACCTTAGGCCGGAAAGTGCTCCAAATGTCCACTTACACACACTACAAAAAGAGTGTTTCAAACCTGCTCTGTGAAAGGGAATGTTCAATTCTGTGACTTGAATGCAATCATCACAAAGAACTTTCTGAGAATGCTGCTGTCTGCTTTTTATATGTAATCCCGTTTCCAACCGAAATCCTCAAATCTAGCCAAATAGCCACTTGCAGATTCCACAAAAAGAGTGTTTCAAAACTGTTCTGTCTAAAGAAATGTGCAACTGTGTTAGTTGAGGACACACATCAGAAACTAGTTTCTGAGAATGCTTCTGTCTAGTTGTTATGGGAAGATATTTCCTTTTCCAACGTAGGCCTGAAAGCGCTCCAAATGTCCACTTCCATATACTAAAAAAAGAGTGTTTCAAACCTGCTCTACCAAAGGGAATGTTCTACTCTGTGACTTGAATGCAAACATCCCAAAGAAGTTTCTGAGAATGCTTCTGTCTAGATTTGATCTGAAGACAATCCCGTTTCCAACGAAATCCTCAAGGCTAGGCAAATATCCTCTTGCAGATTCCAGAAAAAGAGTGTTTCAAAACTGCTCCTTCAAAACGGTGGTTCAATTCTCTTAGTTGAGTACACACATCTCAAATAAGTTTCTGAGAATGCTTCTGCCTAGTTGTTACGGGAAGATATTTCCCTTTCCAACATAGGCCTGAAAGCGCTCCAAATGTCCACTTCCAGATACTACAAAAAGAGTGTTTCAAACCTGCTCTACCAAAGGGAATGTTCTACTCTGTGACTTGAATGCAAACATCCCAAAGAAGTTTCTGAGAATGCTTCTGTCTAGATTTTACCTGAAGACAATCCCGTTTCCCACGAAATCCTCAAAGCTATGCAAATATCCTCTTGCAGATTCTACAAAAAGAGTGTTTCAAAACTGCTCTATGAAAAGAAAGGTTCAACTCTGTCAGTAGAGGGCACACATCACAAACAAGTTTCTGAGAATGCTTCTGCATAGTTGTTACGGGAAGATATTTCCCTTTCCAAAATAGGCCTGAAAGCGCTCCAAATGTCCACTTCCAGATACTACAAAAGGAGTGATTCCAACCTGCTCTATGATAGGGAATGTTCAACTCTGTGTCCTGAATACAAACATCACAAAGATGTTTCTCAGAACGCTGCAGTCTGCAATTTGTATGAATTCCCGCTTCCAACGAAATCCTCAAAACTAGCCAAATATCCACTTGCAGATTCCACAAAAAGACCATTTCAAAACTGCTCTATCAAAAGAAAGGTTCAACTTTGTTAGTTGAGTAGATACAGCATAACCAAGTTTCTGAGAATGCTTCTGTCCAGTTTTTATGGGAAGATATTTCCTTTTTCACCTTAGCCCTGAAATCGCTCCAAAAGTCCAGTTCCAGATACTACAAAAGGGGTGTTTCAAGACTGCTCTATGAAAGGGAGTGTTCAACTTTTGACTTGAATGCAAACATCAGAAAGCAGTTTCTCAGAACGCTGCTGTGTGCTTTTTATATGTATTCCCGCTTCCAGCGAAATCCCCAAAGCTAGCCAAATATCCACTTGCAGATTCCAGAAAAAGAGAGTTTCAAAACTGCTCCTTCAAAACGGTGGTTCAATTCTCTTAGTTGAGTACACACATCTCAAATAAGTTTCTGAGAATGCTTCTGTCTAGTTGTTATGGGAAGATATTTCCTTTTCCAACATAGGCCTGAAAGCGCTCCAAATGTCCACTTCCAGATACTACAAAAGGAGTGATTCAAACCTGCTCTATGATAGGGAATGTTCAACTCTGTGTCCTGAATACAAACATCACAAAGATGTTTCTCAGAACGCTGCAGTCTGCAATTTGTATGAATTCCCGCTTCCAACGAAATCCTCAAAACTAGCCAAATATCCACTTGCAGATTCCACAAAAAGACCATTTCAAAACTTCTCTATCAAAAGAAAGGTTCAACTTTGTTAGTTGAGTAGATACAGCATAAACAAGTTTCTGAGAATGCTTCTGTCCAGTTTTTATGGGAAGATATTTCCTTTTTCACCTTAGCCCTGAAATCGCTCCAAAAGTCCAGTTCCAGATACTACAAAAGGGGTGTTTCAAGACTGCTCTATGAAAGGGAGTGTTCAACTTTTGACTTGAATGCAAACATCAGAAAGCAGTTTCTCAGAACGCTGCTGTGTGCTTTTTATATGTATTCCCGCTTCCAGCGAAATCCCCAAAGCTAGCCAAATATCCACTTGCAGATTCCAGAAAAAGAGAGTTTCAAAACTGCTCCTTCAAAACGGTGGTTCAATTCTCTTAGTTGAGTACACACATCTCAAATAAGTTTCTGAGAATGCTTCTGTCTAGTTGTTATGGGAAGATATTTCCTTTTCCAACATAGGCCTGAAAGCGCTCCAAATGTCCACTTCCAGATACTACAAAAGGAGTGATTCAAACCTGCTCTATGATAGGGAATGTTCAACTCTGTGTCCTGAATACAAACATCACAAAGATGTTTCTCAGAACGCTGCAGTCTGCAATTTGTATGAATTCCCGCTTCCAACGAAATCCTCAAAACTAGCCAAATATCCACTTGCAGATTCCACAAAAAGAGCGTTTCAAAACTTCTCTATGAAAAGAAAGGTTCTACTCCTTTAGTTGAGGACACACATCACGAGTAAGTTTCTGAGAATGCTTCTGTCTAGTTTTTATGGGAAGATTATTTCCTTTTTCACCTTAGGCCGGTAAGTGCTCCAAATGTCCACTTACACACACTACAAAAAGAGTGTTTCAAACCTGCTCTGTGAAAGGGAATGTTCAATTCTGTGACTTGAATGCAATCATCACAAAGAACTTTCTGAGAATGCTGCTGACTGCTTTTTATATGTAATCCCGTTTCCAACGAAATCCTCAAATCTAGCCAAATAGCCACTTGCAGATTCCACAAAAAGAGTGTTTCAAAACTGTTCTGTCTAAAGAAATGTTCAACTGTGTTAGTTGAGGACACACATCAGAAACTAGTTTCTGAGAATGCTTCTGTCTAGTTGTTATGGGAAGATATTTCCTTTTCCAACGTAGGCCTGAAAGCGCTCCAAATGTCCACTTCCAGATACTACAAAAAGAGTGTTTCAAACCTGCTCTACCAAAGGGAATGTTCTACTCTGTGACTTGAATGCAAGCATCCCAAAGAAGTTTCTGAGAATGCTTCTGTCTAGATTTTCTCTGAAGACAATCCCGTTTCCAACGAAATCCTCAAGGCTAGGCAAATATACTCTTGCAGATTCCAGAAAAAGAGTGTTTCAAAACTGCTCCTTCAAAACGGTGGTTCAATTCTCTTAGTTGAGTACACACATCTCAAATAAGTTTCTGAGAATGCTTCTGCCTAGTTGTTACGGGAAGATATTTCCCTTTCCAACATGGGCCTGAAAGCGCTCCAAATGTCCACTTCCAGATACTACAAAAAGAGTGTTTCAAACCTGCTCTACCAAAGGGAATGTTCTACTCTGTGACTTGAATGCAAACATCCCAAAGAAGTTTCTGAGAATGCTTCTGTCTACATTTTACCTGAAGACAATCCCGTTTCCCACGAAATCCTCAAAGCTATGCAAATATCCTCTTGCAGATTCTACAAAAAGAGTGTTTCAAAACTGCTCTATGAAAAGAAAGGTTCAACTCTGTCAGTAGAGGGCACACATCACAAACAAGTTTCTGAGAATGCTTGTGTCTAGTTGTTATGGGAAGATATTTCCTTTTTCAACATAGGCCTGAAAGCGCTCCAAATGTCCACTTCCAGATACTACAAAAGGAGTGATTCCAACCTGCTCTATGATAGGGAATGTTCATCTCTGTGTCCTGAATACAAACATCACAAAGATGTTTCTCAGAACGCTGCAGTCTGCAATTTGTATGAATTCCCGCTTCCTACGAAATCCTCAACACTAGCCAAATATCCACTTGGAGATTCCACAAAAAGAGCGTTTCAAAACTTCTCTATGAATAGAAAGGTTCTACTCCTTTAGTTGAGGACACACATCACGAGTAAGTTTCTGAGAATGCTTCTGTCTAGTTTTTATGGGAAGATATGTCCTTTTTCACCTTAGGCCGGAAAGCGCTCCAAATGTCCACTTACACACACTACAAAAAGAGTGTTTCAAACCTGCTCTGTGAAAGGTAATGTTCAATTCTGTGACTTGAATGCAATCATCACAAAGAACTTTCTGAGAATGCTGCTGACTGCTTTTTATATGTAATCCCGTTTCCAACGAAATCCTCAAATCTAGCCCAATATCCACTTGCAGATTCCACAAAAAGAGTGTTTCAAAACTGTTCTGTGTAAAGAAATGTACAACTGTGTTAGTTGAGGACACACATCAGAAACTAGTTTCTGAGAATGCTTCTGTCTAGTTGTTATGGGAAGATATTTCCTTTTCCAATGTAGGCCTGAAAGCGCTCCAAATGTCCACTTCCATATACTAAAAAAAGAGTGTTTCAAACCTGCTCTACCAAAGGGAATGTTCTACTCTGTGACTTGAATGCAAACATCCCAAAGAAGTTTCTGAGAATGCTTCTGTCTAGATTTTATCTGAAGACAATCCCGTTTCCAACGAAATCCTCAAGGCTAGGAAAATATACTCTTGCAGATTCCAGAAAAAGAGTGTTTCAAAACTGCTCCTTCAAAACGGTGGTTCAATTCTCTTAGTTGAGTACACACATCTCAAATAAGTTTCTGACAATGCTTCTGCCTAGTTGTTACGGGAAGATATTTCCCTTTCCAACATGGGCCTGAAAGCGCTCCAAATGTCCACTTCCAGATACTACAAAAAGAGGGTTTCAAACCTGCTCTACCAAAGGGAATGTTCTACTCTGTGACTTGAATGCAAACATCCCAAAGAAGTTTCTGAGAATGCTTCTGTCTAGATTTTACCTGAAGACAATCCCGTTTCCCACGAAATCCTCAAAGCTATGCAAATATCCTCTTGCAGATTCTACAAAAAGAGTGTTTCAAAACTGCTCTATGAAAAGAAAGGTTCAACTCTGTCAGCAGAGGGCACACATCACAAACAAGTTTCTGAGAATGCTTGTGTCTAGTTGTTATGGGAAGATATTTCCTTTTTCAACATAGGGCCTGAAAGCGCTCCAAATGTCCACTTCCAGATACTACAAAAGGAGTGATTCCAACCTGCTCTATGATAGGGAATGTTCATCTCTGTGTCCTGAATACAAACATCACAAAGATGTTTCTCAGAACGCTGCAGTCTGCAATTTGTATGAATTCCCGCTTCCAACGAAATCCTCAAAACTAGCCAAATATCCACTTGCAGATTCCACAAAAAGAGCATTTCAAAACTGCTCTATCAAAAGAAAGGTTCAACTTTGTTAGTTGAGTAGATACAGCATAAACAAGTTTCTGAGAATGCTTCTGTCCAGTTTTTATGGGAAGATATTTCCTTTTTCACCTTAGCCCTGAAAGCGCTCCAAAAGTCCAGTTCCAGATACTACAAAAGGAGTGTTTCAGGACTGCACTATGAAAGGGAGTGTTCAACTTTTGACTTGAATGCAAACATCAGAAAGCAGTTTCTCAGAACGCTGCTGTGTGCTTTTTATATGTATTCCCGCTTCCAGCGAAATCCCCAAAGCTAGCCAAATATCCACTTGCAGATTCCAGAAAAAGAGTGTTTCAAAACTGCTCCTTCAAAACGGTGGTTCAATTCTCTTAGTTGAGTACACACATCTCAAATAAGTTTCTGAGAATGCTTCTGTCTAGTTGTTATGGGAAGATATTTCCTTTTCCAACATAGGCCTGAAAGCGCTCCAAATGTCCACTTCCAGATACTACAAAAGGAGTGATTCAAACCTGCTCTATGATAGGGAATGTTCAACTCTGTGTCCTGAATACAAACATCACAAAGATGTTTCTCAGAACGCTGCAGTCTGCAATTTGTATGAATTCCCGCTTCCAACGAAATCCTCAAAACTAGCCAAATATCCACTTGCAGATTCCACAAAAAGAGCGTTTCAAAACTTCTCTATGAAAAGAAAGGTTCTACTCCTTTAGTTGAGGACACACATCACGAGTAAGTTTCTGAGAATGCTTCTGTCTAGTTTTTATGGGAAGATTATTTCCTTTTTCACCTTAGGCCGGTAAGTGCTCCAAATGTCCACTTACACACACTACAAAAAGAGTGTTTCAAACCTGCTCTGTGAAAGGGAATGTTCAATTACTGTGACTTGAATGCAATCATCACAAAGAACTTTCTGAGAATGCTGCTGACTGCTTTTTATATGTAATCCCGTTTCCAACGAAATCCTCAAATCTAGCCAAATAGCCACTTGCAGATTCCACAAAAAGAGTGTTTCAAAACTGTTCTGTCTAAAGAAATGTTCAACTGTGTTAGTTGAGGACACACATCAGAAACTAGTTTCTGAGAATGCTTCTGTCTAGTTGTTATGGGAAGATATTTCCTTTTCCAACGTAGGCCTGAAAGCGCTCCAAATGTCCACTTCCAGATACTAAAAAAAGAGTGTTTCAAACCTGCTCTACCAAAGGGAATGTTCTACTCTGTGACTGGAATGCAAGCATCCCAAAGAAGTTTCTGAGAATGCTTCTGTCTAGATTTTCTCTGAAGACAATCCCGTTTCCAACGAAATCCTCAAGGCTAGGCAAATATACTCTTGCAGATTCCAGAAAAAGAGTGTTTCAAAACTGCTCCTTCAAAACGGTGGTTCAATTCTGCTTAGTTGAGTACACACATCTCAAATAAGTTTCTGAGAATGCTTCTGCCTAGTTGTTACGGGAAGATATTTCCCTTTCCAACATGGGCCTGAAAGCGCTCCAAATGTCCACTTCCAGATACTACAAAAAGAGGGTTTCAAACCTGCTCTACCAAAGATAATGTTCTACTCTGTGACTTGAATGCAAACATCCCAAAGAAGTTTCTGAGAATGCTTCTGTCTAGATTTTACCTGAAGACAATCCCGTTTCCCACGAAATCCTCAAATCTATGCAAATATCCTCTTGCAGATTCTACAAAAAGAGTGTTTCAAAACTGCTCTATGAAAAGAAAGGTTCAGCTCTGTCAGTAGAGGGCACATATCACAAACAAGTTTCTGAGAATGCTTGTGTCTAGTTGTTATGGGAAGATATTTCCTTTTTCAACATAGGCCTGAAAGCGCTCCAAATGTCCACTTCCAGATACTACAAAAGGAGTGATTCCAACCTGCTCTATCATAGGGAATGTTCATCTCTGTGTCCTGAATACAAACATCACAAAGATGTTTCTCAGAACGCTGCAGTCTGCAATTTGTATGAATTCCCGCTTCCAACGAAATCCTCAAAACTAGCCAAATATCCACTTGGAGATTCCACAAAAAGAGCATTTCAAAACTTCTCTATGAATAGAAAGGTTCTACTCCTTTAGTTGAGGACACACATCACGAGTAAGTTTCTGAGAATGCTTCTGTCTAGTTTTTATGGGAAGATATTTCCTTTTTCACCTTAGGCCGGAAAGCGCTCCAAATGTCCACTTACACACACTACATAAAGAGTGTTTCAAACCTGCTCTTTGAAAGGGAATGTTCAATTCTGTGACTTGAATGCAATCATCACAAAGAACTTTCTGAGAATGCTGCTGTCTGCTTTTTATATGTAATCCCGTTTCCAACGAAATCCTCAAATCTAGCTAAATATCCACTTGCAGATTCCACAAAAAGAGTGTTTCAAAACTGTCCTGTCTAAAGAAAAGTTCAACTGTGTTAGTTGAGGACACACATCAGAAACTAGTTTCTGAGAATGCTTCTGTCTAGTTGTTATGGGAAGATATTTCCTTTTCCAACGTAGGCCTGAAAGCGCTCCAAATGTCCACTTCCATATACTAAAAAAAGAGTGTTTCAAACCTGCTCTACCAAAGGGAATATTCTACTCTGTGACTTGAATGCAAACATCCCAAAGAAGTTTCTGAGAATGCTTCTGTCTAGATTTTATCTGAAGACAATCCCGTTTCCAACGAAATCCTCAAGGCTAGGCAAATATCCTCTTGCAGATTCCAGAAAAAGAGTGTTTCAAAACTGCTCCTTCAAAACGGTGGTTCAATTCTCTTAGTTGAGTACACACATCTCAAATAAGTTTCTGAGAATGCTTCTGCCTAGTTGTTACGGGAAGATATTTCCCTTTCCAACATGGGCCTGAATGCGCTCAAAATGTCCACTTCCAGATACTACAAAAAGTGGGTTTCAAACCTGCTCTACCAAAGGGAATGTTCTACTCTGTGACTTGAATGCAAACATCCCAAAGAAGTTTCTGAGAATGCTTCTGTCTAGATTTTACCTGAACACAATCACGTTTCCCACGAAATCCTCAAAGCTATGCAAATATCCTCTTGCAGATTCTACAAAAAGAGTGTTTCAAAACTGCTCTATGAAAAGAAAGGTTCAACTCTGTCAGTAGAGGGCACACATCACAAACAAGTTTCTGAGAATGCTTGTGTCTAGTTGTTATGGGAAGATATTTCCTTTTTCAACATAGGCCTGAAAGCGCTCCAAATGTCCACTTCCAGATACTACAAAAGGAGTGATTCCAACCTGCTCTATGATAGGGAATGTTCATCTCTGTGTCCTGAATACAAACATCACAAAGATGTTTCTCAGAACGCTGCAGTCTGCAATTTGTATGAATTCCCGCTTCCAACGAAATCCTCAAAACTAGCCAAATATCCACTTGGAGATTCCACAAAAAGAGCCTTTCAAAACTTCTCTATGAATAGAAAGGTTCTACTCCTTTAGTTGAGGACACACATCACGAGTAAGTTTCTGAGAATGCTTCTGTCTAGTTTTTATGGGAAGATATTTCCTTTTTCACCTTAGGCCGGAAAGCGCTCCAAATGTCCACTTACACACACTACATAAAGAGTGTTTCAAACCTGCTCTGTGAAAGGGAATGTTCAATTCTGTGACTTGAATGCAATCATCACAAAGAACTTTCTGAGAATGCTGCTGTCTGCTTTTTATATGTAATCCCGTTTCCAACGAAATCCTCAAATCTAGCCAAATATCCACTTGCAGATTCCACAAAAAGAGTGTTTCAAAACTGTTCTGTCTAAAGAAAAGTTCAACTGTGTTAGTTGAGGACACACATCAGAAACTAGTTTCTGAGAATGCTTCTGTCTAGTTGTTATGGGAAGATATTTCCTTTTCCAACATAGGCCTGAAAGCGCTCCAAATGTCCACTTCCATATACTAAAAAAAGAGTGTTTCAAACCTGCTCTACCAAAGGGAATGTTCTACTCTGTGACTTGAATGCAAACATCCCAAAGAAGTTTCTGAGAATGCTTCTGTCTAGATTTGATCTGAACACAATCCCGTTTCCGACGAAATCCTCAAAGCTAGGCAAATATCCTCTTGCAGATTCCAGAAAAAGAGTGTTTCAAAACTGCTCCTTCAAAACGGTGGTTCAATTCTCTTAGTTGAGTACACACATCTCAAATAAGTTTCTGAGAATGCTTCTGCCTAGTTGTTACCGGAAGATATTTCCCTTTCCAACATAGGCCTGAAAGCGCTCCAAATGTCCACTTCCAGATACTACAAAAAGAGTGTTTCAAACCTGCTCTACCAAAGGGAATGTTCTACTCTGTGACTTGAATGCAAACATCCCAAAGAAGTTTCTGAGAATGCTTCTGTCTAGATTTTACCTGAAGACAATCCCGTTTCCCACGAAATCCTCAAAGCTATGCAAATATCCTCTTGCAGATTCTACAAAAAGAGTGTTTCAAAACTGCTCTATGAAAAGAAAGGTTCAACTCTGTCAGTAGAGGGCACACATCACAAACAAGTTTCTGAGAATGCTTGTGTCTAGTTGTTATGGGAAGATATTTCCTTTTTCAACATAGGCCTGAAAGCGCTCCAAATGTCCACTTCCAGATACTACAAAAGGAGTGATTCCAACCTGCTCTATGATAGGGAATGTTCAACTCTCTGTCCTGAATACAAACATCACAAAGATGTTTCTCAGAACGCTGCAGTCTGCAATTTGTATGAATTCCCGCTTCCAACGAAATCCTCAAAACTAGCCAAATATCCACTTGCAGATTCCACAAAAAGACCATTTCAAAACTGCTCTATCAAAAGAAAGGTTCAACTTTGTTAGTTGAGTAGATACAGCATAAACAAGTTTCTGAGAATGCTTCTGTCCAGTTTTTATGGGAAGATATTTCCTTTTTCACCTTAGCCCTGAAAGCGCTCCAAAAGTCCAGTTCCAGATACTACAAAAGGAGTGTTTCAGGACTGCTCTATGAAAGGGAGTGTTCAACTTTTGACTTGAATGCAAACATCAGAAAGCAGTTTCTCAGAACGCTGCTGTGTGCTTTTTATATGTATTCCCGCTTCCAGCGAAATCCCCAAAGCTAGCCAAATATCCACTTGCAGATTCCAGAAAAAGAGTGTTTCAAACTGCTCCTTCAAAACGGTGGTTCAATTCTCTTAGTTGAGTACACACATCTCAAATAAGTTTCTGAGAATGCTTCTGTCTAGTTGTTATGGGAAGATATTTCCTTTTCCAACATAGGCCTGAAAGCGCTCCAAATGTCCACTTCCAGATACTACAAAAGGAGTGATTCAAACCTGCTCTATGATAGGGAATGTTCAACTCTGTGTCCTGAATACAAACATCACAAAGATGTTTCTCAGAACGCTGCAGTCTGCAGTTTGTATGAATTCCCGCTTCCAACGAAATCCTCAAAACTAGCCCAATATCCACTTGCAGATTCCACAAAAAGAGCGTTTCAAAACTTCTCTATGAAAAGAAAGGTTCTACTCCTTTAGTTGAGGACACACATCACGAGTAAGTTTCTGAGAATGCTACTGTCTAGTTTTTATGGGAAGATATTTCCTTTTTCACCTTAGGCCGGAAAGTGCTCCAAATGTCCACTTACACACACTACAAAAAGAGTGTTTCAAACCTGCTCTGTGAAAGGGAATGTTCAATTCTGTGACTTGAATGCAATCATCACAAAGAAGTTTACTGAGAATGCTGATGTCTGCTTTTTATATGTAATCCCGTTTCCAACGAAATCCTCAAATCTAGCCAAATAGCCACTTGCAGATTCCACAAAAAGAGTGTTTCAAAACTGTTCTGTCTAAAGAAATGTGCAACTGTGTTAGTTGAGGACACACATCAGAAACTAGTTTCTGAGAATGCTTCTGTCTAGTTGTTATGGGAAGATATTTCCTTTTCCAACGTAGGCCTGAAAGCGCTCCAAATGTCCACTTCCATATACTAAAAAAAGAGTGTTTCAAACCTGCTCTACCAAAGGGAATGTTCTACTCTGTGACTTGAATGCAAACATCCCAAAGAAGTTTCTGAGAATGCTTCTGTCTAGATTTGATCTAAAGACAATCCCGTTTCCAACGAAATCCTCAAGGTTAGGCAAATATCCTCTTGCAGATTCCAGAAAAAGAGTGTTTCAAACTGCTCCTTCAAAACGGTGATTCAATTCTCTTAGTTGAGTACACACATCTCAAATAAGTTTCTGAGAATGCTTCTGCCTAGTTGTTACGGGAAGATATTTCCCTTTCCAACATAGGCCTGAAAGCGCTCCAAATGTCCACTTCCAGATACTACAAAAAGAGTGTTTCAAACCTACTCTACCAAAGGGAATGTTCTACTCTGTGACTTGAATGCAAACATCCCAAAGAAGTTTCTGAGAATGCTTCTGTCTAGATTTTACCTGAAGACAATCCCGTTTCTCACGAAATCCTCAAAACTATGCAAATATCCTCTTGCAGATTCTACAAAAAGAGTGTTTCAAAACTGCTCTATGAAAAGAAAGGTTCAACTCTGTCAGTAGAGGGCACACATCACAAACAAGTTTCTGAGAATGCTTGTGTCTAGTTGTTATGGGAAGATATTTCCTTTTTCAACATAGGCCTGAAAGCGCTCCAAATGTCCACTTCCAGATACTACAAAAGGAGTGATTCCAACCTGCTCTATGATAGGGAATGTTCAACTCTCTGTCCTGAATACAAACATCACAAAGATGTTTCTCAGAACGCTGCAGTCTGCAATTTGTATGAATTCCCGCTTCCAACGAAATCCTCAAAACTAGCCAAATATCCACTTGCAGATTCCACAAAAAGAGCATTTCAAAACTGCTCTATCAAAAGAAATGTTCAACTTTGTTAGTTGAGTAGATACAGCATAAACAAGTTTCTGAGAATGCTTCTGTCCAGTTTTTATGGGAAGATATTTCCTTTTTCACCTTAGCCCTGAAAGCGCTCCAAAAGTCCAGTTCCAGATACTACAAAAGGAGTGTTTCAGGACTGCTCTATGAAAGGGAGTGTTCAACTTTTGACTTGAATGCAAACATCAGAAAGCAGTTTCTCAGAACGCTGCTGTGTGCTTTTTATATGTATTCCCGCTTCCAGCGAAATCCCCAAAGCTAGCCAAATATCCACTTGCAGATTCCAGAAAAAGAGTGTTTCAAAACTGCTCCTTCAAAACGGTGGTTCAATTCTCTTAGTTGAGTACACACATCTCAAATAAGTTTCTGAGAATGCTTCTGTCTAGTTGTTATGGGAAGATATTTCCTTTTCCAACATAGGCCTGAAAGCGCTCCAAATGTCCACTTCCAGATACTACAAAAGGAGTGATTCAAACCTGCTCTATGATAGGGAATGTTCAACTCTGTGTCCTGAATACAAACATCACAAAGATGTTTCTCAGAACGCTGCAGTCTGCAATTTGTATGAATTCCCGCTTCCAACGAAATCCTCAAAACTAGCCAAATATCCACTTGCAGATTCCACAAAAAGAGCGTTTCAAAACTTCTCTATGAAAAGAAAGGTTCTACTCCTTTAGTTGAGGACACACATCACGAGTAAGTTTCTGAGAATGCTTCTGTCTAGTTTTTATGGGAAGATATTTCCTTTTTCACCTTAGGCCGGTAAGTGCTCCAAATGTCCACTTACACACACTACAAAAAGAGTGTTTCAAACCTGCTCTGTGAAAGGGAATGTTCAATTCTGTGACTTGAATGCAATCATCACAAAGAACTTTCTGAGAATGCTGCTGACTGCTTTTTATATGTAATCCCGTTTCCAACGAAATCCTCAAATCTAGCCAAATAGCCACTTGCAGATTCCACAAAAAGAGTGTTTCAAAACTGTTCTGTCTAAAGAAATGTTCAACTGTGTTAGTTGAGGACACACATCAGAAACTAGTTTCTGAGAATGCTTCTGTCTAGTTGTTATGGGAAGATATTTCCTTTTCCAACGTAGGCCTGAAAGCGCTCCAAATGTCCACTTCCAGATACTACAAAAAGAGTGTTTCAAACCTGCTCTACCAAAGGGAATGTTCTACTCTGTGACTTGAATGCAAACATCCCAAAGAAGTTTCTGAGAATGCTTCTGTCTAGATTTTCTCTGAAGACAATCCCGTTTCCAACGAAATCCTCAAGGCTAGGCAAATATCCTCTTGCAGATTCCAGAAAAAGAGTGTTTCAAAACTGCTCCTTCAAAACGGTGGTTCAATTCTCTTAGTTGAGTACACACATCTCAAATAAGTTTCTGAGAATGCTTCTGCCTAGTTGTTACGGGAAGATATTTCCCTTTCCAACATGGGCCTGAAAGCGCTCCAAATGTCCACTTCCAGATACTACAAAAAGAGTGTTTCAAACCTGCTCTACCAAAGGGAATGTTCTACTCTGTGACTTGAATGCAAACATCCCAAAGAAGTTTCTGAGAATGCTTCTGTCTAGATTTTACCTGAAGACAATCCCGTTTCCCACGAAATCCTCAAAGCTATGCAAATATCCTCTTGCAGATTCTACAAAAAGAGTGTTTCAAAACTGCTCTATGAAAAGAAAGGTTCAACTCTGTCAGTAGAGGGCACACATCACAAACAAGTTTCTGAGAATGCTTGTGTCTAGTTGTTATGGGAAGATATTTCCTTTTTCAACATAGGCCTGAAAGCGCTCCAAATGTCCACTTCCAGATACTACAAAAGGAGTGATTCCAACCTGCTCTATGATAGGGAATGTTCATCTCTGTGTCTTGAATACAAACATCACAAAGATGTTTCTCAGAACGCTGCAGTCTGCAAATTGTATGAATTCCCGCTTCCAACGAAATCCTCAAAACTAGCCAAATATCCACTTGGAGATTCCACAAAAAGAGCGTTTCAAAACTTCTCTATGAATAGAAAGGTTCTACTCTTTTAGTTGAGGACACACATCACGAGTAAGTTTCTGAGAATGCTTCTGTCTAGTTTTTATGGGAAGATATGTCCTTTTTCACCTTAGGCCGGAAAGCGCTCCAAATGTCCACTTACACACACTACAAAAAGAGTGTTTCAAACCTGCTCTGTGAAAGGGAATGTTCAATTCTGTGACTTGAATGCAATCATCACAAAGAACTTTCTGAGAATGCTGCTGACTGTTTTTTATATGTAATCCCGTTTCCAACGAAATCCTCAAATGTAGCCCAATAACCACTTGCAGATTCCACAAAAAGAGTGTTTCAAAACTGTTCTGTCTAAAGAAAAGTTCAACTGTGTTAGTTGAGGACACATATCAGAAACTAGTTTCTGAGAATGCTTCTGTCTAGTTGTTATGGGAAGATATTTCCTTTTCCAACGTAGGCCTGAAAGCGCTCCAAATGTCCACTTCCATATACTAAAAAAAGAGTGTTTCAAACCTGCTCTACCAAAGGGAATGTTCTACTCTGTGACTTGAATGCAAACATCCCAAAGAAGTTTCTGAGAATGCTTCTGTCTAGATTTGATCTGAAGACAATCCCGTTTCCAACGAAATCCTCAAAGCTAGGCAAATATCCTCTAGCAGATTCCAGAAAAAGAGTGTTTCAAAACTGCTCCTTCAAAACGGTGGTTCAATTCTCTTAGTTGAGTACACACATCTCAAAAAAGTTTCAGAGAATGCTTCTGCCTAGTTGTTACGGGAAGATATTTCCCTTTCCAAAATAGGCCTGAAAGCGCTCCAAATGTCCACTTCCAGATACTACAAAAGGAGTGATTCCAACCTGCTCTATGATAGGGAATGTTCAACTCTGTGTCCTGAATACAAACATCACAAAGATGTTTCTCAGAACGCTGCAGTCTGCAATTTGTATGAATTCCAGCTTCCAACGAAATCCTCAAAACTAGCCAAATATCCACTTGCAGATTCCACAAAAAGAGCATTTCAAAACTGCTCTATCAAAAGAAAGGTTCAACTTTGTTAGTAGAGTAGATACAGCATAAACAAGTTTCTGAGAATGCTTCTGTCCAGTTTTTATGGGAAGATATTTCCTTTTTCACCTTAGCCCTGAAAGCGCTCCAAAAGTCCAGTTCCAGATACTACAAAAGGAGTGTTTCAGGACTGCTCTATGAAAGGGAGTGTTCAACTTTTGACTTGAATGCAAACATCAGAAAGCAGTTTCTCAGAACGCTGCTGTGTGCTTTTTATATGTATTCCCGCTTCCAGCGAAATCCCCAAAGCTAGCCAAATATCCACTTGCAGATTCCAGAAAAAGAGTGTTTCAAAACTGCTCCTTCAAAACGGTGGTTCAATTCTCTTAGTTGAGTACACACATCTCAAATAAGTTTCTGAGAATGCTTCTGTCTAGTTGTTATGGGAAGATATTTCCTTTTCCATCATAGGCCTGAAAGCGCTCCAAATGTCCACTTCCAGATACTACAAAAGGAGTGATTCAAACCTGCTCTATGATAGGGAATGTTCAACTCTGTGTCCTGAATACAAACATCACAAAGATGTTTCTCAGAACGCTGCAGTCTGCAATTTGTATGAATTCCCGCTTCCAACGAAATCCTCAAAACTAGCCAAATATCCACTTGCAGATTCCACAAAAAGAGCGTTTCAAAACTTCTCTATGAAAAGAAAGGTTCTACTCCTTTAGTTGAGGACACACATCACGAGTAAGTTTCTGAGAATGCTTCTGTCTAGTTTTTATGGGAAGATATTTCCTTTTTCACCTTAGGCCGGAAAGCGCTCCAAATGTCCACTTACACACACTACAAAAAGAGTGTTTCAAACCTGCTCTGTGAAAGGGAATGTTCAATTCTGTGACTTGAATGCAATCATCACAAAGAACTTTCTGAGAATGCTGCTGACTGCTTTTTATATGTAATCCCGTTTCCAACGAAATCCTCAAATCTAGCCAAATAGCCACTTGCAGATTCCACAAAAAGAGTGTTTCAAAACTGTTCTGTCTATAGAAATGTTCAACTGTGTTAGTTGAGGACACACATCAGAAACTAGTTTCTGAGAATGCTTCTGTCTAGTTGTTATGGGAAGATATTTCCTTTTCCAACGTAGGCCTGAAAGCGCTCCAAATGTCCACTTCCATATACTAAAAAAAGAGTGTTTCAAACCTGCTCTACCAAAGGGAATGTTCTACTCTGTGACTTGAATGCAAACATCCCAAAGAAGTTTCTGAGAATGCTTCTGTCTAGATTTGATCTGAAGACAATCCCGTTTCCAACGAAATCCTCAAGGCTAGGCAAATATCCTCTTGCAGATTCCAGAAAAAGAGTGTTTCAAAACTGCTCCTTCAAAATGGTGGTTCAATTCTCTTAGTTGAGTACACACATCTCAAATAAGTTTCTGAGAATGCTTCTGCCTAGTTGTTACGGGAAGATATTTCCCTTTCCAACATAGGCCTGAAAGCGCTCCAAATGTCCACTTCCAGATACTACAAAAAGAGTGTTTCAAACCTGCTCTACCAAAGGGAATGTTCTACTCTGTGACTTGAATGCAAACATCCCAAAGAAGTTTCTGAGAATGCTTCTGTCTAGATTTTACCTGAAGACAATCCCGTTTCCCACGAAATCCTCAAAGCTATGCAAATATCCTCTTGCAGATTCTACAAAAAGAGTGTTTCAAAACTGCTCTATGAAAAGAAAGGTTCAACTCTGTCAGTAGAGGGCACACATCACAAACAAGTTTCTGAGAATGCTTCTGCATAGTTGTTACGGGAAGATATTTCCCTTTCCAAAATAGGCCTGAAAGCGCTCCAAATGTCCACTTCCAGATACTACAAAAGGAGTGATTCCAACCTGCTCTATGATAGGGAATGTTCAACTCTGTGTCCTGAATACAAACATCACAAAGATGTTTCTCAGAACGCTGCAGTCTGCAATTTGTATGAATTCCCGCTTCCAACGAAATCCTCAAAACTAGCCAAATATCCACTTGCAGATTCCACAAAAAGACCATTTCAAAACTGCTCTATCAAAAGAAAGGTTCAACTTTGTTAGTTGAGTAGATACAGCATAAACAAGTTTCTGAGAATGCTTCTGTCCAGTTTTTATGGGAAGATATTTCCTTTTTCACCTTAGCCCTGAAATCGCTCCAAAAGTCCAGTTCCAGATACTACAAAAGGGGTGTTTCAAGACTGCTCTATGAAAGGGAGTGTTCAACTTTTGACTTGAATGCAAACATCAGAAAGCAGTTTCTCAGAACGCTGCTGTGTGCTTTTTATATGTATTCCCGCTTCCAGCGAAATCCCCAAAGCTAGCCAAATATCCACTTGCAGATTCCAGAAAAAGAGAGTTTCAAAACTGCTCCTTCAAAACGGTGGTTCAATTCTCTTAGTTGAGTACACACATCTCAAATAAGTTTCTGAGAATGCTTCTGTCTAGTTGTTATGGGAAGATATTTCCTTTTCCAACATAGGCCTGAAAGCGCTCCAAATGTCCACTTCCAGATACTACAAAAGGAGTGATTCAAACCTGCTCTATGATAGGGAATGTTCAACTCTGTGTCCTGAATACAAACATCACAAAGATGTTTCTCAGAACGCTGCAGTCTGCAATTTGTATGAATTCCCGCTTCCAACGAAATCCTCAAAACTAGCCAAATATCCACTTGCAGATTCCACAAAAAGAGCGTTTCAAAACTTCTCTATGAAAAGAAAGGTTCTACTCCTTTAGTTGAGGACACACATCACGAGTAAGTTTCTGAGAATGCTTCTGTCTAGTTTTTATGGGAAGATTATTTCCTTTTTCACCTTAGGCCGGTAAGTGCTCCAAATGTCCACTTACACACACTACAAAAAGAGTGTTTCAAACCTGCTCTGTGAAAGGGAATGTTCAATTCTGTGACTTGAATGCAATCATCACAAAGAACTTTCTGAGAATGCTGCTGACTGCTTTTTATATGTAATCCCGTTTCCAACGAAATCCTCAAATCTAGCCAAATAGCCACTTGCAGATTCCACAAAAAGAGTGTTTCAAAACTGTTCTGTCTAAAGAAATGTTCAACTCTGTTAGTTGAGGACACACATCAGAAACTAGTTTCTGAGAATGCTTCTGTCTAGTTGTTATGGGAAGATATTTCCTTTTCCAACGTAGGCCTGAAAGCGCTCCAAATGTCCACTTCCAGATACTACAAAAAGAGTGTTTCAAACCTGCTCTACCAAAGGGAATGTTCTACTCTGTGACTTGAATGCAAGCATCCCAAAGAAGTTTCTGAGAATGCTTCTGTCTAGATTTTCTCTGAAGACAATCCCGTTTCCAACGAAATCCTCAAGGCTAGGCAAATATACTCTTGCAGATTGCAGAAAAAGAGTGTTTCAAAACTGCTCCTTCAAAACGGTGGTTCAATTCTCTTAGTTGAGTACACACATCTCAAATAAGTTTCTGAGAATGCTTCTGCCTAGTTGTTACGGGAAGATATTTCCCTTTCCAACATGGGCCTGAAAGCGCTCCAAATGTCCACTTCCAGATACTACAAAAAGAGTGTTTCAAACCTGCTCTACCAAAGGGAATGTTCTACTCTGTGACTTGAATGCAAACATCCCAAAGAAGTTTCTGAGAATGCTTCTGTCTAGATTTTACCTGAAGACAATCCCGTTTCCCACGAAATCCTCAAAGCTATGCAAATATCCTCTTGCAGATTCTACAAAAAGAGTGTTTCAAAACTGCTCTATGAAAAGAAAGGTTCAACTCTGTCAGTAGAGGGCACACATCACAAACAAGTTTCTGAGAATGCTTGTGTCTAGTTGTTATGGGAAGATATTTCCTTTTTCAACATAGGCCTGAAAGCGCTCCAAATGTCCACTTCCAGATACTACAAAAGGAGTGATTCCAACCTGCTCTATGATAGGGAATGTTCAACTCTGTGTCCTGAATACAAACATCACAAAGATGTTTCTCAGAACGCTGCAGTCTGCAATTTGTATGTATTCCAGCTTCCAACGAAATCCTCAAATCTAGCCAAATATCCAATTGCAGATTCCACAAAAAGAGCATTTCAAAACTGCTCTATCAAAAGAAAGGTTCAACTTTTTTAGTAGAGTAGATACAGCATAAACAAGTTTCTGAGAATGCTTCTGTCCAGTTTTTATGGGAAGATATTTCCTTTTTCACCTTAGCCCTGAAAGCGCTCCAAAAGTCCAGTTCCAGATACTACAAAAGGATTGTTTCAGGACTGCTCTATGAAAGGGAGTGTTCAACTTTTGACTTGAATGCAAACATCAGAAAGCAGTTTCTCAGAACGCTGCTGTGTGCTTTTTATATGTATTCCCGCTTCCAGCAAAATCCCCAAAGCTAGCCAAATATCCACTTGCAGATTCCAGAAAAAGAGTGTTTCAAAACTGCTCCTTCAAAACGGTGGTTCAATTCTCTTAGTTGAGTACACACATCTCAAATAAGTTTCTGAGAATGCTTCTGTCTAGTTGTTATGGGAAGATATTTCCTTTTCCAACATAGGCCTGAAAGCGCTCCAAATGTCCACTTCCAGATACTACAAAAGGAGTGATTCCAACCTGCTCTATGATAGGGAATGTTCAACTCTGTGTCCTGAATACAAACATCACAAAGATGTTTCTCAGAACGCTGCAGTCTGCAATTTGTATGAATTCCCGCTTCCAACGAAATCCTCAAAACTAGCCAAATATCCACTTGCAGATTCCACAAAAAGAGCGTTTCAAAACTTCTCTATGAAAAGAAAGGTTCTACTCCTTTAGTTGAGGACACACATCACGAGTAAGTTTCTGAGAATGCTTCTGTCTAGTTTTTATGGGAAGATTATTTCCTTTTTCACCTTAGGCCGGTAAGTGCTCCAAATGTCCACTTACACACACTACAAAAAGAGTGTTTCAAACCTGCTCTGTGAAAGGGAATGTTCAATTCTGTGACTTGAATGCAATCATCACAAAGAACTTTCTGAGAATGCTGCTGACTGCTTTTTATATGTAATCCCGTTTCCAACGAAATCCTCAAATCTAGCCAAATAGCCACTTGCAGATTCCACAAAAAGAGTGTTTCAAAACTGTTCTGTCTAAAGAAATGTTCAACTGTGTTAGTTGAGGACACACATCAGAAACTAGTTTCTGAGAATGCTTCTGTCTAGTTGTTATGGGAAGATATTTCCTTTTCCAACGTAGGCCTGAAAGCGCTCCAAATGTCCACTTCCAGATACTACAAAAAGAGTGTTTCAAACCTGCTCTACCAAAGGGAATGTTCTACTCTGTGACTTGAATGCAAGCATCCCAAAGAAGTTTCTGAGAATGCTTCTGTCTAGATTTTCTCTGAAGACAATCCCGTTTCCAACGAAATCCTCAAGGCTAGGCAAATATACTCTTGCAGATTCCAGAAAAAGAGTGTTTCAAAACTGCTCCTTCAAAACGGTGGTTCAATTCTCTTAGGTTGAGTACACACATCTCAAATAAGTTTCTGAGAATGCTTCTGCCTAGTTGTTACGGGAAGATATTTCCCTTTCCAACATGGGCCTGAAAGCGCTCCAAATGTCCACTTCCAGATACTACAAAAAGAGTGTTTCAAACCTGCTCTACCAAAGGGAATGTTCTACTCTGTGACTTGAATGCAAACATCCCAAAGAAGTTTCTGAGAATGCTTCTGTCTAGATTTTACCTGAAGACAATCCCGTTTCCCACGAAATCCTCAAAGCTATGCAAATATCCTCTTGCAGATTCTACAAAAAGAGTGTTTCAAAACTGCTCTATGAAAAGAAAGGTTCAACTCTGTCAGTAGAGGGCACACATCACAAACAAGTTTCTGAGAATGCTTCTGCATAGTTGTTACGGGAAGATATTTCCCTTTCCAAAATAGGCCTGAAAGCGCTCCAAATGTCCACTTCCAGATACTACAAAAGGAGTGATTCCAACCTGCTCTATGATAGGGAATGTTCAACTCTGTGTCCTGAATACAAACATCACAAAGATGTTTCTCAGAACGCTGCAGTCTGCAATTTGTATGAATTCCCGCTTCCAACGAAATCCTCAAAACTAGCCAAATATCCACTTGCAGATTCCACAAAAAGACCATTTCAAAACTGCTCTATCAAAAGAAAGGTTCAACTTTGTTAGTTGAGTAGATACAGCATAACCAAGTTTCTGAGAATGCTTCTGTCCAGTTTTTATGGGAAGATATTTCCTTTTTCACCTTAGCCCTGAAATCGCTCCAAAAGTCCAGTTCCAGATACTACAAAAGGGGTGTTTCAAGACTGCTCTATGAAAGGGAGTGTTCAACTTTTGACTTGAATGCAAACATCAGAAAGCAGTTTCTCAGAACGCTGCTGTGTGCTTTTTATATGTATTCCCGCTTCCAGCGAAATCCCCAAAGCTAGCCAAATATCCACTTGCAGATTCCAGAAAAAGAGTGTTTCAAAACTGCTCCTTCAAAACGGTGGTTCAATTCTCTTAGTTGAGTACACACATCTCAAATAAGTTTCTGAGAATGCTTCTGTCTAGTTGTTATGGGAAGATATTTCCTTTTCCAACATAGGCCTGAAAGCGCTCCAAATGTCCACTTCCAGATACTACAAAAGGAGTGATTCAAACCTGCTCTATGATAGGGAATGTTCAACTCTGTGTCCTGAATACAAACATCACAAAGATGTTTCTCAGAACGCTGCAGTCTGCAATTTGTATGAATTCCCGCTTCCAACGAAATCCTCCAAACTAGCCAAATATCCACTTGCAGATTCCACAAAAAGAGCATTTCAAAACTGCTCTATCAAAAGAAAGGTTCAACTATGTTAGTTGAGTAGATACAGCATAAACAAGTTTCTGAGAATGATTCTGTCCAGTTTTTATGGGAAGATATTTCCTTTTTCACCTTAGCCCTGAAAGCGCTCCAAAAGTCCAGTTCCAGATACTACAAAAGGAGTGTTTCAGGACTGCTCTATGAAAGGGAGTGTTCAACTTTTGACTTGAATGCAAACATCAGAAAGCAGTTTCTCAGAACGCTGCTGTGTGCTTTTTATATGTATTCCCGCTTCCAGCGAAATCCCCAAAGCTAGCCAAATATCCACTTGCAGATTCCAGAAAAAGAGTGTTTCAAAACTGCTCCTTCAAAACGGTGGTTCAATTCTCTTAGTTGAGTACACACATCTCAAATAAGTTTCTGAGAATGCTTCTGTCTAGTTGTTATGGGAAGATATTTCCTTTTCCAACATAGGCCTGAAAGCGCTCCAAATGTCCACTTCCAGATACTACAAAAGGAGTGATTCAAACCTGCTCTATGATAGGGAATGTTCAACTCTGTGTCCTGAATACAAACATCACAAAGATGTTTCTCAGAACGCTGCAGTCTGCAATTTGTATGAATTCCCGCTTCCAACGAAATCCTCAAAACTAGCCAAATATCCACTTGCAGATTCCACAAAAAGAGCGTTTCAAAACTTCTCTATGAAAAGAAAGGTTCTACCCCTTTAGTTGAGGACACACATCACGAGTAAGTTTCTGAGAATGCTTCTGTCTAGTTTTTATGGGAAGATATTTCCTTTTTCACCTTAGGCCGGTAAGTGCTCCAAATGTCCACTTACACACACTACAAAAAGAGTGTTTCAAACCTGCTCTGTGAAAGGGAATGTTCAATTCTGTGACTTGAATGCAATCATCACAAAGAACTTTCTGAGAATGCCGCTGACTGCTTTTTATATGTAATCCCGTTTCCAACGAAATCCTCAAATCTAGCCAAATAGCCACTTGCAGATTCCACAAAAAGAGTGTTTCAAAACTGTTCTGTCTAAAGAAATGTTCAACTGTGTTAGTTGAGGACACACATCAGAAACTAGTTTCTGAGAATGCTTCTGTCTAGTTGTTATGGGAAGATATTTCCTTTTCCAACGTAGGCCTGAAAGCGCTCCAAATGTCCACTTCCAGATACTACAAAAAGAGTGTTTCAAACCTGCTCTACCAAAGGGAATGTTCTACTCTGTGACTTGAATGCAAGCATCCCAAAGAAGTTTCTGAGAATGCTTCTGTCTAGATTTTCTCTGAAGACAATCCCGTTTCCAACGAAATCCTCAAGGCTAGGCAAATATACTCTTGCAGATTCCAGAAAAAGAGTGTTTCAAAACTGCTCCTTCAAAACGGTGGTTCAATTCTCTTAGTTGAGTACACACATCTCAAATAAGTTTCTGAGAATGCTTCTGCCTAGTTGTTACGGGAAGATATTTCCCTTTCCAACATGGGCCTGAAAGCGCTCCAAATGTCCACTTCCAGATACTACAAAAAGAGTGTTTCAAACCTGCTCTACCAAAGGGAATGTTCTACTCTGTGACTTGAATGCAAACATCCCAAAGAAGTTTCTGAGAATGCTTCTGTCTAGATTTTACCTGAAGACAATCCCGTTTCCCACGAAATCCTCAAAGCTATGCAAATATCCTCTTGCAGATTCTACAAAAAGAGTGTTTCAAAACTGCTCTATGAAAAGAAAGGTTCAACTCTGTCAGTAGAGGGCACACATCACAAACAAGTTTCTGAGAATGCTTCTGCATAGTTGTTACGGGAAGATATTTCCCTTTCCAAAATAGGCCTGAAAGCGCTCCAAATGTCCACTTCCAGATACTACAAAAGGAGTGATTCCAACCTGCTCTATGATAGGGAATGTTCAACTCTGTGTCCTGAATACAAACATCACAAAGATGTTTCTCAGAACGCTGCAGTCTGCAATTTGTATGAATTCCCGCTTCCAACGAAATCCTCAAAACTAGCCAAATATCCACTTGCAGATTCCACAAAAAGACCATTTCAAAACTGCTCTATCAAAAGAAAGGTTCAACTTTGTTAGTTGAGTAGATACAGCATAAACAAGTTTCTGAGAATGCTTCTGTCCAGTTTTTATGGGAAGATATTTCCTTTTTCACCTTAGCCCTGAAATCGCTCCAAAAGTCCAGTTCCAGATACTACAAAAGGGGTGTTTCAAGACTGCTCTATGAAAGGGAGTGTTCAACTTTTGACTTGAATGCAAACATCAGAAAGCAGTTTCTCAGAACGCTGCTGTGTGCTTTTTATATGTATTCCCGCTTCCAGCGAAATCCCCAAAGCTAGCCAAATATCCACTTGCAGATTCCAGAAAAAGAGAGTTTCAAAACTGCTCCTTCAAAACGGTGGTTCAATTCTCTTAGTTGAGTACACACATCTCAAATAAGTTTCTGAGAATGCTTCTGTCTAGTTGTTATGGGAAGATATTTCCTTTTCCAACATAGGCCTGAAAGCGCTCCAAATGTCCACTTCCAGATACTACAAAAGGAGTGATTCCAACCTGCTCTATGATAGGGAATGTTCAACTCTGTGTCCTGAATACAAACATCACAAAGATGTTTCTCAGAACGCTGCAGTCTGCAATTTGTATGAATTCCCGCTTCCAACGAAATCCTCAAAACTAGCCAAATATCCACTTGCAGATTCCACAAAAAGAGCGTTTCAAAACTTCTCTATGAAAAGAAAGGTTCTACTCCTTTAGTTGAGGACACACATCACGAGTAAGTTTCTGAGAATGCTTCTGTCTAGTTTTTATGGGAAGATATTTCCTTTTTCACCTTAGGCCGGTAAGTGCTCCAAATGTCCACTTACACACACTACAAAAAGAGTGTTTCAAACCTGCTCTGTGAAAGGGAATGTTCAATTCTGTGACTTGAATGCAATCATCACAAAGAACTTTCTGAGAATGCTGCTGACTGCTTTTTATATGTAATCCCGTTTCCAACGAAATCCTCAAATCTAGCCAAATAGCCACTTGCAGATTCCACAAAAAGAGTGTTTCAAAACTGTTCTGTCTAAAGAAATGTTCAACTGTGTTAGTTGAGGACACACATCAGAAACGAGTTTCTGAGAATGCTTCTGTCTAGTTGTTATGGGAAGATATTTCCTTTTCCAACGTAGGCCTGAAAGCGCTCCAAATGTCCACTTCCAGATACTAAAAAAAGAGTGTTTCAAACCTGCTCTACCAAAGGGAATGTTCTACTCTGTGACTTGAATGCAAGCATCCCAAAGAAGTTTCTGAGAATGCTTCTGTCTAGATTTTCTCTGAAGACAATCCCGTTTCCAACGAAATCCTCAAGGCTAGGCAAATATCCTCTTGCAGATTCCAGAAAAAGAGTGTTTCAAAACTGCTCCTTCAAAACGGTGGTTCAATTCTCTTAGTTGAGTACACACATCTCAAATAAGTTTCTGAGAATGCTTCTGCCTAGTTGTTACGGGAAGATATTTCCCTTTCCAACATGGGCCTGAAAGCGCTCCAAATGTCCACTTCCAGATACTACAAAAAGAGTGTTTCAAACCTGCTCTACCAAAGGGAATGTTCTACTCTGTGACTTGAATGCAAACATCCCAAAGAAGTTTCTGAGAATGCTTCTGTCTAGATTTTACCTGAAGACAATCCCGTTTCCCACGAAATCCTCAAAGCTATGCAAATATCCTCTTGCAGATTCTACAAAAAGAGTGTTTCAAAACTGCTCTATGAAAAGAAAGGTTCAACTCTGTCAGTAGAGGGCACACATCACAAACAAGTTTCTGAGAATGCTTCTGTCTAGTTGTTATGGGAAGATTTTTCCTTTTTCAACATAGGCCTGAAAGCGCTCCAAATGTCCACTTCCAGATACTACAAAAGGAGTGATCCCAACCTGCTCTATGATAGGGAATGTTCAAATCTGTGTCCTGAATACAAACATCACAAAGATGTTTCTCAGAACGCTGCAGTCTGCAATTTGTATGAATTCCCGCTTCCAACGAAATCCTCAAAACTAGCCAAATATCCACTTGCAGATTCCACAAAAAGACCATTTCAAAACTGCTCTATCAAAAGAAAGGTTCAACTTTGTTAGTTGAGTAGATACAGCATAAGCAAGTTTCTGAGAATGCTTCTGTCCAGTTTTTATGGGAAGATATTTCCTTTTTCACCTTAGCCCTGAAATCGCTCCAAAAGTCCAGTTCCAGATACTACAAAAGGGGTGTTTCAAGACTGCTCTATGAAAGGGAGTGTTCAACTTTTGACTTGAATGCAAACATCAGAAAGCAGTTTCTCAGAACGCTGCTGTGTGCTTTTTATATGTATTCCCGCTTCCAGCGAAATCCCCAAAGCTAGCCAAATATCCACTTGCAGATTCCAGAAAAAGAGAGTTTCAAAACTGCTCCTTCAAAACGGTGGTTCAATTCTCTTAGTTGAGTACACACATCTCAAATAAGTTTCTGAGAATGCTTCTGTCTAGTTGTTATGGGAAGATATTTCCTTTTCCAACATAGGCCGGAAAGCGCTCCAAATGTCCACTTCCAGATACTACAAAAGGAGTGATTCAAACCTGCTCTATGATAGGGAATGTTCAACTCTGTGTCCTGAATACAAACATCACAAAGATGTTTCTCAGAACGCTGCAGTCTGCAATTTGTATGAATTCCCGCTTCCAACGAAATCCTCAAAACTAGCCAAATATCCACTTGCAGATTCCACAAAAAGAGCGTTTCAAAACTTCTCTATGAAAAGAAAGGTTCTACTCCTTTAGTTGAGGACACACATCACGAGTAAGTTTCTGAGAATGCTTCTGTCTAGTTTTTATGGGAAGATATTTCCTTTTTCACCTTAGGCCGGTAAGTGCTCCAAATGTCCACTTACACACACTACAAAAAGAGTGTTTCAAACCTGCTCTGTGAAAGGGAATGTTCAATTCTGTGACTTGAATGCAATCATCACAAAGAACTTTCTGAGAATGCCGCTGACTGCTTTTTATATGTAATCCCGTTTCCAACGAAATCCTCAAATCTAGCCAAATAGCCACTTGCAGATTCCACAAAAAGAGTGTTTCAAAACTGTTCTGTCTAAAGAAATGTTCAACTGTGTTAGTTGAGGACACACATCAGAAACTAGTTTCTGAGAATGCTTCTGTCTAGTTGTTATGGGAAGATATTTCCTTTTCCAACGTAGGCCTGAAAGCGCTCCAAATGTCCACTTCCAGATACTACAAAAAGAGTGTTTCAAACCTGCTCTACCAAAGGGAATGTTCTACTCTGTGACTTGAATGCAAGCATCCCAAAGAAGTTTCTGAGAATGCTTCTGTCTAGATTTTCTCTGAAGACAATCCCGTTTCCAACGAAATCCTCAAGGCTAGGCAAATATACTCTTGCAGATTGCAGAAAAAGAGTGTTTCAAAACTGCTCCTTCAAAACGGTGGTTCAATTCTCTTAGTTGAGTACACACATCTCAAATAAGTTTCTGAGAATGCTTCTGCCTAGTTGTTACGGGAAGATATTTCCCTTTCCAACATGGGCCTGAAAGCGCTCCAAATGTCCACTTCCAGATACTACAAAAAGAGTGTTTCAAACCTGCTCTACCAAAGGGAATGTTCTACTCTGTGACTTGAATGCAAACATCCCAAAGAAGTTTCTGAGAATGCTTCTGTCTAGATTTTACCTGAAGACAATCCCGTTTCCCACGAAATCCTCAAATCTATGCAAATATCCTCTTGCGGATTCTACAAAAAGAGTGTTTCAAAACTGCTCTATGAAAAGAAAGGTTCAACTCTGTCAGTAGAGGGCACACATCACAAACAAGTTTCTGAGAATGCTTCTGTCTAGTTTTTATGGGAAGATATTTCCTTTTTCACCTGAGGCCGGAAAGCGCTCCAAATGTTCACTTCCAGATACTACAAAAGGAGTGATTCAAACCTGCTCTATGATAGGGAATGTTCAACTCTGTGTCCTGAATACAAACATCACAAATATGTTTCTCAGAACGCTGCAGTCTGCAATTTGTATGAATTCCCGCTTCCAACGCAATCCTCAAAACTAACCAAATATCCACTTGCAGACTCCACAAAAAGAGCATTTCAAAACTGCTCTATCAAAAGAAAGGTTCAACTTTGTTAGCTGAGTAGATACAGCATAAACAAGTTTCTGAGAATGCTTCTGTCCAGTTTTTATGGGAAGATATTTCCTTTTTCACCTTAGCCCTGAAATCGCTCCAAAAGTCCAGTTCCAGATACTACAAAAGGGGTGTTTCAGGACTGCTCTATGAAAGGGAGTGTTCAACTTTTGACTTGAATGCAAACATCAGAAAGCAGTTTCTCAGAACGCTTCTCTCTAGATTTTTATATGAGGATATTCCCGTTTCCAACGAAATCCACAAAGCTATCGAAATATCCACTTGCAGATTCTACAAAAAGAGTGTTTCAAAACTGCTCTATCAAAAGAAAGGTTCTACCCCTTTAGTTGAGGACACACATCACGAGTAAGTTTCTGAGAATGCTTCTGTCTAGTTTTTATGGGAAGATATTTCCTTTTTCACCTGAGGCCGGAAAGCGCTCCAAATGTCCACTTCCAGATACTACAAAAGGAGTGATTCAAACCTGCTCTATGATAGGGAACGTTCAACTCTGTGTCCTGAATACAAACATCACAAAGATGTTTCTCAGAACGCTGCAGTCTGCCAATTTGTATGAATTCCCGCTTCCAACGAAATCCTCAAAACTAGCCAAATATCCACTTGCAGATTCCACAAAAAGAGCGTTTCAAAACTTCTCTATGAAAAGAAAGGTTCTACTCCTTTAGTTGAGGACACACATCACGAGTAAGTTTCTGAGAATGCTTCTGTCTAGTTTTTATGGGAAGATATTTCCTTTTTCACCTTAGGCCGGTAAGTGCTCCAAATGTCCACTTACACACACTACAAAAAGAGTGTTTCAAACCTGCTCTGTGAAAGGGAATGTTCAATTCTGTGACTTGAATGCAATCATCACAAAGAACTTTCTGAGAATGCTGCTGACTGCTTTTTATATGTAATCCCGTTTCCAACGAAATCCTCAAATCTAGCCAAATAGCCACTTGCAGATTCCACAAAAAGAGTGTTTCAAAACTGTTCTGTCTAAAGAAATGTTCAACTGTGTTAGTTGAGGACACACATCAGAAACTAGTTTCTGAGAATGCTTCTGTCTAGTTGTTATGGGAAGATATTTCCTTTTCCAACGTAGGCCTGAAAGCGATCCAAATGTCCACTTCCATATACTACAAAAAGAGTGTTTCAAACCTGCTCTACCAAAGGGAATGTTCTACTCTGTGACTTGAATGCAAACATCCCAAAGAAGTTTCTGAGAATGCTTCTGTCTAGATTTTCTCTGAAGACAATCCCGTTTCCAACGAAATCCTCAAGGCTAGGCAAATATACTCTTGCAGATTCCAGAAAAAGAGTGTTTCAAAACTGCTCCTTCAAAACGGTGGTTCAATTCTCTTAGTTGAGTACACACATCTCAAATAAGTTTCTGAGAATGCTTCTGCCTAGTTGTTACGGGAAGATATTTCCCTTTCCAACATGGGCCTGAAAGCGCTCCAAATGTCCACTTCCAGATACTACAAAAAGAGTGTTTCAAACCTGCTCTACCAAAGGGAATGTTCTACTCTGTGACTTGAATGCAAACATCCCAAAGAAGTTTCTGAGAATGCTTCTGTCTAGATTTTACCTGAAGACAATCCCGTTTCCCACGAAATCCTCAAAGCTATGCAAATATCCTCTTGCAGATTCTACAAAAAGAGTGTTTCAAAACTGCTCTATGAAAAGAAAGGTTCAACTCTGTCAGTAGAGGGCACACATCACAAACAAGTTTCTGAGAATGCTTCTGCATAGTTGTTACGGGAAGATATTTCCCTTTCCAAAATAGGCCTGAAAGCGCTCCAAATGTCCACTTCCAGATACTACAAAAGGAGTGATTCCAACCTGCTCTATGATAGGGAATGTTCAACTCTGTGTCCTGAATACAAACATCACAAAGATGTTTCTCAGAACGCTGCAGTCTGCAATTTGTATGAATTCCCGCTTCCAACGAAATCCTCAAAACTAGCCAAATATCCACTTGCAGATTCCACAAAAAGACCATTTCAAAACTGCTCTATCAAAAGAAAGGTTCAACTTTGTTAGTTGAGTAGATACAGCATAAACAAGTTTCTGAGAATGCTTCTGTCCAGTTTTTATGGGAAGATATTTCCTTTTTCACCTTAGCCCTGAAATCGCTCCAAAAGTCCAGTTCCAGATACTACAAAACGGGTGTTTCAAGACTGCTCTATGAAAGGGAGTGTTCAACTTTTGACTTGAATGCAAACATCAGAAAGCAGTTTCTCAGAACGCTGCTGTGTGCTTTTTATATGTATTCCCGCTTCCAGCGAAATCCCCAAAGCTAGCCAAATATCCACTTGCAGATTCCAGAAAAAGAGAGTTTCAAAACTGCTCCTTCAAAACGGTGGTTCAATTCTCTTAGTTGAGTACACACATCTCAAATAAGTTTCTGAGAATGCTTCTGTCTAGTTGTTATGGGAAGATATTTCCTTTTCCAACATAGGCCTGAAAGCGCTCCAAATGTCCACTTCCAGATACTACAAAAGGAGTGATTCCAACCTGCTCTATGATAGGGAATGTTCAACTCTGTGTCCTGAATACAAACATCACAAAGATGTTTCTCAGAACGCTGCAGTCTGCAATTTGTATGAATTCCCGCTTCCAACGAAATCCTCAAAACTAGCCAAATATCCACTTGCAGATTCCACAAAAAGAGCGTTTCAAAACTTCTCTATGAAAAGAAAGGTTCTACTCCTTTAGTTGAGGACACACATCACGAGTAAGTTTCTGAGAATGCTTCTGTCTAGTTTTTATGGGAAGATATTTCCTTTTTCACCTTAGGCCGGTAAGTGCTCCAAATGTCCACTTACACACACTACAAAAAGAGTGTTTCAAACCTGCTCTGTGAAAGGGAATGTTCAATTCTGTGACTTGAATGCAATCATCACAAAGAACTTTCTGAGAATGCTGCTGACTGCTTTTTATATGTAATCCCGTTTCCAACGAAATCCTCAAATCTAGCCAAATAGCCACTTGCAGATTCCACAAAAAGAGTGTTTCAAAACTGTTCTGTCTAAAGAAATGTTCAACTGTGTTAGTTGAGGACACACATCAGAAACTAGTTTCTGAGAATGCTTCTGTCTAGTTGTTATGGGAAGATATTTCCTTTTCCAACGTAGGCCTGAAAGCGCTCCAAATGTCCACTTCCATATACTAAAAAAAGAGTGTTTCAAACCTGCTCTACCAAAGGGAATGTTCTACTCTGTGACTTGAATGCAAACATCCCAAAGAAGTTTCTGAGAATGCTTCTGTCTAGATTTGATCTAAAGACAATCCCGTTTCCAATGAAATCCTCAAGGCTAGGCAAATATACTCTTGCAGATTCCAGAAAAAGAGTGTTTCAAAACTGCTCCTTCAAAACGGTGGTTCAATTCTCTTAGTTGAGTACACACATCTCAAATAAGTTTCTGAGAATGCTTCTGCCTAGTTGTTACGGGAAGATATTTCCCTTTCCAACATGGGCCTGAAAGCGCTCCAAATGTCCACTTCCAGATACTACAAAAAGAGTGTTTCAAACCTGCTCTACCAAAGGGAATGTTCTACTCTGTGACTTGAATGCAAACATCCCAAAGAAGTTTCTGAGAATGCTTCTGTCTAGATTTTACCTGAAGACAATGCCGTTTCCCACGAAATCCTCAAAGCTAGGCAAATATCCTCTTGCAGATTCTACAAAAAGAGTGTTTCGAAACTGCTCTATGAAAAGAAAGGATCAACTGTGTCAGTAGAGGGCACACATCACAAACAAGTTTCTGAGAATGCTTCTGCATAGTTGTTACCGGGAAGATATTTCCCTTTCCAAAATAGGCCTGAAAGCGCTCCAAATGTCCACTTCCAGATACTACAAAAGGAGTGATTCCAACCTGCTCTATGATAGGGAATGTTCAACTCTGTGTCCTGAATACAAACATCACAAAGATGTTTCTCAGAACGCTGCAGTCTGCAATTTGTATGAATTCCCGCTTCCAACGAAATCCTCAAAACTAGCCAAATATCCACTTGCAGATTCCACAAAAAGACCATTTCAAAACTGCTCTATCAAAAGAAAGGTTCAACTTTGTTAGTTGAGTAGATACAGCATAACCAAGTTTCTGAGAATGCTTCTGTCCAGTTTTTATGGGAAGATATTTCCTTTTTCACCTTAGCCCTGAAATCGCTCCAAAAGTCCAGGTCGAGATACTACAAAAGGGGTGTTTCAAGACTGCTCTATGAAAGGGAGTGTTCAACTTTTGACTTGAATGCAAACATCAGAAAGCAGTTTCTCAGAACGCTGCTGTGTGCTTTTTATATGTATTCCCGCTTCCAGCGAAATCCCCAAAGCTAGCCAAATATCCACTTGCAGATTCCAGAAAAAGAGAGTTTCAAAACTGCTCCTTCAAAACGGTGGTTCAATTCTCTTAGTTGAGTACACACATCTCAAATAAGTTTCTGAGAATGCTTCTGTCTAGTTGTTATGGGAAGATATTTCCTTTTCCAACATAGGCCTGAAAGCGCTCCAAATGTCCACTTCCAGATACTACAAAAGGAGTGATTCAAACCTGCTCTATGATAGGGAATGTTCAACTCTGTGTCCTGAATACAAACATCACAAAGATGTTTCTCAGAACGCTGCAGTCTGCAATTTGTATGAATTCCCGCTTCCAACGAAATCCTCAAAACTAGCCAAATATCCACTTGCAGATTCCACAAAAAGAGCGTTTCAAAACTTCTCTATGAAAAGAAAGGTTCTACTCCTTTAGTTGAGGACATACATCACGAGTAAGTTTCTGAGAATGCTTCTGTCTAGTTTTTATGGGAAGATATTTCCTTTTTCACCTTAGGCCGGTAAGTGCTCCAAATGTCCACTTACACACACTACAAAAAGAGTGTTTCAAACCTGCTCTGTGAAAGGGAATGTTCAATTCTGTGACTTGAATGCAATCATCACAAAGAACTTTCTGAGAATGCTGCTGACGGCTTTTTATATGTAATCCCGTTTCCAACGAAATCCTCAAATCTAGCCAAATAGCCACTTGCAGATTCCACAAAAAGAGTGTTTCAAAACTGTTCTGTCTAAAGAAATGTTCAACTGTGTTAGTTGAGGACACACATCAGAAACTAGTTTCTGAGAATGCTTCTGTCTAGTTGTTATGGGAAGATATTTCCTTTTCCAACGTAGGCCTGAAAGCGCTCCAAATGTCCACTTCCAGATACTACAAAAAGAGTGTTTCAAACCTGCTCTACCAAAGGGAATGTTCTACTCTGTGACTTGAATGCAAACATCCCAAAGAAGTTTCTGAGAATGCTTCTGTCTAGATTTTCTCTGAAGACAATCCCGTTTCCAACGAAATCCTCAAGGCTAGGCAAATATACTCTTGCAGATTCCAGAAAAAGAGTGTTTCAAAACTGCTCCTTCAAAACGGTGGTTCAATTCTCTTAGTTGAGTACACACATCTCAAATAAGTTTCTGAGAATGCTTCTGCCTAGTTGTTACGGGAAGATATTTCCCTTTCCAACATGGGCCTGAAAGCGCTCCAAATGTCCACTTCCAGATACTACAAAAAGAGTGTTTCAAACCTGCTCTACCAAAGGGAATGTTCTACTCTGTGACTTGAATGCAAACATCCCAAAGAAGTTTCTGAGAATGCTTCTGTCTACATTTTACCTGAAGACAATCCCGTTTCCCACGAAATCCTCAAAGCTATGCAAATATCCTCTTGCGGATTCTATAAAAGAGTGTTTCAAAACTGCTCTATGAAAAGAAAGGTTCAACTCTGTCAGTAGAGGGCACACATCACAAACAAGTTTCTGAGAATGCTTGTGTCTAGTTGTTATGGGAAGATATTTCCTTTTTCAACATAGGCCTGAAAGCGCTCCAAATGTCCACTTCCAGATACTACAAAAGGAGTGATTCCAACATGCTCTATGATAGGGAATGTTCATCTCTGTGTCTTGAATACAAACATCACAAAGATGTTTCTCAGAACGCTGCAGTCTGCAATTTGTATGAATTCCCGCTTCCAACGAAATCCTCAAAACTAGCCAAATATCCACTTGGAGATTCCACAAAAAGAGCGTTTCAAAACTTCTCTATCAATAGAAAGGTTCTACTCCTTTAGTTGAGGACACACATCACGAGTAAGTTTCTGAGAATGCTTCTGTCTAGTTTTTATGGGAAGATATGTCCTTTTTCACCTTAGGCCGGAAAGCGCTCCAAATGTCCACTTACACACACTACAAAAAGAGTGTTTCAAACCTGCTCTATGAAAGGGAATGTTCAATTCTGTGACTTGAATGCAATCATCACAAAGAACTTTCTGAGAATGCTGCTGTCTGCTTTTTATATGTAATCCCGTTTCCAACGAAATCCTCAAATCTACCCCAATATCCACTTGCAGATTCCACAAAAAGAGTGTTTCAAAACTGTTCTGTGTAAAGAAATGTACAACTGCGGTAGTTGAGGACACACATCAGAAACTAGTTTCTGAGAATGCTTCTGTCTAGTTGTTATGGGAAGATATTTCCTTTTCCAACGTAGGCCTGAAAGCGCTCCAAATGTCCACTTCCATATACTAAAAAAAGAGTGTTTCAAACCTGCTCTACCAAAGGGAATGTTCTACTCTGTGACTTGAATGCAAACATCTCAAAGAAGTTTCTGAGAATGCTTCTGTCTAGATTTGATCTGAAGACAATCCGGTTTCCAACGAAATCCTCAAGGCTAGGCAAATATCCTCTTGCAGATTCCAGAAAAAGAGTGTTTCAAAACTGCTCCTTCAAAACGGTGGTTCAATTCTCTTAGTTGAGTACACACATCTCAAATAAGTTTCTGAGAATGCTTCTGCCTAGTTGTTACGGGAAGATATTTCCCTTTCCAACATAGGCCTGAAAGCGCTCCAAATGTCCACTTCCAGATACTACAAAAAGAGTGTTTCAAACCTGCTCTACCAAAGGGAATGTTCTACTCTGTGACTTGAATGCAAACATCCCAAAGAAGTTTCTGAGAATGCTTCTGTCTAGATTTTACCTGAAGACAATCCCGTTTCCCACGAAATCCTCAAAGCTATGCAAATATCCTCTTGCAGATTCTACAAAAAGAGTTTTTCAAAACTGCTCTATGAAAAGAAAGGTTCAACTCTGTCAGTAGAGGGCACACATCACAAACAAGTTTCTGAGAATGCTTGTGTCTAGTTGTTATGGGAAGATATTTCCTTTTTCAACATAGGCCTGAAAGCGCTCCAAATGTCCACTTCCATATACTACAAAAGGAGTGATTCCAACCTGCTCTATGATAGGGAATGTTCAACTCTGTGTCCTGAATACAAACATCACAAAGATGTTTCTCAGAACGCTGCAGTCTGCAATTTGTATGAATTCCCGCTTCCAACGAAATCCTCAAAACTAGCCAAATATCCACTTGCAGATTCCACAAAAAGAGCATTTCAAAACTGCTCTATCAAAAGAAAGGTTCAACTTTGTTAGTTGAGTAGATACAGCATAAACAAGTTTCTGAGAATGCTTCTGTCCAGTTTTTATGGGAAGATATTTCCTTTTTCACCTTAGCCCTGAAAGCACTCCAAAAGTCCAGTTCCAGATACTACAAAAGGAGTGTTTCAGGACTGCTCTATGAAAGGGAGTGTTCAACTTTTGACTTGAATGCAAACATCAGAAAGCAGTTTCTCAGAACGCTGCTGTGTGCTTTTTATATGTATTCCCGCTTCCAGCGAAATCCCCAAAGCTAGCCAAATATCCACTTGCAGATTCCAGAAAAAGAGTGTTTCAAAACTGCTCCTTCAAAAGGGTGGTTCAATTCTCTTAGTTGAGTACACACATCTCAAATAAGTTTCTGAGAATGCTTCTGTCTAGTTGTTATGGGAAGATATTTCCTTTTCCAACATAGGCCTGAAAGCGCTCCAAATGTCCACTTCCAGATACTACAAAAGGAGTGATTCAAACCTGCTCTATGATAGGGAATGTTCAACTCTGTGTCCTGAATACAAACATCACAAAGATGTTTCTCAGAACGCTGCAGTCTGGAATTTGTATGAATTCCCGCTTCCAACGAAATCCTCAAAACTAGCCAAATATCCACTTGCAGATTCCACAAAAAGAGCGTTTCAAAACTTCTCTATGAAAAGGAAGGTTCTACTCCTTTAGTTGAGGACACACATCACGAGTAAGTTTCTGAGAATGCTTCTGTCTAGTTTTTATGGGAAGATTATTTCCTTTTTCACCTTAGGCCGGTAAGTGCTCCAAATGTCCACTTACACACACTACAAAAAGAGTGTTTCAAACCTGCTCTGTGAAAGGGAATGTTCAATTACTGTGACTTGAATGCAATCATCACAAAGAACTTTCTGAGAATGCTGCTGACTGCTTTTTATATGTAATCCCGTTTCCAACGAAATCCTCAAATCTAGCCAAATAGCCACTTGCAGATTCCACAAAAAGAGTGTTTCAAAACTGTTCTGTCTAAAGAAATGTTCAACTGTGTTAGTTGAGGACACACATCAGAAACTAGTTTCTGAGAATGCTTCTGTGTAGTTGTTATGGGAAGATATTTCCTTTTCCAACGTAGGCCTGAAAGCGCTCCAAATGTCCACTTCCAGATACTACAAAAAGAGTGTTTCAAACCTGCTCTACCAAAGGGAATGTTCTACTCTGTGACTTGAATGCAAACATCCCAAAGAAGTTTCTGAGAATGCTTCTGTCTAGATTTGATCTGAAGACAATCCCGTTTCCAACGAAATCCTCAAGGCTAGGCAAATATCCTCTTGCAGATTCCAGAAAAAGAGTGTTTCAAAACTGCTCCTTCAAAACGGTGGTTCAATTCTCTTAGTTGAGTACACACATCTCAAATAAGTTTCTGAGAATGCTTCTGCCTAGTTGTTACGGGAAGATATTTCCCTTTCCAACATAGGCCTGAAAGCGCTCCAAATGTCCACTTCCAGATACTACAAAAAGAGTGTTTCAAACCTGCTCTACCAAAGGGAATGTTCTACTCTGTGACTTGAATGCAAACATCCCAAAGAAGTTTCTGAGAATGCTTCTGTCTAGATTTTACCTGAAGACAATCCCGTTTCCCACGAAATCCTCAAAGCTATGCAAATATCCTCTTGCAGATTCTACAAAAAGAGTGTTTCAAAACTGCTCTATGAAAAGAAAGGTTCAACTCTGTCAGTAGAGGGCACACATCACAAACAAGTTTCTGAGAATGCTTCTGCATAGTTGTTACGGGAAGATATTTCCCTTTCCAAAATAGGCCTGAAAGCGCTCCAAATGTCCACTTCCAGATACTACAAAAGGAGTGATTCCAACCTGCTCTATGATAGGGAATGTTCAACTCTCTGTCCTGAATACAAACATCACAAAGATGTTTCTCAGAACGCTGCAGTCTGCAATTTGTATGAATTCCCGCTTCCAACGAAATCCTCAAAACTAGCCAAATATCCACTTGCAGATTCCACAAAAAGAGCATTTCAAAACTGCTCTATCAAAAGAAAGGTTCAACTTTGTTAGTTGAGTAGATACAGCATAAACAAGTTTCTGAGAATGCTTCTGTCCAGTTTTTATGGGAAGATATTTCCTTTTTCACCTTAGCCCTGAAAGCGCTCCAAAAGTGCAGTTCCAGATACTACAAAAGGAGTGTTTCAGGACTGCTCTATGAAAGGGAGTGTTCAACTTTTGACTTGAATGCAAACATCAGAAAGCAGTTTCTCAGAACGCTGCTGTGTGCTTTTTATATGTATTCCCGCTTCCAGCGAAATCCCCAAAGCTAGCCAAATATCCACTTGCAGATTCCAGAAAAAGAGTGTTTCAAAACTGCTCCTTCAAAACGGTGGTTCAATTCTCTTAGTTGAGTACACACATCTCAAATAAGTTTCTGAGAATGCTTCTGTCTAGTTGTTATGGGAAGATATTTCCTTTTCCAACATAGGCCTGAAAGCGCTCCAAATGTCCACTTCCAGATACTACAAAAGGAGTGATTCCAACCTGCTCTATGATAGGGAATGTTCAACTCTGTGTCCTGAATACAAACATCACAAAGATGTTTCTCAGAACGCTGCAGTCTGCAATTTGTATGAATTCCCGCTTCCAACGAAATCCTCCAAACTAGCCAAATATCCACTTGCAGATTCCACAAAAAGAGCGTTTCAAAACTTCTCTATGAAAAGAAAGGTTCTACTCCTTTAGTTGAGGACACACATCACGAGTAAGTTTCTGAGAGTGCTTCTGTCTAGTTTTTATGGGAAGATATTTCCTTTTTCACCTTAGGCCGGAAAGTGCTCCAAATGTCCACTTACACACACTACAAAAAGAGTGTTTCAAACCTGCTCTGTGAAAGGGAATGTTCAATTCTGTGACTTGAATGCAATCATCACAAAGAACTTTCTGAGAATGCTGCTGTCTGCTTTTTATATGTAATCCCGTTTCCAACGAAATCCTCAAATCTAGCCAAATAGCCACTTGCAGATTCCACAAAAAGAGTGTTTCAAAACTGTTCTGTCTAAAGAAATGTTCAACTGTGTTAGTTGAGGACACACATCAGAAACTAGTTTCTGAGAATGCTTCTGTCTAGTTGTTATGGGAAGATATTTCCTTTTCCAACGTAGGCCTGAAAGCGCTCCAAATGTCCACTTCCATATACTAAAAAAAGAGTGTTTCAAACCTGCTCTACCAAAGGGAATGTTCTACTCTGTGACTTGAATGCAAACATCCCAAAGAAGTTTCTGAGAATGCTTCTGTCTAGATTTGATCTGAAGACAATCCCGTTTCCAACGAAATCCTCAAGGCTAGGCAAATATCCTCTTGCAGATTCCAGAAAAAGAGTGTTTCAAAACTGCTCCTTCAAAACGGTGGTTCAATTCTCTTAGTTGAGTACACACATCTCAAATAAGTTTCTGAGAATGCTTCTGCCTAGTTGTTACGGGAAGATATTTCCCTTTCCAACATAGGCCTGAAAGCGCTCCAAATGTCCACTTCCAGATACTACAAAAAGAGTGTTTCAAACCTGCTCTACCAAAGGGAATGTTCTACTCTGTGACTTGAATGCAAACATCCCAAAGAAGTTTCTGAGAATGCTTCTGTCTAGATTTTACCTGAAGACAATCCCGTTTCCCACGAAATCCTCAAAGCTATGCAAATATCCTCTTGCAGATTCTACAAAAAGAGTGTTTCAAAACTGCTCTATGAAAAGAAAGGTTCAACTCTGTCAGTAGAGGGCACACATCACAAACAAGTTTCTGAGAATGCTTGTGTCTAGTTGTTATGGGAAGATATTTCCTTTTTCAACATAGGCCTGAAAGCGCTCCAAATGTCCACTTCCAGATACTACAAAAGGAGTGATTCCAACCTGCTCTATGATAGGGAATGTTCAACTCTCTGTCCTGAATACAAACATCACAAAGATGTTTCTCAGAACGCTGCAGTCTGCAATTTGTATGTATTCCAGCTTCCAACGAAATCCTCAAATCTAGCCAAATATCCAATTGCAGATTCCACAAAAAGAGCATTTCAAAACTGCTCTATCAAAAGAAAGGTTCAACTTTTTTAGTAGAGTAGATACAGCATAAACAAGTTTCTGAGAATGCTTCTGTCCAGTTTTTATGGGAAGATATTTCCTTTTTCACCTTAGCCCTGAAAGCGCTCCAAAAGTCCAGTTCCAGATACTACAAAAGGATTGTTTCAGGACTGCTCTATGAAAGGGAGTGTTCAACTTTTGACTTGAATGCAAACATCAGAAAGCAGTTTCTCAGAACGCTGCTGTGTGCTTTTTATATGTATTCCCGCTTCCAGCGAAATCCCCAAAGCTAGCCAAATATCCACTTGCAGATTCCAGAAAAAGAGTGTTTCAAAACTGCTCCTTCAAAACGGTGGTTCAATTCTCTTAGTTGAGTACACACATCTCAAATAAGTTTCTGAGAATGCTTCTGTCTAGTTGTTATGGGAAGATATTTCCTTTTCCAACATAGGCCTGAAAGCGCTCCAAATGTCCACTTCCAGATACTACAAAAGGAGTGATTCAAACCTGCTCTATGATAGGGAATGTTCAACTCTGTGTCCTGAATACAAACATCACAAAGATGTTTCTCAGAACACTGCAGTCTGCAATTTGTATGAATTCCCGCTTCCAACGAAATCCTCAAAACTAGCCAAATATCCACTTGCAGATTCCACAAAAAGAGCGTTTCAAAACTTCTCTATGAAAAGAAAGGTTCTACTCCTTTAGTTGAGGACACACATCACGAGTAAGTTTCTGAGAATGCTTCTGTCTAGTTTTTATGGGAAGATTATTTCCTTTTTCACCTTAGGCCGGTAAGTGCTCCAAATGTCCACTTACACACACTACAAAAAGAGTGTTTCAAACCTGCTCTGTGAAAGGGAATGTTCAATTCTGTGACTTGAATGCAATCATCACAAAGAACTTTCTGAGAATGCTGCTGACTGCTTTTTATATGTAATCCCGTTTCCAACGAAATCCTCAAATCTAGCCAAATAGCCACTTGCAGATTCCACAAAAAGAGTGTTTCAAAACTGTTCTGTCTAAAGAAATGTTCAACTGTGTTAGTTGAGGACACACATCAGAAACTAGTTTCTGAGAATGCTTCTGTCTAGTTGTTATGGGAAGATATTTCCTTTTCCAACGTAGGCCTGAAAGCGCTCCAAATGTCCACTTCCAGATACTACAAAAAGAGTGTTTCAAACCTGCTCTACCAAAGGGAATGTTCTACTCTGTGACTTGAATGCAAGCATCCCAAAGAAGTTTCTGAGAATGCTTCTGTCTAGATTTTCTCTGAAGACAATCCCGTTTCCAACGAAATCCTCAAGGCTAGGCAAATATACTCTTGCAGATTCCAGAAAAAGAGTGTTTCAAAACTGCTCCTTCAAAACGGTGGTTCAATTCTCTTAGTTGAGTACACACATCTCAAATAAGTTTCTGAGAATGCTTCTGCCTAGTTGTTACGGGAAGATATTTCCCTTTCCAACATGGGCCTGAAAGCGCTCCAAATGTCCACTTCCAGATACTACAAAAAGAGTGTTTCAAACCTGCTCTACCAAAGGGAATGTTCTACTCTGTGACTTGAATGCAAACATCCCAAAGAAGTTTCTGAGAATGCTTCTGTCTAGATTTTACCTGAAGACAATCCCGTTTCCCACGAAATCCTCAAAGCTATGCAAATATCCTCTTGCAGATTCTACAAAAAGAGTGTTTCAAAACTGCTCTATGAAAAGAAAGGTTCAACTCTGTCAGTAGAGGGCACACATCACAAACAAGTTTCTGAGAATGCTTCTGCATAGTTGTTACGGGAAGATATTTCCCTTTCCAAAATAGGCCTGAAAGCGCTCCAAATGTCCACTTCCAGATACTACAAAAGGAGTGATTCCAACCTGCTCTATGATAGGGAATGTTCAACTCTGTGTCCTGAATACAAACATCACAAAGATGTTTCTCAGAACGCTGCAGTCTGCAATTTGTATGAATTCCCGCTTCCAACGAAATCCTCAAAACTAGCCAAATATCCACTTGCAGATTCCACAAAAAGACCATTTCAAAACTGCTCTATCAAAAGAAAGGTTCAACTTTGTTAGTTGAGTAGATACAGCATAACCAAGTTTCTGAGAATGCTTCTGTCCAGTTTTTATGGGAAGATATTTCCTTTTTCACCTTAGCCCTGAAATCGCTCCAAAAGTCCAGTTCCAGATACTACAAAAGGGGTGTTTCAAGACTGCTCTATGAAAGGGAGTGTTCAACTTTTGACTTGAATGCAAACATCAGAAAGCAGTTTCTCAGAACGCTGCTGTGTGCTTTTTATATGTATTCCCGCTTCCAGCGAAATCCCCAAAGCTAGCCAAATATCCACTTGCAGATTCCAGAAAAAGAGAGTTTCAAAACTGCTCCTTCAAAACGGTGGTTCAATTCTCTTAGTTGAGTACACACATCTCAAATAAGTTTCTGAGAATGCTTCTGTCTAGTTGTTATGGGAAGATATTTCCTTTTCCAACATAGGCCTGAAAGCGCTCCAAATGTCCACTTCCAGATACTACAAAAGGAGTGATTCCAACCTGCTCTATGATAGGGAATGTTCAACTCTGTGTCCTGAATACAAACATCACAAAGATGTTTCTCAGAACGCTGCAGTCTGCAATTTGTATGAATTCCCGCTTCCAACGAAATCCTCAAAACTAGCCAAATATCCACTTGCAGATTCCACAAAAAGAGCGTTTCAAAACTTCTCTATGAAAAGAAAGGTTCTACTCCTTTAGTTGAGGACACACATCACGAGTAAGTTTCTGAGAATGCTTCTGTCTAGTTTTTATGGGAAGATATTTCCTTTTTCACCTTAGGCCGGTAAGTGCTCCAAATGTCCACTTACACACACTACAAAAAGAGTGTTTCAAACCTGCTCTGTGAAAGGGAATGTTCAATTCTGTGACTTGAATGCAATCATCACAAAGAACTTTCTGAGAATGCTGCTGACTGCTTTTTATATGTAATCCCGTTTCCAACGAAATCCTCAAATCTAGCCAAATAGCCACTTGCAGATTCCACAAAAAGAGTGTTTCAAAACTGTTCTGTCTAAAGAAATGTTCAACTGTGTTAGTTGAGGACACACATCAGAAACTAGTTTCTGAGAATGCTTCTGTCTAGTTGTTATGGGAAGATATTTCCTTTTCCAACGTAGGCCTCAAAGCGATCAAAATGTCCACTTCCATATACTAAAAAAAGAGTGTTTCAAACCTGCTCTACCAAAGGGAATGTTCTACTCTGTGACTTGAATGCAAACATCCCAAAGAAGTTTCTGAGAATGCTTCTGTCTAGATTTTCTCTGAAGACAATCCCGTTTCCAACGAAATCCTCAAGGCTAGGCAAATATACTCTTGCAGATTCCAGAAAAAGAGTGTTTCAAAACTGCTCCTTCAAAACGGTGGTTCAATTCTCTTAGTTGAGTACACACATCTCAAATAAGTTTCTGAGAATGCTTCTGCCTAGTTGTTACGGGAAGATATTTCCCTTTCCAACATGGGCCTGAAAGCGCTCCAAATGTCCACTTCCAGATACTACAAAAAGAGTGTTTCAAACCTGCTCTACCAAAGGGAATGTTCTACTCTGTGACTTGAATGCAAACATCCCAAAGAAGTTTCTGAGAATGCTTCTGTCTAGATTTTACCTGAAGACAATCCCGTTTCCCACGAAATCCTCAAAGCTATGCAAATATCCTCTTGCAGATTCTACAAAAAGAGTGTTTCAAAACTGCTCTATGAAAAGAAAGGTTCAACTCTGTCAGTAGAGGGCACACATCACAAACAAGTTTCTGAGAATGCTTCTGCATAGTTGTTACGGGAAGATATTTCCCTTTCCAAAATAGGCCTGAAAGCGCTCCAAATGTCCACTTCCAGATACTACAAAAGGAGTGATTCCAACCTGCTCTATGATAGGGAATGTTCAACTCTGTGTCCTGAATACAAACATCACAAAGATGTTTCTCAGAACGCTGCAGTCTGCAATTTGTATGAATTCCCGCTTCCAACGAAATCCTCAAAACTAGCCAAATATCCACTTGCAGATTCCACAAAAAGACCATTTCAAAACTGCTCTATCAAAAGAAAGGTTCAACTTTGTTAGTTGAGTAGATACAGCATAAACAAGTTTCTGAGAATGCTTCTGTCCAGTTTTTATGGGAAGATATTTCCTTTTTCACCTTAGCCCTGAAATCGCTCCAAAAGTCCAGTTCCAGATACTACAAAAGGGGTGTTTCAGGACTGCTCTATGAAAGGGAGTGTTCAACTTTTGACTTGAATGCAAACATCAGAAAGCAGTTTCTCAGAACGCTGCTGTGTGCTTTTTATATGTATTCCCGCTTCCAGCGAAATCCCCAAAGCTAGCCAAATATCCACTTGCAGATTCCAGAAAAAGAGAGTTTCAAAACTGCTCCTTCAAAACGGTGGTTCAATTCTCTTAGTTGAGTACACACATCTCAAATAAGTTTCTGAGAATGCTTCTGCCTAGTTGTTATGGGAAGATATTTCCTTTTTCAACATAGGCCTGAAAGCGCTCCAAATGTCCACTTCCAGATACTACAAAAGGAGTGATTCCAACCTGCTCTATGATAGGGAATATTCAACTCTGTGTCCTGAATACAAACATCACAAAGATGTTTCTCAGAACGCTGCAGTCTGCAATTTGTATGAATTCCCGCTTCCAACGAAATCCTCAAACCTAGCCAAATATCCACTTGTAGATTCCACAAAAAGAGCATTTCAAAACTGCTCTATCAAAAGAAAGGTTCAACTTTGTTAGTTGAGTAGATACAGCATAAACAAGTTTCTGAGAATGCTTCTGTCCAGTTTTTATGGGAAGATATTTCCTTTTTCACCTTAGCCCTGAAAGCGCTCCAAATGTCCAGTTCCAGATACTACAAAAGGGGTGTTTCAAGACTGCTCTATGAAAGGGAGTGTTCAACTTTTGACTTGAATGCAAACATCAGAAAGCAGTTTCTCAGAACGCTGCTGTGTGCTTTTTATATGTATTCCCGCTTCCAGCAAAATCCCCAAAGCTAGCCAAATATCCACTTGCAGATTCCACAAAAAGAGCGTTTCAAAACTTCTCTATGAAAAGAAAGGTTCTACACCTTTAGTTGAGGACACACATCACGAGTAAGTTTCTGAGAATGCTTCTGTCTAGTTGTTATGGGAAGATATTTCCTTTTCCAACATAGGCCTGAAAGCGCTCCAAATGTCCACTTCCAGATACTACAAAAGGAGTGATTCAAACCTGCTCTATGATAGGGAATGTTCAACTCTGTGTCCTGAATACAAACATCACAACGATGTTTCTCAGAACGCTGCAGTCTGCAATTTGTATGAATTCCCGCTTCCAACGAAATCCTCAAAACTAGCCACATATCCACTTGGAGATTCCACAAAAAGAGCGTTTCAAAACTTCTCTATGAATAGAAAGTTTCTACTCCTTTAGTTGAGGACACACATCACGAGTAAGTTTCTGAGAATGCTTCTGTCTGGTTTTTATGGTAAGATATGTCCTTTTTCACCTTAGGCCGGAAAGCGCTCCAAATGTCCACTTACACACACTACAAAAAGAGTGTTTCAAACCTGCTCTGTGAAAGGGAATGTTCAATTCTGTGACTTGAATGCAATCATCACAAAGAACTTTCTGAGAATGCTGCTGACTGCTTTTTATATGTAATCCCGTTTCCAACGAAATCCTCAAATCTAGCCCAATATCCACTTGCAGATTCCACAAAAAGAGTGTTTCAAAACTGTTCTGTCTAAAGAAATGTACAACTGTGTTAGTTGAGGACACACATCAGAAACTAGTTTCTGAGAATGCTTCTGTCTAGTTGTTATGGGAAGATATTTCCTTTTCCAACGTAGGCCTGAAAGCGCTCCAAATGTCCACTTCCAGATACTAAAAAAAGAGTGTTTCAAACCTGCTCTACCAAAGAGAATGTTCTACTCTGTGACTTGAATGCAAACATCCCAAAGAAGTTTCTGAGAATGCTTCTGTCTAGATTTTCTCTGAAGACAATCCCGTTTCCAACGAAATCCTCAAGGCTAGGCAAATATACTCTTGCAGATTCCAGAAAAAGAGTGTTTCAAAACTGCTCCTTCAAAACGGTGGTTCAATTCTCTTAGTTGAGTACACACATCTCAAATAAGTTTGCTGAGAATGCTCTGCCTAGTTGTTACGGGAAGATATTTCCCTTTCCAACATGGGCCTGAAGCGCTCCAAATGTCCACTTCCAGATACTACAAAAAGAGTGTTTCAAACCTGCTCTACCAAAGGGAATGTTCTACTCTGTGACTTGAATGCAAACATCCCAAAGAAGTTTCTGAGAATGCTTCTGTCTAGATTTTACCTGAAGACAATCCCGTTTCCCACGAAATCCTCAAAGCTATGCAAATATCCTCTTGCGGATTCTACAAAAAGAGTGTTTCAAAACTGCTCTATGAAAAGAAAGGTTCAACTCTGTCAGTAGAGGGCACACATCACAAACAAGTTTCTGAGAATGCTTGTGTCTAGTTGTTATGGGAAGATATTTCCTTTTTCAACATAGGCCTGAAAGCGCTCCAAATGTCCACTTCCAGATTCTACAAAAGGAGTGATTCCAACCTGCTCTATGATAGGGAATGTTCATCTCTGTGTCCTGAATACAAACATCACAAAGATGTTTCTCAGAACGCTGCAGTCTGCAATTTGGATGAATTCCCGCTTCCAACGAAATCCTCAAAACTAGCCAAATATCCACTTGGAGATTCCACAAAAAGAGCGTTTCAAAACTTCTCTATGAATAGAAAGGTTCTACTCCTTTAGTTGAGGACACACATCACGAGTAAGTTTCTGAGAATGCTTCTGTCTAGTTTTTATGGGAAGATATGTCCTTTTTCACCTTAGGCCGGAAAGCGCTCCAAATGTCCACTTACACACACTACAAAAAGAGTGTTTCAAACCTGCTCTGTGAAAGGGAATGTTCAATTCTGTGACTTGAATGCAATCATCACAAAGAACTTTCTGAGAATGCTGCTGTCTGCTTTTTATATGTAATCCCGTTTCCAACGAAATCCTCAAATCTAGCCCAATATCCACTTGCAGATTCCACAAAAAGAGTGTTTCAAAACTGTTCTGTATAAAGAAATGTACAACTGTGTTAGTTGAGGACACACATCAGAAACTAGTTTCTGAGAATGCTTCTGTCTAGTTGTTATGGGAAGATATTTCCTTTTCCAACGTAGGCCTGAAAGCGCTCCAAATGTCCACTTCCATATACTAAAAAAAGAGTGTTTCAAACCTGCTCTACCAAAGGGAATGTTCTACTCTGTGACTTGAATGCAAACATCCCAAAGAAGTTTCTGAGAATGCTTCTGTCTAGATTTTATCTGAAGACAATCCCGTTTCCAACGAAATCCTCAAGGCTAGGCAAATATACTCTTGCAGATTCCAGAAAAAGAGGGTTTCAAAACTGCTCCTTCAAAACGGTGGTTCAATTCTCTTAGTTGAGTACACACATCTCAAATAAGTTTCTGAGAATGCTTCTGCCTAGTTGTTACGGGAAGATATTTCCCTTTCCAACATGGGCCTGAAAGCGCTCCAAATGTCCACTTCCAGATACTACAAAAAGAGTGTTTCAAACCTGCTCTACCAAAGGGAATGTTCTACTCTGTGACTTGAATGCAAACATCCCAAAGAAGTTTCTGAGAATGCTTCTGTCTAGATTTTACCTGAAGACAATCCCGTTTCCCACGAAATCCTCAAAGCTATGCAAATATCCTCTTGCAGATTCTACAAAAAGAGTGTTTCAAAACTGCTCTATGAAAAGAAAGGTTCAACTCTGTCAGTAGAGGGCACACATCACAAACAAGTTTCTGAGAACGCTTGTGTCTAGTTGTTATGGGAAGATATTTCCTTTTTCAACATAGGCCTGAAAGCGCTCCAAATGTCCACTTCCAGATACTACAAAAGGAGTGATTCCAACATGCTCTATGATAGGGAATGTTCATCTCTGTGTCTTGAATACAAACATCACAAAGATGTTTCTCAGAACGCTGCAGTCTGCAAGTTGTATGAATTCCCGCTTCCAACGAAATCCTCAAAACTAACCAAATATCCACTTGGAGATTCCACAAAAAGAGCGTTTCAAAACTTCTCTATGAATAGAAAGGTTCTACTCCTTTAGTTGAGGACACACATCACGAGTAAGTTTCTGAGAATGCTTCTGTCTAGTTTTTATGGGAAGATATGTCCTTTTTCACCTTAGGCCGGAAAGCACTCCAAATGTCCACTTACACACACTACAAAAAGAGTGTTTCAAACCTGCTCTGTGAAAGGGAATGTTCAATTCTGTGACTTGAATGCAATCATCACAAAGAACTTTCTGAGAATGCTGCTGACTGCTTTTTATATGTAATCCCGTTTCCAACGAAATCCTCAAATCTAGCCCAATATCCACTTGCAGATTCCACAAAAAGAGTGTTTCAAAACTGTTCTGTCTAAAGAAATGTACAACTGTGTTAGTTGAGGACACACATCAGAAACTAGTTTCTGAGAATGCTTCTGTCTAGTTGTTATGGGAAGATATTTCCTTTTCCAACGTAGGCCTGAAAGCGCTCCAAATGTCCACTTCCATATACTAAAAAAAGAGTGTTTCAAACCTGCTCTACCAAAGGGAATGTTCTACTCTGTGACTTGAATGCAAACATCCCAAAGAAGTTTCTGAGAATGCTTCTGTCTAGATTTTCTCTGAAGACAATGCCGTTTCCAACGAAATCCTCAAGGCTAGGCAAATATTCTCTTGCAGATTCCAGAAAAAGAGTGTTTCAAAACTGCTCCTTCAAAACGGTGGTTCAATTCTCTTAGTTGAGTACACACATCTCTCAAATAAGTTTCTGAGAATGCTTCTGCCTAGTTGTTACGGGAAGATATTTCCCTTTCCAACATGGGCGTGAAAGCGCTCCAAATGTCCACTTCCAGATACTACAAAAAGAGTGTTTCAAACCTGCTCTACCAAAGGGAATGTTCTACTCTGTGACTTGAATGCAAACATCCCAAAGAAGTTTCTGAGAATGCTTCTGTCTAGATTTTACCTGAAGACAATCCCGTTTCCCACGAAATCCTCAAAGCTATGCAAATATCCTCTTGCAGATTCTACAAAAAGAGTGTTTCAAAACTGCTCTATGAAAAGAAAGGTTCAACTCTGTCAGTAGAGGGCACACATCACAAACAAGTTTCTGAGAATGCTTGTGTCTAGTTGTTATGGGAAGATATTTCCTTTTTCAACATAGGCCTGAAAGCGCTCCAAATGTCCACTTCCAGATACTACAAAAGGAGTGATTCCAACCTGCTCTATGATAGGGAATGTTCAACTCTCTGTCCTGAATACAAACATCACAAAGATGTTTCTCAGAACGCTGCAGTCTGCAATTTGTATGAATTCCCGCTTCCAACGCAATCCTCCAAACTAACCAAATATCCACTTGCAGACTCCACAAAAAGAGCATTTCAAAACTGCTCTATCAAAAGAAAGGTTCAACTTTGTTAGCTGAGTAGATACAGCATAAACAAGTTTCTGAGAATGCTTCTGTCCAGTTTTTATGGGAAGATATTTCCTTTTTCACCTTAGCCCTGAAAGCACTCCAAATGTCCACTTCCAGATACCACAAAAGGGGAGTTTCAAGACTGCTCTATGAAAGGGAGTGTTCAACTTTTGACTTGAATGCGAACATCAGAAAGAAGTTTCTCAGAACGCTGCTGTGTGCTTTTTATATGTATTCCCGCTTCCAGCGAAATCCCCAAAGCTAGCCAAATATCCAATTGCAGATTCCAGAAAAAGAGTGTTTCAAAACTGCTCCTTCAAAACGGTGGTTCAATTCTCTTAGTTGAGTACACACATCTCAAATAAGTTTCTGAGAATGCTTCTGCCTAGTTGTTACGGGAAGATATTTCCCTTTCCAACATAGGCCTGAAAGCGCTCCAAATGTCCACTTCCAGATACTACAAAAAGAGTGTTTCAAACCTGCTCTACCAAAGGGAATGTTCTACTCTGTGACTTGAATGCAAACATCCCGAAGAATTTTCTGAGAATGCTTCTGTCTAGATTTTACCTGAAGACAATCCCGTTTCCCACGAAATCCTCAAAGCTATGCAAATATCCTCTTGCAGATTCTACAAAAAGAGTGTTTCGAAACTGCTCTATGAAAAGAAAGGTTCAACTCTGTCAGTAGAGGGCACACATCACAAACAAGTTTCTGAGAATGCTTGTGTCTACTTGTTATGGGAAGATATTTCCTTTTTCAACATAGGCCTGAAAGCGCTCCAAATGTCCACTTCCAGATACTACAAAAGGAGTGATTCCAACCTGCTCTATGATAGGGAATGTTCAACTCTGTGTCCTGAATACAAACATCACAAAGATGTTTCTCAGAACGCTGCAGTCTGCAATTTGTATGAATTCCCGCTTCCAACGAATTCCTCAAAACTAACCAAATATCCACTTGCAGACTCCACAAAAAGAGCATTTCAAAACTGCTCTATCAAAAGAAAGGTTCAACTTGTTAGCTGAGTAGTTACAGCATAAACAAGTTTCTGAGAATGCTTCTGTCCAGTTTTTATGGGAAGATATTTCCTTTTTCACCTTAGCCCTGAAAGCACTCCAAATGTCCACTTCCAGATACCACAAAAGGGGAGTTTCAAGACTGCTCTATGACAGGGAGTGTTCAACTTTTGACTTGAATGCGAACATCAGAAAGAAGTTTCTCAGAACGCTGCTGTGTGCTTTTTATATGTATTCCCGCTTCCAGCGAAATCCCCTAAGCTAGCCAAATATCCACTTGCAGATTCCAGAAAAAGAGTGTTTCAAAACTGCTCCTTCAAAACGGTGGTTCAATTCTCTTAGTTGAGTACACACATCTCAAATAAGTTTCTGAGAATGCTTCTGTCTAGTTGTTATGGGAAGATATTTCCTTTTCCAACATAGGCCTGAAAGCGCTCCAAATGTCCACTTCCAGATACTACAAAAGGAGTGATTCAAACCTGCTCTATGATAGGGAATGTTCAACTCTGTGTCCTGAATACAAACATCACAAAGATGTTTCTCAGAACGCTGCAGTCTGCAATTTGTATGAATTCCCGCTTCCAACGAAATCCTCAAAACTAGCCAAATATCCACTTGCAGATTCCACAAAAAGAGCGTTTCAAAACTTCTCTATGAAAAGAAAGTTTCTACTCCTTTAGTTGAGTACACACATCACGAGTAAGTTTCTGAGAATGCTTCTGTCTACTTTTTATGGGAAGATATTTCCTTTTTCACCTTAGGCCGGAAAGCGCTCCAAATGTCCGCTTACACACACTTCAAAAAGAGTGTTTCAAACCTGCTCTGTGAAAGGGAATGTTCAATTCTGTGACTTGAATGCAATCATCACAAAGAACTTTCTGAGAATGCCGTTGTCTGCTTTTTATATGTAATCCCGTTTCCAACGAAATGCTCAAATCTAGCCAAATATCCACTTGCAGATTCCACAAAAAGAGTGTTTCAAAACTGTTCTGTCTAAAGAAATGTTCAACTGTGTTAGTTGAGGACACACATCAGAAACTAGTTTCTGAGAATGCTTCTGTCTAGTTGTTATGGGAAGATATTTCCTTTTCCAACGTAGGCCTGAAAGCGCTCCAAATGTCCACTTCCATATACTAAAAAAAGAGTGTTTCAACCCTGCTCTACCAAAGGGAATGTTCTACTCTGTGACTTGAATGCAAACATCCCAAAGAAGTTTCTGAGAATGCTTCTGTCTAGATTTTATCTGAAGAAAATCCCGTTTCCTACGAAATCCTCAAGGCTAGGCAAATATCCTCTTGCAGATTCCAGAAAAAGAGTGTTTCAAAACTGCTCCTTCAAAACGGTGGTTCAATTCTCTTAGTTGAGTACACACATCTCAAATACGTTTCTGAGAATGCTTCTGCCTAGTTGTTACGGGAAGATATTTCCCTTTCCAACATAGGCCTGAAAGCGCTCCAAATGTCCACTTCCAGATACTACAAAAAGAGTGTTTCAAACCTGCTCTACCAAAGGGAATGTTCTACTCTGTGACTTGAATGCAAACATCCCAAAGAAGTTTCTGAGAATGCTTCTGTCCAGATTTTACCTGAAGACAATCCCGTTTCCCACGAAATCCTCAAAGCTATGCAAATATCCTCTTGCAGATTCTACAAAAAGAGTGTTTCAAAACTGCTCTATGAAAAGAAAGGTTCAAATCTGTCAGTAGAGGGCACACATCACAAACAAGTTTCTGGGAATGCTTGTGTCTAGTTGTTATGGGAAGATATTTCCTTTTTCAACATAGGCCTGAAAGCGCTCCAAATGTCCACTTCCAGATACTACAAAAGGAGTGATTCCAACCTGCTCTATGAGAGGGAATGTTCAACTCTCTGTCCTGAATACAAACATCACAAAGATGTTTCTCAGAACGCTGCAGTCTGCAATTTGTATGAATTCCCGCTTCCAACGAAATCCTCAAAACTAGCCAAATATCCACTTGCAGATTCCACAAAAAGACCATTTCAAAACTGCTCTATCAAAAGAAAGGTTCAACTTTGTTAGTTGAGTAGATACAGCATAAACAAGTTTCTGAGAATGCTTCTGTCCAGTTTTTATGGGAAGATATTTCCTTTTTCACCTTAGCCCTGAAAGCGCTCCAAAAGTCCAGTTCCAGATACTACAAAAGGAGTGTTTCAGGACTGCACTATGAAAGGGAGTGTTCAACTTTTGACTTGAATGCAAACATCAGAAAGCAGTTTCTCAGAACGCTGCTGTGTGCTTTTTATATGTATTCCCGCTTCCAGCGAAATCCCCAAAGCTAGCCAAATATCCACTTGCAGATTCCAGGAAAAGAGTGTTTCAAAACTGCTCCTTCAAAACGGTGGTTCAATTCTCTTAGTTGAGTACACACATCTCAAATAAGTTTCTGAGAATGCTTCTGTCTAGTTGTTATGGGAAGATATTTCCTTTTCCAACATAGGCCTGAAAGCGCTCCAAATGTCCACTTCCAGATACTACAAAAGGAGTGATTCAAACCTGCTCTATGATAGGGAATGTTCAACTCTGTGTCCTGAATACAAACATCACAAAGATGTTTCTCAGAACGCTGCAGTCTGCAATTTGTATGAATTCCCGCTTCCAACGAAATCCTCCAAACTAGCCAAATATCCACTTGCAGATTCCACAAAAAGAGCATTTCAAAACTGCTCTATCAAAAGAAAGGTTCAACTATGTTAGTTGAGTAGATACAGCATAAACAAGTTTCTGAGAATGATTCTCTCCAGTTTTTATGGGAAGATATTTCCTTTTTCACCTTAGCCCTGAAAGCGCTCCAAAAGTCCAGTTCCAGATACTACAAAAGGAGTGTTTCAGGACTGCTCTATGAAAGGGAGTGTTCAACTTTTGACTTGAATGCAAACATCAGAATGCAGTTTCTCAGAACGCTGCTGTGTGCTTTTTATATGTATTCCCGCTTCCAGCGAAATCCCCAAAGCTAGCCAAATATCCACTTGCAGATTCCAGAAAAAGAGTGTTTCAAAACTGCTCCTTCAAAACGGTGGTTCAATTCTCTTAGTTGAGTACACACATCTCAAATAAGTTTCTGAGAATGCTTCTGTCTAGTTGTTATGGGAAGATATTTCCTTTTCCAACATAGGCCTGAAAGCGCTCCAAATGTCCACTTCCAGATACTACAAAAGGAGTGATTCAAACCTGCTCTATGATAGGGAATGTTCAACTCTGTGTCCTGAATACAAACATCACAAAGATGTTTCTCAGAACGCTGCAGTCTGCAATTTGTATGAATTCCCGCTTCCAACGAAATCCTCCAAACTAGCCAAATATCCACTTGCAGATTCCACAAAAAGAGCGTTTCAAAACTTCTCTATGAAAAGAAAGTTTCTACTCCTTTAGTTGAGGACACACATCACGAGTAAGTTTCTGAGAATGCTTCTGTCTAGTTTTTATGGGAAGATATTTCCTTTTTCACCTTAGGCCGGAAAGTGCTCCAAATGTCCACTTACACACACTACAAAAAGAGTGTTTCAAACCTGCTCTGTGAAAGGGAATGTTCAATTCTGTGACTTGAATGCAATCATCACAAAGAACTTTCTGAGAATGCTGCTGTCTGCTTTTTATATGTAATCCCGTTTCCAACGAAATCCTCAAATCTAGCCAAATAGCCACTTGCAGATTCCACAAAAAGAGTGTTTCAAAACTGTTCTGTCTAAAGAAATGTTCAACTGTGTTAGTTGAGGACACACATCAGAAACTAGTTTCTGAGAATGCTTCTGTCTAGTTGTTATGGGAAGATATTTCCTTTTCCAAAGTAGGCCTGAAAGCGCTCCAAATGTCCACTTCCATATACGAAAAAAAGAGTGTTTCAAACCTGCTCTACCAAAGGGAATGTTCTACTCTGTGACTTGAATGCAAACATCCCAAAGAAGTTTCTGAGAATGCTTCTGTCTAGATTTGATCTGAAGACAATCCCGTTTCCAACGGAATCCTCAAAGCTAGGCAAATATCCTCTTGCAGATTCCAGAAAAAGAGTGTTTCAAAACTGCTCCTTCAAAACGGTGGTTCAATTCTCTTAGTTGAGTACACACATCTCAAATAAGTTTCTGAGAATGCTTCTGCCTAGTTGTTACGGGAAGATATTTCCCTTTCCAACATGGGCCTGATAGTGCTCCAAATGTCCACTTCCAGATACTACAAAAAGAGTGTTTCAAACCTGCTCTACCAAAGGGAATGTTCTACTCTGTGACTTGAATGCAAACATCCCAAAAAAGTTTCTGAGAATGCTTCTGTCTACATTTTACCTGAAGACAATCCCGTTTCCCACGAAATCCTCAAAGCTATGCAAATATCCTCTTGCGGATTCTATAAAAGAGTGTTTCAAAACTGCTCTATGAAAAGAAAGGTTCAACTCTGTCAGTAGAGGGCACACATCACAAACAAGTTTCTGAGAATGCTTGTGTCTAGTTGTTATGGGAAGATATTTCCTTTTTCAACATAGGCCTGAAAGCGCTCCAAATGTCCACTTCCAGATACTACAAAAGGAGTGATTCCAACATGCTCTATGATAGGGAATGTTCATCTCTGTGTCCTGAATACAAACATCACAAAGATGTTTCTCAGAACGCTGCAGTCTGCAATTTGTATGAATTCCCGCTTCCAACGAAATCCTCAAAACTAGCCAAATATCCACTTGGAGATTCCACAAAAAGAGCGTTTCAAAACTTCTCTATGAATAGAAAGGTTCTACTCCTTTAGTTGAGGACACACATCACGAGTAAGTTTCTGAGAATGCTTCTGTCTAGTTTTTATGGGAAGATATTTCCTTTTTCGCCTTAGGCCGGAAAGCGCTCCAAATGTCCACTTACACACACTACAAAAAGAGTGTTTCAAACCTGCTCTGTGAAAGGGAATGTTCAATTCTGTGACTTGAATGCAATCATCACAAAGAACTTTCTGAGACTGCTGCTGTCTGCTTTTTATATGTAATCCCGTTTCCAACGAAATCCTCAAATCTACCCCAATATCCACTTGCAGATTCCACAAAAAGAGTGTTTCAAAACTGTTCTGTGTAAAGAAATGTACAACTGTTTTAGTTGAGGACACACATCAGAAACTAGTTTCTGAGAATGCTTCTGTCTAGTTGTTATGGGAAGATATTTCCTTTTCCAACGTAGGCCTGAAAGCGCTCCAAATGTCCACTTCCATATACTAAAAAAAGAGTGTTTCAAACCTGCTCTACCAAAGGGAATGTTCTACTCTGTGACTTGAATGCAAACATCCCAAAGAAGTTTCTGAGAATGCTTCTGTCTAGATTTGATCTGAAGACAATCCCGTTTCCAACGAAATCCTCAAGGCTAGGCAAATATACTCTTGCAGATTCCAGAAAAAGAGTGTTTCAAAACTGCTCCTTCAAAACGGTGGTTCAATTCTCTTCGTTGAGTCCACACATCTCAAATACGTTTCTGAGAATGCTTCTGCCTAGTTGTTACGGGAAGATATTTCCCTTTCCAACATGGGCCTGAAAGCGCTCCAAATGTCCACTTCCAGATACTACAAAAAGAGTGTTTCAAACCTACTCTACCAAAGGGAATGTTCTACTCTGTGACTTGAATGCAAACATCCCAAAGAAGTTTCTGAGAATGCTTCTGTCTAGATTTTACCTGAAGACAATCCCGTTTCCCACGAAATCCTCAAAGCTATGCAAATATCCTCTTGCGGATTCTACAAAAAGAGTGTTTCAAAACTGCTCTATGAAAAGAAAGGTTCAACTCTGTCAGTAGAGGGCACACATCACAAACAAGTTTCTGAGAATGCTTGTGTCTAGTTGTTATGGGAAGATATATCCTTTTTCAACATAGGCCTGAAAGCGCTCCAAATGTCCACTTCCAGATACTACAAAAGGAGTGATTCCAACCTGCTCTATGATAGGGAATGTTCATGTCTGTGTCCTGAATACAAACATCACAAAGATGTTTCTCAGAACGCTGCAGTCTGCAATTTGTATGAATTCCCGCTTCCTACGAAATCCTCAACACTAGCCAAATATCCACTTGGAGATTCCACAAAAAGAGCGTTTCAAAACTTCTCTATGAATAGAAAGGTTCTACTCCTTTAGTTGAGGACACACATCACGAGTAAGTTTCTGAGAATGCTTCTGTCTAGTTTTTATGGGAAGATATGTCCTTTTTCACCTTAGGCCGGAAAGCGCTCCAAATGTCCACTTACACACACTACAAAAAGAGTGTTTCAAACCTGCTCTGTGAAAGGGAATGTTCAATTCTGTGACTTGAATGCAATCATCACAAAGAACTTTCTGAGAATGCTGCTGACTGCTTTTTATATGTAATCCCGTTTCCAACGAAATCCTCAAATCTAGCCCAATATCCACTTGCAGATTCCACAAAAAGAGTGTTTCAAAACTGTTCTGTGTAAAGAAATGTACAACTGTGTTAGTTGAGGACACACATCAGAAACTAGTTTCTGAGAATGCTTCTGTCTAGTTGTTATGGGAAGATATTTCCTTTTCCAACGTAGGCCTGAAAGCGCTCCAAATGTCCACTTCCATATACTAAAAAAAGAGTGTTTCAAACCTGCTCTACCAAAGGGAATGTTCTACTCTGTGACTTGAATGCAAACATCGCAAAGAAGTTTCTGAGAATGCTTCTGTCTAGATTTTCTCTGAAGACAATCCCGTTTCCAACGAAATCCTCAAGGCTAGGCAAATATACTCTTGCAGATTCCAGAAAAAGAGTGTTTCAAAACTGCTCCTTCAAAACGGTGGTTCAATTCTCTTAGTTGAGTACACACATCTCAAATAAGTTTCTGAGAATGCTTCTGCCTAGTTGTTACGGGAAGATATTTCCCTTTCCAACATGGGCCTGAAAGCGCTCCAAATGTCCACTTCCAGATACTACAAAAGGAGTGATTCAAACCTGCTCTACCAAAGGGAATGTTCTGCTCTGTGACTTGAATGCAAACATCCCAAAGAAGTTTCTGAGAATGCTTCTGTCTAGATTTTACCTGAAGACAATCCCGTTTCCCACGAAATCCTCAAAGCTATGCAAATATCCTCTTGCAGATTCTACAAAAAGAGTGTTTCAAAACTGCTCTATGAAAAGAAAGGTTCAACTCTGTCAGTAGAGGGCACACATCACAAACAAGTTTCTGAGAATGCTTGTGTCTAGTTGTTATGGGAAGATATTTCCTTTTTCAACATAGGCCTGAAAGCGCTCCAAATGTCCACTTCCAGATACTACAAAAGGAGTGATTCCAACCTGCTCTATGATAGGGAATGTTCAACTCTCTGTCCTGAATACAAACATCACAAAGATGTTTCTCAGAACGCTGCAGTCTGCAATTTGTATGAATTCCCGCTTCCAACGAAATCCTCAAAACTAGCCAAATATCCACTTGCAGATTCCACAAAAAGAGCATTTCAAAACTGCTCTATCAAAAGAAAGGTTCAACTTTGTTAGTTGAGTAGATACAGCATAAACAAGTTTCTGAGAATGCTTCTGTCCAGTTTTTATGGGAAGATATTTCCTTTTTCACCTTAGCCCTGAAAGCGCTCCAAAAGTCCAGTTCCAGATACTACAAAAGGAGTGTTTCAGGACTGCTCTATGAAAGGGAGTGTTCAACTTTTGACTTGAATGCAAACATCAGAAAGCAGTTTCTCAGAACGCTGCTGTGTGCTTTTTATATGTATTCCCGCCTCCAGCGAAATCCCCAAAGCTAGCCAAATATCCACTTGCAGATTCCAGAAAAAGAGTGTTTCAAAACTGCTCCTTCAAAACGGTGGTTCAATTCTCTTAGTTGAGTACACACATCTCAAATAAGTTTCTGAGAATGCTTCTGTCTAGTTGTTATGGGAAGATATTTCCTTTTCCAACATAGGCCTGAAAGCGCTCCAAATGTCCACTTCCAGATACTACAAAAGGAGTGATTCCAACCTGCTCTATGATAGGGAATGTTCAACTCTGTGTCCTGAATACAAACATCACAAAGATGTTTCTCAGAACGCTGCAGTCTGCAATTTGTATGAATTCCCGCTTCCAACGAAATCCTCCAAACTAGCCAAATATCCACTTGCAGATTCCACAAAAAGAGCGTTTCAAAACTTCTCTATGAAAGAAAGGTTCTACTCCTTTAGTTGAGGACACACATCACGAGTAAGTTTCTGAGAATGCTTCTGTCTAGTTTGTATGGGAAGATATTTCCTTTTTCACCTTAGGCCGGAAAGTGCTCCAAATGTCCACTTACACACACTACAAAAAGAGTGTTTCAAACCTGCTCTGTGAAAGGGAATGTTCAATTCTGTGACTTGAATGCAATCATCACAAAGAACTTTCTGAGAATGCTGCTGTCTGCTTTTTATATGTAATCCCGTTTCCAACGAAATCCTCAAATCTAGCCAAATAGCCACTTGCAGATTCCACAAAAAGAGAGTTTCAAAACTGTTCTGTCTAAAGAAATGTTCAACTGTGTTAGTTGAGGACACACATCAGAAACTAGTTTCTGAGAATGCTTCTGTCTAGTTGTTATGGGAAGATATTTCCTTTTCCAACATAGGCCTGAAAGCGCTCCAAATGTCCACTTCCAGATACTACAAAAAGAGTGTTTCAAACCTGCTCTACCAAAGGGAATGTTCTACTCTGTGACTTGAATGCAAACATCCCAAAGAAGTTTCTGAGAATGCTTCTGTCTAGATTTTACCTGAAGACAATCCCGTTTCCTACGAAATCCTCAAAGCTATGCAAATATCCTCTTGCAGATTCTACAAAAAGAGTGTTTCAAAACTGCTCTATGAAAAGAAAGGTTCAACTCTGTCAGTAGAGGGCACACATCACAAACAAGTTTCTGAGAATGCTTGTGTCTAGTTGTTATGGGAAGATATTTCCTTTTTCAACATAGGCCTGAAAGCGCTCCAAATGTCCACTTCCAGATACTACAAAAGGAGTGATTCCAACCTGCTCTATGATAGGGAATGTTCAACTCTCTGTCCTGAATACAAACATCACAAAGATGTTTCTCAGAACGCTGCAGTCTGCAATTTGTATGAGTTCCCGCTTCCAACGAAATCCTCAAAACTAGCCAAATATCCACTTGCAGATTCCACAAAAAGAGCATTTCAAAACTGCTCTATCAAAAGAAAGGTTCAACTTTGTTAGTTGAGTAGATACAGCATAAACAAGTTTCTGAGAATGCTTCTGTCCAGTTTTTATGGGAAGATATTTCCTTTTTCACCTTAGCCCTGAAAGCGCTCCAAAAGTCCAGTTCCAGATACTACAAAAGGAGTGTTTCAGGACTGCACTATGAAAGGGAGTGTTCAACTTTTGACTTGAATGCAAACATCAGAAAGCAGTTTCTCAGAACGCTGCTGTGTGCTTTTTATATGTATTCCCGCTTCCAGCGAAATCCCCAAAGCTAGCCAAATATCCACTTGCAGATTCCAGAAAAAGAGTGTTTCAAAACTGCTCCTTCAAAACGGTGGTTCAATTCTCTTAGTTGAGTACACACATCTCAAATAAGTTTCTGAGAATGCTTCTGTCTAGTTGTTATGGGAAGATATTTCCTTTTCCAACATAGGCCTGAAAGCGCTCCAAATGTCCACTTCCAGATACTACAAAAGGAGTGATTCAAACCTGCTCTATGATAGGGAATGTTCAACTCTGTGTCCTGAATACAAACATCACAAAGATGTTTCTCAGAACGCTGCAGTCTGCAATTTGTATGAATTCCCGCTTCCAACGAAATCCTCCAAACTAGCCAAATATCCACTTGCAGATTCCACAAAAAGAGCGTTTCAAAACTTCTCTATGAAAAGAAAGGTTCTACTCCTTTAGTTGAGGACACACATCACGAGTAAGTTTCTGAGAATGCTTCTGTCTAGTTTTTATGGGAAGATATGTCCTTTTTCACCTTAGGCCGGAAAGCGCTCCAAATGTCCACTTACACACACTACAAAAAGAGTGTTTCAAACCTGCTCTGTGAAAGGGAATGTTCAATTCTGTGACTTGAATGCAATCATCACAAAGAACTTTCTGAGAATGCTGCTGTCTGCTTTTTATATGTAATCCCGTTTCCAACGAAATCCTCAAATCTAGCCAAATATCCACTTGCAGATTCCACAAAAAGAGTGTTTCAAAACTGTTCTGTCTAAAGAAAAGTTCAACTGTGTTAGTTGAGGACACACATCAGAAACTAGTTTCTGAGAATGCTTCTGTCTAGTTGTTATGGGAAGATATTTCCTTTTCCAACGTAGGCCTGAAAGCGCTCCAAATGTCCACTTCCAGATACTACAAAAAGAGTGTTTCAAACCTGCTCTACCAAAGGGAATGTTCTACTCTGTGACTTGAATGCAAACATCCCAAAGAAGTTTCTGAGAATGCTTCTGTCTAGATTTTATCTGAAGACAATCCCGTTTCCAACGAAATCCTCAAGGCTAGGCAAATATACTCTTGCAGATTCCAGAAAAAGAGTGTTTCAAAACTGCACCTTCAAAACGGTGGTTCAATTCTCTTAGTTGAGTACACACATCTCAAATAAGTTTCTGAGAATGCTTCTGCCTAGTTGTTACGGGAAGATATTTCCCTTTCCAACATGGGCCTGATAGCGCTCCGAATGTCCACTTCCAGATACTACAAAAAGAGGGTTTCAAACCTGCTCTACCAAAGGGAATGTTCTACTCTGTGACTTGAATGCAAACATCCCAAAGAAGTTTCTGAGAATGCTTCTGTCTAGATTTTACCTGAAGACAATCCCGTTTCCCACGAAATCCTCAAAGCTATGCAAATATCCTCTTGCAGATTCTACAAAAAGAGTGTTTCAAAACTGCTCTATGAAAAGAAAGGTTCAACTCTGTCAGTAGAGGGCACACATCACAAACAAGTTTCTGAGAATGCTTGTGTCTAGTTGTTATGGGAAGATATTTCCTTTTTCAACATAGGCCTGAAAGCGCTCCAAATGTCCACTTCCAGATACTACAAAAGGAGTGATTCCAACCTGCTCTATGATAGGGAATGTTCATCTCTGTGTCCTGAATACAAACATCACAAAGATGTTTCTCAGAACGCTGCAGTCTGCAATTTGTATGAATTCCCGCTTCCAACGAAATCCTCAAAACTAGCCAAATATCCACTTGGAGATTCCACAAAAAGAGCGTTTCAAAACTTCTCTATGAATAGAAAGGTTCTACTCCTTTAGTTGAGGACACACATCACGAGTAAGTTTCTGAGAATGCTTCTGTCTAGTTTTTATGGGAAGATATTTCCTTTTTCACCTTAGGCCGGAAAGCGCTCCAAATGTCCACTTACACACACTACAAAAAGAGTGTTTCAATCCTGCTCTGTGAAAGGGAATGTTCAATTCTGTGACTTGAATGCAATCATCACAAAGAACTTTACTGAGAATGCTGGCTGTCTGCTTTTTATATGTAATCCCGTTTCCAACGAAATCCTCAAATCTAGCCAAATAGCCACTTGCAGATTCCACAAAAAGAGAGTTTCAAAACTGTTCTGTCTAAAGAAATGTTCAACTGTGTTAGTTGAGGACACACATCAGAAACTAGTTTCTGAGAATGCTTCTGTCTAGTTGTTATGGGAAGATATTTCCTTTTCCAACGTAGGCCTGAAAGCGCTCCAAATGTCCACTTCCATATACTAAAAAAAGAGTGTTTCAAACCTGCTCTACCAAAGGGAATGTTCTACTCTGTGACTTGAATGCAAACATCCCAAAGAAGTTTCTGAGAATGCTTCTGTCTAGATTTGATGTGAAGACAATCCCGTTTCCAACGAAATCCTCAAGGCTAGGCAAATATCCTCTTGCAGATTCCAGAAAAAGAGTGTTTCAAAACTGCTCCTTCAAAACGGTGGTTCAATTCTCTTAGTTGAGTACACACATCTCAAATAAGTTTCTGAGAATGCTTCTGCCTAGTTGTTACGGGAAGATATTTCCCTTTCCAACATAGGCCTGAAAGCGCTCCAAATGTCCACTTCCAGATACTACAAAAAGAGTGTTTCAAACCTGCTCTACCAAAGGGAATGTTCTACTCTGTGACTTGAATGCAAACATCCCAAAGAAGTTTCTGAGAATGCTTCTGTCTAGATTTTACCTGAAGACAATCCCGTTTCCCACGAAATCCTCAAAGCTATGCAAATATCCTCTTGCAGATTCTACAAAAAGAGTGTTTCAAAACTGCTCTATGAAAAGAAAGGTTCAACTCTGTCAGTAGAGGGCACACATCACAAACAAGTTTCTGAGAATGCTTGTGTCTAGTTGTTATGGGAAGATATTTCCTTTTTCAACATAGGCCTGAAAGCGCTCCAAATGTCCACTTCCAGATACTACAAAAGGAGTGATTCCAACCTGCTCTATGATAGGGAATGTTCAACTCTCTGTCCTGAATACAAACATCACAAAGATGTTTCTCAGAACGCTGCAGTCTGCAATTTGTATGAATTCCCGCTTCCAACGAAATCCTCAAAACTAGCCAAATATCCACTTGCAGATTCCACAAAAAGAGCATTTCAAAACTGCTCTATCAAAAGAAAGGTTCAACTTTGTTAGTTGAGTAGATACAGCATAAACAAGTTTCTGAGAATGCTTCTGTCCAGTTTTTATGGGAAGATATTTCCTTTTTCACCTTAGCCCTGAAAGCGCTCCAAAAGTCCAGTTCCAGATACTACAAAAGGAGTGTTTCAGGACTGCTCTATGAAAGGGAGTGTTCAACTTTTGACTTGAATGCAAACATCAGAAAGCAGTTTCTCAGAACGCTGCTGTGTGCTTTTTATATGTATTCCCGCTTCCCAGCGAAATCCCCAAAGCTAGCCAAATATCCACTTGCAGATTCCAGAAAAAGAGTGTTTCAAAACTGCTCCTTCAAAACGGTGGTTCAATTCTCTTAGTTGAGTACACACATCTCAAATAAGTTTCTGAGAATGCTTCTGTCTAGTTGTTATGGGAAGATATTTCCTTTTCCAACATAGGCCTGAAAGCGCTCCAAATGTCCACTTCCAGATACTACAAAAGGAGTGATTCAAACCTGCTCTATGATAGGGAATGTTCAACTCTGTGTCCTGAATACAAACATCACAAAGATGTTTCTCAGAACGCTGCAGTCTGCAATTTGTATGAATTCCCGCTTCCAACGAAATCCTCAAAACTAGCCAAATATCCACTTGCAGATTCCACAAAAAGAGCGTTTCAAAACTTCTCTATGAAAAGAAAGGTTCTACTCCTTTAGTTGAGGACACACATCACGAGTAAGTTTCTGAGAATGCTTCTGTCTAGTTTTTATGGGAAGATATTTCCTTTTTCACCTTAGGCCAGAAAGCTCTCCAAATGTCCACTTACACACACTACAAAAAGAGTGTTTCAAACCTGCTCTGTGAAAGGGAATTTTCAATTCTGTGACTTGAATGCAATCATCACAAAGAACTATCTGAGAATGCTGCTGACTGCTTTTTATATGTAATCCCGTTTCCAACGAAATCCTCAAATCTAGCCAAATATCCACTTGCAGATTCCACAAAAAGAGTGTTTCATAACTGTTCTGTCTAAAGAAATGTACAACTGTGTTAGTTGAGGACACACATCAGAAACTAGTTTCTGAGAATGCTTCTGTCTAGTTGTTATGGGAAGATATTTCCTTTTCCAACGTAGGCCTGAAAGCGCTCCAAATGTCCACTTCCATATACTAAAAAAAGAGTGTTTCAAACCTGCTCTACCAAAGGGAATGTTCTACTCTGTGACTTGAATGCAAACATCCCAAAGAAGTTTCTGAGAATGCTTCTGTCTAGATTTTATCTGAAGACAATCCCGTTTCCAACGAAATCCTCAAGGCTAGGCAAATATCCTCTTGCAGATTCCAGAAAAAGAGTGTTTCAAAACTGCTCCTTCAAAACGGTGGTTCAATTCTCTTAGTTGAGTACACACATCTCAAATAAGTTTCTGAGAATGCTTCTGCCTAGTTGTTACGGGAAGATATTTCCCTTTCCAACATGGGCCTGATAGTGCTCCAAATGTCCACTTCCAGATACTACAAAAAGAGTGTTTCAAACCTGCTCTACCAAAGGGAATGTTCTACTCTGTGACTTGAATGCAAACATCCCAAAAAAGTTTCTGAGAATGCTTCTGTCTAGATTTTACCTGAAGACAATCCCGTTTCTCACGAAATCCTCAAAACTATGCAAATATCCTCTTGCAGATTCTACAAAAAGAGTGTTTCAAAACTGCTCTATGAAAAGAAAGGTTCAACTCTGTCAGTAGAGGGCACACATCACAAACAAGTTTCTGAGAATGCTTGTGTCTAGTTGTTATGGGAAGATATTTCCTTTTTCAACATAGGCCTGAAAGCGCTCCAAATGTCCACTTCCAGATACTACAAAAGGAGTGATTCCAACCTGCTCTATGATAGGGAATGTTCAACTCTCTGTCCTGAATACAAACATCACAAAGATGTTTCTCAGAACGCTGCAGTCTGCAATTTGTATGAATTCCCGCTTCCAACGAAATCCTCAAAACTAGCCAAATATCCACTTGCAGATTCCACAAAAAGAGCATTTCAAAACTGCTCTATCAAAAGAAAGGTTCAACTTTGTTAGTTGAGTAGATACAGCATAAACAAGTTTCTGAGAATGCTTCTGTCCAGTTTTTATGGGAAGATATTTCCTTTTTCACCTTAGCCCTGAAAGCGCTCCAAAAGTCCAGTTCCAGATACTACAAAAGGAGTGTTTCAGGACTGCTCTATGAAAGGGAGTGTTCAACTTTTGACTTGAATGCAAACATCAGAAAGCAGTTTCTCAGAACGCTGCTGTGTGCTTTTTATATGTATTCCCGCTTCCAGCGAAATCCCCAAAGCTAGCCAAATATCCACTTGCAGATTCCAGAAAAAGAGTGTTTCAAAACTGCTCCTTCAAAACGGTGGTTCAATTCTCTTAGTTGAGTACACACATCTCAAATAAGTTTCTGAGAATGCTTCTGTCCAGTTTTTATGGGAAGATATTTCCTTTTTCACCTTAGCCCTGAAAGCGCTCCAAAAGTCCAGTTCCAGATACTACAAAAGGAGTGTTTCAGGACTGCTCTATCAAAGGGAGTGTTCAACTTTTGACTTGAATGCAAACATCAGAAAGCAGTTTCTCAGAACGCTGCAGTCTGCAATTTGTATGAATTCCCGCTTCCAACGAAATCCTCCAAAGTAGCCAAATATCCACTTGCAGATTCCACAAAAAGAGCGTTTCAAAACTTCTCTATGAAAAGAAAGGTTCTACTCCTTTAGTTGAGGACACACATCACGAGTAAGTTTCTGAGAGTGCTTCTGTCTAGTTTTTATGGGAAGATATTTCCTTTTTCACCTTAGGCCGGAAAGTGCTCCAAATGTCCACTTACACACACTACAAAAAGAGTGTTTCAAACCTGCTCTGTGAAAGGGAATGTTCAATTCTGTGACTTGAATGCAATCATCACAAAGAACTTTCTGAGAATGCTGCTGTCTGCTTTTTATATGTAATCCCGTTTCCAACGAAATCCTCAAATCTAGCCAAATAGCCACTTGCAGATTCCACAAAAAGAGTGTTTCAAAACTGTTCTGTCTAAAGAAATGTTCAACTGTGTTAGTTGAGGACACACATCAGAAACTAGTTTCTGAGAATGCTTCTGTCTAGTTGTTATGGGAAGATATTTCCTTTTCCAACGTAGGCCTGAAAGCGCTCCAAATGTCCACTTCCAGATACTACAAAAAGAGTGTTTCAAACCTGCTCTACCAAAGGGAATGTTCTACTCTGTGACTTGAATGCAAACATCCCAAGGAAGTTTCTGAGAATGCTTCTGTCTAGATTTTACCTGAAGACAATCCCGTTTCCAACGAAATCCTCAAAGCTATGCAAATATCCTCTTGCAGATTCTACAAAAAGAGTGTTTCGAAACTGCTCTATGAAAAGAAATGTTCAACTCTGTCAGTAGAGGGCACACATCACAAACAAGTTTCTGAGAATGCTTCTGCCTAGTTGTTGCGGGAAGATATTTCCCTTTCCAACATAGGCCTGAAAGCGCTCCAAATGTCCACTTCCAGATACTACAAAAAGAGTGTTTCAAACCTGCTCTACCAAAGGGAATGTTCTACTCTGTGACTTGAATGCAAACATCCCAAAGAAGTTTCTGAGAATGCTTCTGTCTAGATTTTACCTGAAGACAATCCCGTTTCCCACGAAATCCTCAAAGCTATGCAAATATCCTCTTGCAGATTCTACAAAAAGAGTGTTTCAAAACTGCTCTATGAAAAGAAAGGTTCAACTCTGTCAGTAGAGGGCACACATCACAAACAAGTTTCTGAGAATGCTTGTGTCTAGTTGTTATGGGAAGATATTTCCTTTTTCAACATAGTCCTGAAAGCGCTCCAAATGTCCACTTCCAGATACTACAAAAGGAGTGATTCCAACCTGCTCTATGATAGGGAATGTTCAACTCTCTGTCCTGAATACAAACATCACAAAGATGTTTCTCAGAACGCTGCAGTCTGCAATTTGTATGAATTCCAGCTTCCAACGAAATCCTCACAACTAGCCAAATATCCACTTGCAGATTCCAGAAAAAGAGCATTTCAAAACTGCTCTATCAAAAGAAAGGTTCAACTTTGTTAGTTGAGTAGATACAGCATAAACAAGTTTCTGAGAATGCTTCTGTCCAGTTTTTATGGGAAGATATTTCCTTTTTCACCTTAGCCCTGAAAGCGCTCCAAAAGTCCAGTTCCAGATACTACAAAAGGAGTGTTTCAGGACTGCTCTATGAAAGGGAGTGTTCAACTTTTGACTTGAATGCAAACATCAGAAAGCAGTTTCTCAGAACGCTGCTGTGTGCTTTTTATATGTATTCCCGCTTCCAGCGAAATCCCCAAAGCTAGCCAAATATCCACTTGCAGATTCCAGAAAAAGAGTGTTTCAAAACTGCTCCTTCAAAACGGTGGTTCAATTCTCTTAGTTGAGTACACACATCTCAAATAAGTTTCTGAGAATGCTTCTGTCTAGTTGTTATGGGAAGATATTTCCTTTTCCAACATAGGCCTGAAAGCGCTCCAAATGTCCACTTCCAGATACTACAAAAGGAGTGATTCAAACCTGCTCTATGATAGGGAATGTTCAACTCTGTGTCCTGAATACAAACATCACAAAGATGTTTCTCAGAACGCTGCAGTCTGCAATTTGTATGAATTCCCGCTTCCAACGAAATCCTCCAAACTAGCCAAATATCCACTTGCAGATTCCACAAAAAGAGCGTTTCAAAACTTCTCTATGAAAAGAAAGGTTCTACTCCTTTAGTTGAGGACACACATCACGAGTAAGTTTCTGAGAATGCTTCTGTCTAGTTTTTATGGGAAGATATTTCCTTTTTCACCTTAGGCCAGAAAGTGCTCCAAATGTCCACTTACACACACTACAAAAAGAGTGTTTCAAACCTGTTCTGTGAAAGGGAATGTTCAATTCTGTGACTTGAATGCAATCATCACAAAGAACTTTCTGAGAATGCTGCTGTCTGCTTTTTATATGTAATCCCGTTTCCAACGAAATCCTCAAATCTAGCCAAATAGCCACTTGCAGATTCCACAAAAAGAGTGTTTCAAAACTGTTCTGTCTAAAGAAATGTTCAACTGTGTTAGTTGAGGACACACATCAGAAACTAGTTTCTGAGAATGCTTCTGTCTAGTTGTTATGGGAAGATATTTCCTTTTCCAACGTAGGCCTGAAAGCGCTCCAAATGTCCACTTCCATATACTAAAAAAAGAGTGTTTCAAACCTGCTCTACCAAAGGGAATGTTCTACTCTGTGACTTGAATGCAAACATCCCAAAGAAGTTTCTGAGAATGCTTCTGTCTAGATTTGATCTGAAGACAATCCCGTTTCCAACGAAATCCTCAAGGCTAGGCAAATATCCTCTTGCAGATTCCAGAAAAAGAGTGTTTCAAAACTGCTCCTTCAAAACGGTGGTTCAATTCTCTTAGTTGAGTACACACATCTCAAATAAGTTTCTGAGAATGCTTCTGCCTAGTTGTTACGGGAAGATATTTCCCTTTCCAACATAGGCCTGAAAGCGCTCCAAATGTCCACTTCCAGATACTACAAAAAGAGTGTTTCAAACCTGCTCTACCAAAGGGAATGTTCTACTCTGTGACTTGAATGCAAACATCCCAAAGAAGTTTCTGAGAATGCTTCTGTCTAGATTTTACCTGAAGACAATCCCGTTTCCCACGAAATCCTCAAAGCTATGCAAATATCCTCTTGCAGATTCTACAAAAAGAGTGTTTCAAAACTGCTCTATGAAAAGAAAGGTTCAACTCTGTCAGTAGAGGGCACACATCACAAACAAGTTTCTGAGAATGCTTGTGTCTAGTTGTTATGGGAAGATATTTCCTTTTTCAACATAGGCCTGAAAGCGCTCCAAATGTCCACTTCCAGATACTACAAAAGGAGTGATTCCAACCTGCTCTATGATAGGGAATGTTCAACTCTCTGTCCTGAATACAAACATCACAAAGATGTTTCTCAGAACGCTGCAGTCTGCAATTTGTATGAATTCCCGCTTCCAGCGAAATCCTCAAAACTAGCCAAATATCCACTTGCAGATTCCACAAAAAGAGCATTTCAAAACTGCTCTATCAAAAGAAAGGTTCAACTTTGTTAGTTGAGTAGATACAGCATAAACAAGTTTCTGAGAATGCTTCTGTCCAGTTTTTATGGGAAGATATTTCCTTTTTCACCTTAGCCCTGAAAGGGCTCCAAAAGTCCAGTTCCAGATACTACAAAAGGAGTGTTTCAGGACTGCTCTATGAAAGGGAGTGTTCAACTTTTGACTTGAATGCAAACATCAGAAAGCAGTTTCTCAGAACGCTGCTGTGTGCTTTTTATATGTATTCCCGCTTCCAGCGAAATCCCCAAAGCTAGCCAAATATCCACTTGCAGATTCCAGAAAAAGAGTGTTTCAAAACTGCTCCTTCAAAACGGTGGTTCAATTCTCTTAGTTGAGTACACACATCTCAAATAAGTTTCTGAGAATGCTTCTGTCTAGTTGTTATGGGAAGATATTTCCTTTTCCAACATAGGCCTGAAAGCGCTCCAAATGTCCACTTCCAGATACTACAAAAGGAGTGATTCCAACCTGCTCTATGATAGGGAATGTTCAACTCTGTGTCCTGAATACAAACATCACAAAGATGTTTCTCAGAACGCTGCAGTCTGCAATTTGTATGAATTCCCGCTTCCAACGAAATCCTCCAAACTAGCCAAATATCCACTTGCAGATTCCACAAAAAGAGCGTTTCAAAACTTCTCTATGAAAAGAAAGGTTCTACTCCTTTAGTTGAGGACACACATCATGAATAAGTTTCTGAGAGTGCTTCTGTCTAGTTTTTATGGGAAGATATTTCCTTTTTCACCTTAGGCCGGAAAGTGCTCCAAATGTCCACTTACACACACTACAAAAAGAGTGTTTCAAACCTGCTCTGTGAAAGGGAATGTTCAATTCTGTGACTTGAATGCAATCATCACAAAGAACTTTCTGAGAATGCTGCTGTCTGCTTTTTATATGTAATCCCGTTTCCAACGAAATCCTCAAATCTAGCCAAATAGCCACTTGCAGATTCCACAAAAAGAGTGTTTCAAAACTGTTCTGTCTAAAGAAATGTTCAACTGTGTTAGTTGAGGACACACATCAGAAACTAGTTTCTGAGAATGCTTCTGTCTAGTTGTTATGGGAAGATATTTCCTTTTCCAACGTAGGCCTGAAAGCGCTCCAAATGTCCACTTCCATATACTAAAAAAAGAGTGTTTCAAACCTGCTCTACCAAAGGGAATGTTCTACTCTGTGACTTGAATGCAAACATCCCAAAGAAGTTTCTGAGAATGCTTCTGTCTAGATTTGATCTGAAGACAATCCCGTTTCCAACGAAATCCTCAAGGCTAGGCAAATATCCTCTTGCAGATTCCAGAAAAAGAGTGTTTCAAAACTGCTCCTTCAAAACGGTGGTTCAATTCTCTTAGTTGAGTACACACATCTCAAATAAGTTTCTGAGAATGCTTCTGCCTAGTTGTTACGGGAAGATATTTCCCTTTCCAACATAGGCCTGAAAGCGCTCCAAATGTCCACTTCCAGATACTACAAAAAGAGTGTTTCAAACCTGCTCTACCAAAGGGAATGTTCTACTCTGTGACTTGAATGCAAACATCCCAAAGAAGTTTCTGAGAATGCTTCTGTCTAGATTTTACCTGAAGACAATCCCGTTTCCCACGAAATCCTCAAAGCTATGCAAATATCCTCTTGCAGATTCTACAAAAAGAGTGTTTCAAAACTGCTCTATGAAAAGAAAGGTTCAACTCTGTCAGTAGAGGGCACACATCACAAACAAGTTTCTGAGAATGCTTCTGCATAGTTGTTACGGGAAGATATTTCCCTTTCCAAAATAGGCCTGAAAGCGCTCCAAATGTCCACTTCCAGATACTACAAAAGGAGTGATTCCAACCTGCTCTATGATAGGGAATGTTCAACTCTGTGTCCTGAATACAAACATCACAAAGATGTTTCTCAGAACGCTGCAGTCTGCAATTTGTATGAATTCCCGCTTCCAACGAAATCCTCAAAACTAGCCAAATATCCACTTGCAGATTCCACAAAAAGACCATTTCAAAACTGCTCTATCAAAAGAAAGGTTCAACTTTGTTAGTTGAGTAGATACAGCATAAACAAGTTTCTGAGAATGCTTCTGTCCAGTTTTTATGGGAAGATATTTCCTTTTTCACCTTAGCCCTGAAATCGCTCCAAAAGTCCAGTTCCAGATACTACAAAAGGGGTGTTTCAGGACTGCTCTATGAAAGGGAGTGTTCAACTTTTGACTTGAATGCAAACATCAGAAAGCAGTTTCTCAGAACGCTGCTGTGTGCTTTTTATATGTATTCCCGCTTCCAGCGAAATCCCCAAAGCTAGCCAAATATCCACTTGCAGATTCCAGAAAAAGAGAGTTTCAAAACTGCTCCTTCAAAACGGTGGTTCAATTCTCTTAGTTGAGTACACACATCTCAAATAAGTTTCTGAGAATGCTTCTGTCTAGTTGTTATGGGAAGATATTTCCTTTTCCAACATAGGCCTGAAAGCGCTCCAAATGTCCACTTCCAGATACTACAAAAGGAGTGATTCAAACCTGCTCTATGATAGGGAATGTTCAACTCTGTGTCCTGAATACAAACATCACAAAGATGTTTCTCAGAACGCTGCAGTCTGCAATTTGTATGAATTCCCGCTTCCAACGAAATCCTCAAAACTAGCCAAATATCCACTTGCAGATTCCACAAAAAGAGCGTTTCAAAACTTCTCTATGAAAAGAAAGGTTCTACTCCTTTAGTTGAGGACACACATCACGAGTAAGTTTCTGAGAATGCTTCTGTCTAGTTTTTATGGGAAGATATTTCCTTTTTCACCTTAGGCCGGTAAGTGCTCCAAATGTCCACTTACACACACTACAAAAAGAGTGTTTCAAACCTGCTCTGTGAAAGGGAATGTTCAATTCTGTGACTTGAATGCAATCATCACAAAGAACTTTCTGAGAATGCCGCTGACTGCTTTTTATATGTAATCCCGTTTCCAACGAAATCCTCAAATCTAGCCAAATAGCCACTTGCAGATTCCACAAAAAGAGTGTTTCAAAACTGTTCTGTCTAAAGAAATGTTCAACTGTGTTAGTTGAGGACACACATCAGAAACTAGTTTCTGAGAATGCTTCTGTCTAGTTGTTATGGGAAGATATTTCCTTTTCCAACGTAGGCCTGAAAGCGCTCCAAATGTCCACTTCCAGATACTACAAAAAGAGTGTTTCAAACCTGCTCTACCAAAGGGAATGTTCTACTCTGTGACTTGAATGCAAGCATCCCAAAGAAGTTTCTGAGAATGCTTCTGTCTAGATTTTCTCTGAAGACAATCCCGTTTCCAACGAAATCCTCAAGGCTAGGCAAATATACTCTTGCAGATTCCAGAAAAAGAGTGTTTCAAAACTGCTCCTTCAAAACGGTGGTTCAATTCTCTTAGTTGAGTACACACATCTCAAATAAGTTTCTGAGAATGCTTCTGCCTAGTTGTTACGGGAAGATATTTCCCTTTCCAACATGGGCCTGAAAGCGCTCCAAATGTCCACTTCCAGATACTACAAAAAGAGTGTTTCAAACCTGCTCTACCAAAGGGAATGTTCTACTCTGTGACTTGAATGCAAACATCCCAAAGAAGTTTCTGAGAATGCTTCTGTCTAGATTTTACCTGAAGACAATCCCGTTTCCCACGAAATCCTCAAAGCTATGCAAATATCCTCTTGCAGATTCTACAAAAAGAGTGTTTCAAAACTGCTCTATGAAAAGAAAGGTTCAACTCTGTCAGTAGAGGGCACACATCACAAACAAGTTTCTGAGAATGCTTCTGCATAGTTGTTACGGGAAGATATTTCCCTTTCCAAAATAGGCCTGAAAGCGCTCCAAATGTCCACTTCCAGATACTACAAAAGGAGTGATTCCAACCTGCTCTATGATAGGGAATGTTCAACTCTGTGTCCTGAATACAAACATCACAAAGATGTTTCTCAGAACGCTGCAGTCTGCAATTTGTATGAATTCCCGCTTCCAACGAAATCCTCAAAACTAGCCAAATATCCACTTGCAGATTCCACAAAAAGACCATTTCAAAACTGCTCTATCAAAAGAAAGGTTCAACTTTGTTAGTTGAGTAGATACAGCATAAACAAGTTTCTGAGAATGCTTCTGTCCAGTTTTTATGGGAAGATATTTCCTTTTTCACCTTAGCCCTGAAATCGCTCCAAAAGTCCAGTTCCAGATACTACAAAAGGGGTGTTTCAAGACTGCTCTATGAAAGGGAGTGTTCAACTTTTGACTTGAATGCAAACATCAGAAAGCAGTTTCTCAGAACGCTGCTGTGTGCTTTTTATATGTATTCCCGCTTCCAGCGAAATCCCCAAAGCTAGCCAAATATCCACTTGCAGATTCCAGAAAAAGAGAGTTTCAAAACTGCTCCTTCAAAACGGTGGTTCAATTCTCTTAGTTGAGTACACACATCTCAAATAAGTTTCTGAGAATGCTTCTGTCTAGTTGTTATGGGAAGATATTTCCTTTTCCAACATAGGCCTGAAAGCGCTCCAAATGTCCACTTCCAGATACTACAAAAGGAGTGATTCCAACCTGCTCTATGATAGGGAATGTTCAACTCTGTGTCCTGAATACAAACATCACAAAGATGTTTCTCAGAACGCTGCAGTCTGCAATTTGTATGAATTCCCGCTTCCAACGAAATCCTCAAAACTAGCCAAATATCCACTTGCAGATTCCACAAAAAGAGCGTTTCAAAACTTCTCTATGAAAAGAAAGGTTCTACTCCTTTAGTTGAGGACACACATCACGAGTAAGTTTCTGAGAATGCTTCTGTCTAGTTTTTATGGGAAGATATTTCCTTTTTCACCTTAGGCCGGTAAGTGCTCCAAATGTCCACTTACACACACTACAAAAAGAGTGTTTCAAACCTGCTCTGTGAAAGGGAATGTTCAATTCTGTGACTTGAATGCAATCATCACAAAGAACTTTCTGAGAATGCTGCTGACTGCTTTTTATATGTAATCCCCGTTTCCAACGAAATCCTCAAATCTAGCCAAATAGCCACTTGCAGATTCCACAAAAAGAGTGTTTCAAAACTGTTCTGTCTAAAGAAATGTTCAACTGTGTTAGTTGAGGACACACATCAGAAACTAGTTTCTGAGAATGCTTCTGTCTAGTTGTTATGGGAAGATATTTCCTTTTCCAACGTAGGCCTGAAAGCGCTCCAAATGTCCACTTCCAGATACTACAAAAAGAGTGTTTCAAACCTGCTCTACCAAAGGGAATGTTCTACTCTGTGACTTGAATGCAAACATCCCAAAGAAGTTTCTGAGAATGCTTCTGTCTAGATTTTATCTGAAGACAATCCCGTTTCCAACGAAATCCTCAAGGCTAGGCAAATATACTCTTGCAGATTCCAGAAAAAGAGTGTTTCAAAACTGCTCCTTCAAAACGGTGGTTCAATTCTCTTAGTTGAGTACACACATCTCAAATGTTTCTGAGAATGCTTCTGCCTAGTTGTTACGGGAAGATATTTCCCTTTGCAACATGGGCCAGAAAGCGCTCCAAATGTCCACTTCCAGATACTACAAAAAGAGGGTTTCAAACCTGCTCTACCAAAGGGAATGTTCTACTTTGTGACTTGAATGTAAACATCCCAAAGAAGTTTCTGAGAATGCTTCTGTCTAGATTTTACCTGAAGACAATCCCGTTTCCCACGAAATCCTCAAAGCTATGCAAATATCCTCTTGCAGATTCTACAAAAAGAGTGTTTCAAAACTGCTCTATGAAAGGAAAGGTTCAACTCTGTCAGTAGAGGGCACACATCACAAACAAGTTTCTGAGAATGCTTGTGTCTAGTTGTTATGGGAAGATATTTCCTTTTTCAACATAGGCCTGAAAGCGCTCCAAATGTCCACTTCCAGATACTACAAAAGGAGTGATTCCAACCTGCTCTATGATAGGGAATGTTCCTCTCTGTGTCCTGAATACAAACATCACAAAGATGTTTCTCAGAACGCTGCAGTCTGCAATTTGTATGAATTCCCGCTTCCAACGAAATCCTCAAAACTAGCCAAATATCCACTTGGAGATTCCACAAAAAGAGCATTTCAAAACTTCTCTACGAATAGAAAGGTTCTACTCCTTTAGTTGAGGACACACATCACGAGTAAGTTTCTGAGAATGCTTCTGTCTAGTTTTTGTGGGAAGATATTTCCTTTTTCACCTTAGGCCGGAAAGTGCTCCAAATGTCCACTTACACACACTACAAAAAGAGTGTTTCAAACCTGCTCTGTGAAAGGGAATGTTCAATTCTGTGACTTGAATGCAATCATCACAGAGAACTTTCTGAGAATGCTGCTGTCTGCTTTTTATATGTAATCCCGTTTCCAACGAAATCCTCAAATCTAGCCAAATATCCACTTGCAGATTCCACAAAAAGAGTGTTTCAAAACTGTTCTGTCTAAAGAAAAGTTCAACTGTGTTAGTTGAGGACACACATCAGAAACTAGTTTCTGAGAATGCTTCTGTCTAGTTGTTATGGGAAGATATTTCCTTTTCCAACGTAGGCCTGAAAGCGCTCCAAATGTCCATTTCCATATACTAAAAAAAGAGTGTTTCAAACCTGCTCTACAAAAGGGAATGTTCTACTCTGTGACTTGAATACAAACATCCCAAAGAAGTTTCTGAGAATGCTTCTGTCTAGATTTTATCTGAAGACAATCCGGTTTCCAACGAAATCCTCAAAGCTAGGCAAATATCCTCTAGCAGATTCCAGAAAAAGAGTGTTTCAAAACTGCTCCTTCAAAACGGTGGTTCAATTCTCTTAGTTGAGTACACACATCTCAAAAAAGTTTCAGAGAATGCTTCTGCCTAGTTGTTACGGGAAGATATTTCCCTTTCCAACATGGGACTGAAAGCGCTCCAAATGTCCACTTCCAGATACTACAAAAAGATTGTTTCAAACCTGCTCTACCAAAGGGAATGTTCTACTCTGTGACTTGAATGCAAACATCCAAAAGAAGTTTCTGAGAATGCTTCTGTCTAGATTTTACCTGAAGACAATCCCGTTTCCCACGAAATCCTCAAAGCTATGCAAATATCCTCTTGCAGATTCTACAAAAAGAGTGTTTCAAAACTGCTCTATGAAAAGAAAGGTTCAACTCTGTCAGTACAGGGTACACATCACAAACAAGTTTCTGAGAATGCTTGTGTCTAGTTGTTATGGGAAGATATTTCCTTTTTCAACATAGGCCTGAAAGCGCTCCAAATGTCCACTTCCAGATACTACAAAAGGAGTGATTCCAACCTGCTCTATGATAGGGAATGTTCATCTCTGTGTCCTGAATACAAACATCACAAAGATGTTTCTCAGAGCGCTGCAGTCTGCAATTTGTATGAATTCCTGCTTCCAACGAAATCCTCAAAACTAGCCAAATATCCACTTGGAGATTCCACAAAAAGAGCGTTTGAAAACTTCTCTATGAATAGAAAGGTTCTACTCCTTTAGTTGAGGACACACATCACGAGTAAGTTTCTGAGAATGCTTCTGTCTAGTTTTTATGGGAAGATATTTCCTTTTTCACCTTAGGCCGGAAAGCGCTCCAAATGTCCACTTACACACACTACAAAAAGAGGGTTTCAACCCTGCTCTGTGAAAGGGAATGTTCAATTCTGTGACTTGAATGCAATCATCACAAAGAACTTTCTGAGAATGCTGCTGTCTGCTTTTTATATGTAATCCCGTTTCCAACGGAAATCCTCAAATCTAGCCAAATATCCACTTGCAGATTCCACAAAGAGAGTGTTTCAAAACTGTTCTGTCTAAAGAAATGTTCAACTGTGTTAGTTGAGGACACACATCAGAAACTAGTTTCTGAGAATGCTTCTGTCTAGTTGTTATGGGAAGATATTTCCTTTTCCAACGTAGGCCTGAAAGCGCTCCAAATGTCCACTTCCATATACTAAAAAAACAGTGTTTCAAACCTGCTCTACCAAAGGGAATGTTCTACTCTGTGACTTGAATGCAAACATCCCAAAGAAGTTTCTGAGAATGCTTCTGTCTAGATTTGATCTGAAGACAATCCCGTTTCCAACGAAATCCTCAAGGCTAGGCAAATATCCTCTTGCAGATTCCAGAAAAAGAGTGTTTCAAAACTGCTCCTTCAAAACGGTGGTTCAATTCTCTTAGTTGAGTACACACATCTCAAATAAGTTTCTGAGAATGCTTCTGCCTAGTTGTTACGGGAAGATATTTCCCTTTCCAACATAGGCCTGAAAGCGCTCCAAATGTCCACTTCCAGATACTACAAAAAGAGTGTTTCAAACCTGCTCTACCAAAGGGAATGTTCTCCTCTGTGACTTGAATGCAAACATCCCAAAGAAGTTTCTGAGAATGCTTCTGTCTAGATTTTACCTGAAGACAATCCCGTTTCCCACGAAATCCTCAAAGCTATGCAAATATCCTCTTGCAGATTCTACAAAAAGAGTGTTTCAAAACTGCTCTATGAAAAGAAAGGTTCAACTCTGTCAGTAGAGGGCACACATCACAAACAAGTTACTGAGAATGCTTGTGTCTAGTTGTTATGGGAAGATATTTCCTTTTTCAACATAGGCCTGAAAGCGCTCCAAATGTCCACTTCCAGATACTACAAAAGGAGTGATTTCAACCTGCTCTATGATAGGGAATGTTCATCTCTGTGTCCTGAATACAAACATCACAAAGATGTTTCTCAGAACGCTGCAGTCTGCAATTTGTATGAATTCCCGCTTCCAACCAAATCCTCAAAACTAGCCAAATATCCACTTGCAGATTCCACAAAAAGAGCATTTCAAAACTGCTCTATCAAAAGAAAGGTTCAACTTTGTTAGTTGAGTAGATACAGCATAAACAAGTTTCTGAGAATGCTTCTGTCCAGTTTTTATGGGAAGATATTTCCTTTTTCACCTTAGCCCTGAAAGCTCTCCAAAAGTCCAGTTCCAGATACTACAAAAGGGGTGTTTCAGGACTGCTCTATGAAAGGGAGTGTTCAACTTTTGACTTGAATGCAAACATCAGAAAGCAGTTTCTCAGAACGCTGCTGTGTGCTTTTTATATGTATTCCCGCTTCCAGCGAAATCCCCAAAGCTAGCCAAATATCCACTTGCAGATTCCAGAAAAAGAGTGTTTCAAAACTGCTCCTTCAAAACGGTGGTTCAATTCTCTTAGTTGAGTACACACATCTCAAATAAGTTTCTGAGAATGCTGCAGTCTGCAATTTGTATGAATTCCCGCTTCCAACGAAATCCTCAAAACTAGCAAAATATCCACTTGCAGATTCCACAAAAAGAGCATTTCAAAACTGCTCTATCAAAAGAAAGGTTCAACTTTGTTAGTTGAGTAGATACAGCATAAACAAGTTTCTGAGAATGCTTCTCTCTAGATTTTTATATGAGGATATTCCCGTTTCCAACGAAATCCACAAAGCTATCGAAATATCCACTTGCAGATTCTACAAAAAGAGTGTTTCAAAACTGCTCTATCAAAAGAAAGGTTCTACCCCTTTAGTTGAGGACACACATCACGAGTAAGTTTCTGAGAATGCTTCTGTCTAGTTTTTATGGGAAGATATTTCCTTTTTCACCTGAGGCCGGAAAGCGCTCCAAATGTCCACTTCCAGATACTACAAAAGGAGTGATTCAAACCTGCTCTATGATAGGGAACGTTCAACTCTGTGTCCTGAATACAAACATCACAAAGATGTTTCTCAGAACGCTGCAGTCTGCAATTTGTATGAATTCCCGCTTCCAACGAAATCCTCAAAACTAGCCAAATATCCACTTGCAGATTCCACAAAAAGAGCGTTTCAAAACTTCTCTATGAAAAGAAAGGTTCTACTCCTTTAGTTGAGGACACACATCACGAGTAAGTTTCTGAGAATACTTCTGTCTAGTTTTTATAGGAAGATATTTCCTTGTTCACCTTAGGCCGGAAAGCGCTCCAAATGTCCACTTACACACACTACAAAAAGAGTGTTTCAAACCTGCTCTGTGAAAGGGAATGTTCAATTCTGTGACTTGAATGCAATCATCACAAAGAACTTTCTGAGAATGCTGCTGTCTGCTTTTTATATGTAATCCCGTTTCCAACGAAATCCTCAAATCTAGCCAAATATCCACTTGCAGATTCCACAAAGAGAGTGTTTCAAAACTGTTCTGTCTAAAGAAATGTTCAACTGTGTTAGTTGAGGACACACATCAGAAACTAGTTTCTGAGAATGCTTCTGTCTAGTTGTTATGGGAAGATATTTCCTTTTCCAACGTAGGCCTGAAAGCGCTCCAAATGTCCACTTCCATATACTAAAAAAAGAGTGTTTCAAACCTGCTCTACCAAAGGGAATGTTCTACTCTGTGACTTGAATGCAAACATCCCAAAGAAGTTTCTGAGAATGCTTCTGTCTAGATTTTATCTGAAGACAATCCCGTTTCCAACGAAATCCTCAAGGCTAGGCAAATATACTCTTGCAGATTCCAGAAAAAGAGGGTTTCAAAACTGCTCCTTCAAAACGGTGGTTCAGTTCTCTTAGTTGAGTACACACATCTCAAATAAGTTTCTGAGAATGCTTCTGCCTAGTTGTTACGGGAAGATATTTCCCTTTCCAACATGGGCCTGAAAGCGCTCCAAATGTCCACTTCCAGATACTACAAAAAGAGTGTTTCAAACCTGCTCTACCAAAGGGAATGTTCTACTCTGTGACTTGAATGCAAACATCCCAAAGAAGTTTCTGAGAATGCTTCTGTCTAGATTTTACCTGAAGACAATCCCGTTTCCCACGAAATCCTCAAAGCTATGCAAATATCCTCTTGCGGATTCTACAAAAAGAGTGTTTCAAAACTGCTCTATGAAAAGAAAGGTTCAACTCTGTCAGTAGAGGGCACACATCACAAACAAGTTTCTGAGAATGCTTGTGTCTAGTTGTTATGGGAAGATATTTCCTTTTTCAACATAGGCCTGAAAGCGCTCCAAATGTCCACTTCCAGATACTACAAAAGGAGTGATTCCAACCTGCTCTATGATAGGGAATGTTCATCTCTGTGTCCTGAATACAAACATCACAAAGATGTTTCTCAGAACGCTGCAGTCTGCAATTTGTATGAATTCCCGCTTCCAACGAAATCCTCAAAACTAGCCAAATATCCACTTGGAGATTCCACAAAAAGAGCGTTTCAAAACTTCTCTATGAATAGAAAGGTTCTACTCCTTTAGTTGAGGACACACATCACGAGTAAGTTTCTGAGAATGCTTCTGTCTAGTTTTTATGGGAAGATATTTCCTTTTTCACCTTAGGCCGGAAAGCGCTCCAAATGTCCACTTACACACACTACAAAAAGAGTGTTTCAAACCTGCTCTGTGAAAGGGAATGTTCAATTCTGTGACTTGAATGCAATCATCACAAAGAACTTTCTGAGAATGCTGCTGTCTGCTTTTTATATGTAATCCCGTTTCCAACGAAATCCTCAAATCTAGCCAAATAGCCACTTGCAGATTCCACAAAAAGAGTGTTTCAAAACTGTTCTGTCTAAAGAAAAGTTCAACTGTGTTAGTTGAGGACACACATCAGAAACTAGTTTCTGAGAATGCTTCTGTCTAGTTGTTATGGGAAGATATTTCCTTTTCCAACGTAGGCCTGAAAGCGCTCCAAATGTCCACTTCCATATACGAAAAAAAGAGTGTTTCAAACCTGCTCTACCAAAGGGAATGTTCTACTCTGTGACTTGAATGCAAACATCCCAAAGAAGTTTCTGAGAATGCTTCTGTCTAGATTTTATCTGAAGACAATCCCGTTTCCAACGAAATCTTCAAGGCTAGGCAAATATACTCTTGCAGATTCCAGAAAAAGAGTGTTTCAAATCTGCTCCTTCAAAACGGTGGTTCAATTCTCTTAGTTGAGTACACACATCTCAAATAAGTTTCTGAGAATGCTTCTGCCTAGTTGTTACGGGAAGATATTTCCCTTTCCAACATGGGCCTGAAAGCGCTCCAAATGTCCACTTCCAGATACTACAAAAAGAGGGTTTCAAACCTGCTCTACCAAAGGGAATGTTCTACTCTGTGACTTGAATGCAAACATCCCAAAGAAGTTTCTGAGAATGCTTCTGTCTAGATTTGATCTGAAGACAATCCCTTTTCCAACGAAATCCTCAAAGCTAGGCAAATATCCTCTTGCAGATTCTACAAAAAGAGTGTTTCGAAACTGCTCTATGAAAAGAAAGGTTCAACTCTGTCAGTAGAGGAAACACATCACCAACAAGTTTCTGAGAATGCTTCTGTCTAGTTGTTATGGGAAGATTTTTCCTTTTTCAACATAGGCCTGAAAGCGCTCCAAATGTCCACTTCCAGATACTACAAAAGGAGTGATCCCAACCTGCTCTATGATAGGGAATGTTCAACTCTGTGTCCTGAATACAAACATCACAAAGATGTTTCTCAGAACGCTGCAGTCTGCAATTTGTATGAATTCCCGCTTCCAACGAAATCCTCAAAACTAGCCAAATATCCACTTGCAGATTCCACAAAAAGAGCATTTCAAAACTGCTCTATCAAAAGAAAGGTTCAACTTTGTTAGTTGAGTAGATACAGCATAAACAAGTTTCTGAGAATGCTTCTGTCCAGTTTTTATGGGAAGATATTTCCTTTTTCACCTTAGCCCTGAAATCGCTCCAAAAGTCCAGTTCCAGATACTACAAAAGGAGTGTTTCAGGACTGCTCTATGAAAGGGAGTGTTCAACTTTTGACTTGAATGCAAACATCAGAAAGCAGTTTCTCAGAACGCTGCTGTGTGCTTTTTATATGTATTCCCGCTTCCAGCGAAATCCCCAAAGCTAGCCAAATATCCACTTGCAGATTCCAGAAAAAGAGTGTTTCAAAACTGCTCCTTCAAAACGGTGGTTCAATTCTCTTAGTTGAGTACACACATCTCAAATAAGTTTCTGAGAATGCTTCTGTCTAGTTGTTATGGGAAGATATTTCCTTTTCCAACATAGGCCTGAAAGCGCTCCAAATGTCCACTTCCAGATACTACAAAAGGAGTGATTCCAACCTGCTCTATGATAGGGAATGTTCAACTCTGTGTCCTGAATACAAACATCACAAAGATGTTTCTCAGAACGCTGCAGTCTGCAATTTGTATGAATTCCCGCTTCCAACGAAATCCTCAAAACTAGCCAAATATCCACTTGCAGATTCCACAAAAAGAGCGTTTCAAAACTTCTCTATGAAAAGAAAGGTTCTACACCTTTAGTTGAGGACACACATCACGAGTAAGTTTCTGAGAATGCTCTGTCTAGTTTTTATGGGAAGATATTTCCTTTTTCACCTTAGGCTGGAAAGTGCTCCAAATGTCCACTTACACACACTACAAAAAGAGTGTTTCAAACCTGCTCTGTGAAAGGGAATGTTCAATTCTGTGACTTGAATGCAATCATCAAAAAGAACTTTCTGAGACTGCTGGCTGACTGCTTTTTATATGTAATCCCGTTTCCAACGAAATCCTCAAATCTAGCCAAATAGCCACTTGCAGATTCCACAAAAAGAGTGTTTCAAAACTGTTCTGTCTAAAGAAATGTTCAACTGTGTTAGTTGAGGACACACATCAGAAACTAGTTTCTGAGAATGCTTCTGTCTAGTTGTTATGGGAAGATATTTCCTTTTCCAACGTAGGCCTGAAAGCGATCCAAATGTCCACTTCCATATACTAAAAAAAGAGTGTTTCAAACCTGCTCTACCAAAGGGAATGTTCTACTCTGTGACTTGAATGCAAACATCCCAAAGAAGTTTCTGAGAATGCTTCTGTCTAGATTTTCTCTGAAGACAATCCCGTTTCCAACGAAATCCTCAAGGCTAGGCAAATATACTCTTGCAGATTCCAGAAAAAGAGTGTTTCAAAACTGCTCCTTCAAAACGGTGGTTCAATTCTCTTAGTTGAGTACACACATCTCAAATAAGTTTCTGAGAATGCTTCTGCCTAGTTGTTACGGGAAGATATTTCCCTTTCCAACATGGGCCTGAAAGCGCTCCAAATGTCCACTTCCAGATACTACAAAAAGAGTGTTTCAAACCTGCTCTACCAAAGGGAATGTTCTACTCTGTGACTTGAATGCAAACATCCCAAAGAAGTTTCTGAGAATGCTTCTGTCTAGATTTTACCTGAAGACAATCCCGTTTCCCACGAAATCCTCAAAGCTATGCAAATATCCTCTTGCAGATTCTACAAAAAGAGTGTTTCAAAACTGCTCTATGAAAAGAAAGGTTCAACTCTGTCAGTAGAGGGCACACATCACAAACAAGTTTCTGAGAATGCTTCTGCATAGTTGTTACGGGAAGATATTTCCCTTTCCAAAATAGGCCTGAAAGCGCTCCAAATGTCCACTTCCAGATACTACAAAAGGAGTGATTCCAACCTGCTCTATGATAGGGAATGTTCAACTCTGTGTCCTGAATACAAACATCACAAAGATGTTTCTCAGAACGCTGCAGTCTGCAATTTGTATGAATTCCCGCTTCCAACGAAATCCTCAAAACTAGCCAAATATCCACTTGCAGATTCCACAAAAAGACCATTTCAAAACTGCTCTATCAAAAGAAAGGTTCAACTTTGTTAGTTGAGTAGATACAGCATAACCAAGTTTCTGAGAATGCTTCTGTCCAGTTTTTATGGGAAGATATTTCCTTTTTCACCTTAGCCCTGAAATCGCTCCAAAAGTCCAGTTCCAGATACTACAAAAGGGGTGTTTCAAGACTGCTCTATGAAAGGGAGTGTTCAACTTTTGACTTGAATGCAAACATCAGAAAGCAGTTTCTCAGAACGCTGCTGTGTGCTTTTTATATGTATTCCCGCTTCCAGCGAAATCCCCAAAGCTAGCCAAATATCCACTTGCAGATTCCAGAAAAAGAGTGTGTCAAAACTGCTCCTTCAAAACGGTGGTTCAATTCTCTTAGTTGAGTACACTCATCTCAAATAAGTTTCTGAGAATGCTTCTGTCTAGTTGTTATGGGAAGATATTTCCTTTTCCAACATAGGCCTGAAAGCACTCCAAATGTCCACTTCCAGATACTACAAAAGGAGTGATTCCAACCTGCTCTATGATAGGGAATGTTCAACTCTGTGTCCTGAATACAAACATCACAAAGATGTTTCTCAGAACGCTGCAGTCTGCAATTTGTATGAATTCCCGCTTCCAACGAAATCCTCAAAACTAGCCAAATATCCACTTGCAGATTCCACAAAAAGAGCGTTTCAAAACTTCTCTATGAAAAGAAAGGTTCTACTCCTTTAGTTGAGGACACACATCACGAGTAAGTTTCTGAGAATGCTTCTGTCTAGTTTTTATGGGAAGATATTTCCTTTTTCACCTTAGGCCGGTAAGTGCTCCAAATGTCCACTTACACACACTACAAAAAGAGTGTTTCAAACCTGCTCTGTGAAAGGGAATGTTCAATTCTGTGACTTGAATGCAATCATCACAAAGAACTTTCTGAGAATGCTGCTGACTGCTTTTTATATGTAATCCCGTTTCCAACGAAATCCTCAAATCTAGCCAAATAGCCACTTGCAGATTCCACAAAAAGAGTGTTTCAAAACTGTTCTGTCTAAAGAAATGTTCAACTGTGTTAGTTGAGGACACACATCAGAAACTAGTTTCTGAGAATGCTTCTGTCTAGTTGTTATGGGAAGATATTTCCTTTTCCAACGTAGGCCTGAAAGCGATCCAAATGTCCACTTCCATATACTAAAAAAAGAGTGTTTCAAACCTGCTCTACCAAAGGGAATGTTCTACTCTGTGACTTGAATGCAAACATCCCAAAGAAGTTTCTGAGAATGCTTCTGTCTAGATTTTCTCTGAAGACAATCCCGTTTCCAACGAAATCCTCAAGGCTAGGCAAATATACTCTTGCAGATTCCAGAAAAAGAGTGTTTCAAAACTGCTCCTTCAAAACGGTGGTTCAATTCTCTTAGTTGAGTACACACATCTCAAATAAGTTTCTGAGAATGCTTCTGCCTAGTTGTTACGGGAAGATATTTCCCTTTCCAACATGGGCCTGAAAGCGCTCCAAATGTCCACTTCCAGATACTACAAAAAGAGTGTTTCAAACCTGCTCTACCAAAGGGAATGTTCTACTCTGTGACTTGAATGCAAACATCCCAAAGAAGTTTCTGAGAATGCTTCTGTCTAGATTTTACCTGAAGACAATCCCGTTTCCCACGAAATCCTCAAAGCTATGCAAATATCCTCTTGCAGATTCTACAAAAAGAGTGTTTCAAAACTGCTCTATGAAAAGAAAGGTTCAACTCTGTCAGTAGAGGGCACACATCACAAACAAGTTTCTGAGAATGCTTCTGCATAGTTGTTACGGGAAGATATTTCCCTTTCCAAAATAGGCCTGAAAGCGCTCCAAATGTCCACTTCCAGATACTACAAAAGGAGTGATTCCAACCTGCTCTATGATAGGGAATGTTCAACTCTGTGTCCTGAATACAAACATCACAAAGATGTTTCTCAGAACGCTGCAGTCTGCAATTTGTATGAATTCCCGCTTCCAACGAAATCCTCAAAACTAGCCAAATATCCACTTGCAGATTCCACAAAAAGACCATTTCAAAACTGCTCTATCAAAAGAAAGGTTCAACTTTGTTAGTTGAGTAGATACAGCATAAACAAGTTTCTGAGAATGCTTCTGTCCAGTTTTTATGGGAAGATATTTCCTTTTTCACCTTAGCCCTGAAATCGCTCCAAAAGTCCAGTTCCAGATACTACAAAAGGGGTGTTTCAGGACTGCTCTATGAAAGGGAGTGTTCAACTTTTGACTTGAATGCAAACATCAGAAAGCAGTTTCTCAGAACGCTGCTGTGTGCTTTTTATATGTATTCCCGCTTCCAGCGAAATCCCCAAAGCTAGCCAAATATCCACTTGCAGATTCCAGAAAAAGAGAGTTTCAAAACTGCTCCTTCAAAACGGTGGTTCAATTCTCTTAGTTGAGTACACACATCTCAAATAAGTTTCTGAGAATGCTTCTGTCTAGTTGTTATGGGAAGATATTTCCTTTTCCAACATAGGCCTGAAAGCGCTCCAAATGTCCACTTCCAGATACTACAAAAGGAGTGATTCCAACCTGCTCTATGATAGGGAATGTTCAACTCTGTGTCCTGAATACAAACATCACAAAGATGTTTCTCAGAACGCTGCAGTCTGCAATTTGTATGAATTCCCGCTTCCAACGAAATCCTCAAAACTAGCCAAATATCCACTTGCAGATTCCACAAAAAGAGCGTTTCAAAACTTCTCTATGAAAAGAAAGGTTCTACTCCTTTAGTTGAGGACACACATCACGAGTAAGTTTCTGAGAATGCTTCTGTCTAGTTTTTATGGGAAGATATTTCCTTTTTCACCTTAGGCCGGTAAGTGCTCCAAATGTCCACTTACACACACTACAAAAAGAGTGTTTCAAACCTGCTCTGTGAAAGGGAATGTTCAATTCTGTGACTTGAATGCAATCATCACAAAGAACTTTCTGAGAATGCTGCTGACTGCTTTTTATATGTAATCCCGTTTCCAACGAAATCCTCAAATCTAGCCAAATAGCCACTTGCAGATTCCACAAAAAGAGTGTTTCAAAACTGTTCTGTCTAAAGAAATGTTCAACTGTGTTAGTTGAGGACACACATCAGAAACTAGTTTCTGAGAATGCTCTCTGTCTAGTTGTTATGGGAAGATATTTCCTTTTCCAACGTAGGCCTGAAAGTGCTCCAAATGTCCACTTCCATATACTAAAAAAAGAGTGTTTCAAACCTGCTCTACCAAAGGGAATGTTCTACTCTGTGACTTGAATGCAAACATCCCAAAGAAGTTTCTGAGAATGCTTCTGTCTAGATTTGATCTGAAGACAATCCCTTTTCCAACGAAATCCTCAAAGCTAGGCAAATATCCTCTTGCAGATTCTACAAAAAGAGTGTTTCGAAACTGCTCTATGAAAAGAAAGGTTCAACTCTGTCAGTAGAGGAAACACATCACCAACAAGTTTCTGAGAATGCTTCTGTCTAGTTGTTATGGGAAGATTTTTCCTTTTTCAACATAGGCCTGAAAGCGCTCCAAATGTCCACTTCCAGATACTACAAAAGGAGTGATCCCAACCTGCTCTATGATAGGGAATGTTCAACTCTGTGTCCTGAATACAAACATCACAAAGATGTTTCTCAGAACGCTGCAGTCTGCAATTTGTATGAATTCCCGCTTCCAACGAAATCCTCAAAACTAGCCAAATATCCACTTGCAGATTCCACAAAAAGAGCATTTCAAAACTGCTCTATCAAAAGAAAGGTTCAACTTTGTTAGTTGAGTAGATACAGCATAAACAAGTTTCTGAGAATGCTTCTGTCTAGTTTTTATGGGAAGATATTTCCTTTTTCACCTTAGCCCTGAAAGCGCTCCAAAAGTCCAGTTCCAGATACTACAAAAGGAGTGTTTCAGGACTGCTCTATGAAAGGGAGTGTTCAACTTTTGACTTGAATGCAAACATCAGAAAGCAGTTTCTCAGAACGCTGCTGTGTGCTTTTTATATGTATTCCCGCTTCCAGCGAAATCCCCAAAGCTAGCCAAATATCCACTTGCAGATTCCAGAAAAAGAGTGTTTCAAAACTGCTCCTTCAAAACGGTGGTTCAATTCTCTTAGTTGAGTACACACATCTCAAATAAGTTTCTGAGAATGCTTCTGTCTAGTTGTTATGGGAAGATATTTCCTTTTCCAACATAGGCCTGAAAGCGCTCCAAATGTCCACTTCCAGATACTACAAAAGGAGTGATTCAAACCTGCTCTATGATAGGGAATGTTCAACTCTGTGTCCTGAATACAAACATCACAAAGATGTTTCTCAGAACGCTGCAGTCTGCAATTTGTATGAATTCCCGCTTCCAACGAAATCCTCCAAACTAGCCAAATATCCACTTGCAGATTCCACAAAAAGAGCGTTTCAAAACTTCTCTATGAAAAGAAAGGTTCTACTCCTTTAGTTGAGGACACACATCACGAGTAAGTTTCTGAGAATGCTTCTGTCTAGTTTTTATGGGAAGATATTTCCTTTTTCACCTTAGGCCGGAAAGTGCTCCAAATGTCCACTTACACACACTATAAAAAGAGTGTTTCAAACCTGCTCTGTGAAAGGGAATGTTCAATTCTGTGACTTGAATGCAATCATCACAAAGAACTTTCTGAGAATGCTGCTGTCTGCTTTTTATATGTAATCCCGTTTCCAACGAAATCCTCAAATCTAGCCAAATAGCCACTTGCAGATTCCACAAAAAGAGAGTTTCAAAACTGTTCTGTCTAAAGAAATGTTCAACTGTGTTAGTTGAGGACACACATCAGAAACTAGTTTCTGAGAATGCTTCTGTCTAGTTGTTATGGGAAGATATTTCCTTTTCCAACATAGGCCTGAAAGCGCTCCAAATGTCCACTTCCAGATACTACAAAAGGAGTGATTCCAACCTGCTCTATGATAGGGAATGTTCAACTCTGTGTCCTGAATACAAACATCACAAAGATGTTTCTCAGAACGCTGCAGTCTGCAATTTGTATGAATTCCCGCTTCCAACGAAATCCTCCAAACTAGCCAAATATCCACTTGCAGATTCCACAAAAAGAGCGTTTCAAAACTTCTCTATGAAAGAAAGGTTCTACTCCTTTAGTTGAGGACACACATCACGAGTAAGTTTCTGAGAATGCTTCTGTCTAGTTTTTATGGGAAGATATTTCCTTTCTCACCTTAGGCCGGAAAGTGCTCCAAATGTCCACTTACACACACTATAAAAAGAGTGTTTCAAACCTGCTCTGTGAAAGGGAATGTTCAATTCTGTGACTTGAATGCAATCATCACAAAGAACTTTCTGAGAATGCTGCTGTCTGCTTTTTATATGTAATCCCGTTTCCAACGAAATCCTCAAATCTAGCCAAATAGCCACTTGCAGATTCCACAAAAAGAGAGTTTCAAAACTGTTCTGTCTAAAGAAATGTTCAACTGTGTTAGTTGAGGACACACATCAGAAACTAGTTTCTGAGAATGCTTCTGTCTAGTTGTTATGGGAAGATATTTCCTTTTCCAACGTAGGCCTGAAAGCGCTCCAAATGTCCACTTCCATATACTAAAAAAAGAGTGTTTCAAACCTGCTCTACCAAAGGGAATGTTCTACTCTGTGACTTGAATGCAAACATCCCAAAGAAGTTTCTGAGAATGCTTCTGTCTAGATTTGATCTGAAGACAATCCCGTTTCCAACGAAATCCTCAAGGCTAGGCAAATATCCTCTTGCAGATTCCAGAAAAAGAGTGTTTCAAAACTGCTCCTTCAAAACGGTGGTTCAATTCTCTTAGTTGAGTACACACATCTCAAATAAGTTTCTGAGAATGCTTCTGCCTAGTTGTTACGGGAAGATATTTCCCTTTCCAACATAGGCCTGAAAGCGCTCCAAATGTCCACTTCCAGATACTACAAAAAGAGTGTTTCAAACCTGCTCTACCAAAGGGAATGTTCTACTCTGTGACTTGAATGCAAACATCCCAAAGAAGTTTCTGAGAATGCTTCTGTCTAGATTTTACCTGAAGACAATCCCGTTTCCCACGAAATCCTCAAAGCTATGCAAATATCCTCTTGCAGATTCTACAAAAAGAGTGTTTCAAAACTGCTCTATGAAAAGAAAGGTTCAACTCTGTCAGTAGAGGGCACACATCACAAACAAGTTTCTGAGAATGCTTGTGTCTAGTTGTTATGGGAAGATATTTCCTTTTTCAACATAGGCCTGAAAGCGCTCCAAATGTCCACTTCCAGATACTACAAAAGGAGTGATTCCAACCTGCTCTATGATAGGGAATGTTCAACTCTCTGTCCTGAATACAAACATCACAAAGATGTTTCTCAGAACGCTGCAGTCTGCAATTTGTATGAATTCCCGCTCCCAACGAAATCCTCAAAACTAGCCAAATATCCACTTGCAGATTCCACAAAAAGAGCATTTCAAAACTGCTCTATCAAAAGAAAGGTTCAACTTTGTTAGTTGAGTAGATACAGCATAAACAAGTTTCTGAGAATGCTTCTGTCCAGTTTTTATGGGAAGATATTTCCTTTTTCACCTTAGCCCTGAAAGCCCTCCAAAAGTCCAGTTCCAGATACTACAAAAGGGGTGTTTCAAGACTGCTCTATGAAAGGGAGTGTTCAACTTTTGACTTGAATGCAAACATCAGAAAGCAGTTTCTCAGAACGCTGCTGTGTGCTTTTTATATGTATTCCCGCTTCCAGCGAAATCCCCAAAGCTAGCCAAATATCCACTTGCAGATTCCAGAAAAAGAGTGTTTCAAAACTGCTCCTTCAAAACGGTGGTTCAATTCTCTTAGTTGAGTACACACATCTCAAATAAGTTTCTGAGAATGCTTCTGTCTAGTTGTTATGGGAAGATATTTCCTTTTCCAACATAGGCCTGAAAGCGCTCCAAATGTCCACTTCCAGATACTACAAAAGGAGTGATTCAAACCTGCTCTATGATAGGGAATGTTCAACTCTGTGTCCTGAATACAAACATCACAAAGATGTTTCTCAGAACGCTGCAGTCTGCAATTTGTATGAATTCCCGCTTCCAACGAAATCCTCAAAACTAGCCAAATATCCACTTGCAGATTCCACAAAAAGAGCGTTTCAAAACTTCTCTATGAAAAGAAAGGTTCTACTCCTTTAGTTGAGGACACACATCACGAGTAAGTTTCTGAGAATGCTTCTGTCTAGTTTTTATGGGAAGATTATTTCCTTTTTCACCTTAGGCCGGTAAGTGCTCCAAATGTCCACTTACACACACTACAAAAAGAGTGTTTCAAACCTGCTCTGTGAAAGGGAATGTTCAATTCTGTGACTTGAATGCAATCATCACAAAGAACTTTCTGAGAATGCCGCTGACTGCTTTTTATATGTAATCCCGTTTCCAACGAAATCCTCAAATCTAGCCAAATAGCCACTTGCAGATTCCACAAAAAGAGTGTTTCAAAACTGTTCTGTCTAAAGAAATGTTCAACTGTGTTAGTTGAGGACACACATCAGAAACTAGTTTCTGAGAATGCTTCTGTCTAGTTGTTATGGGAAGATATTTCCTTTTCCAACGTAGGCCTGAAAGCGCTCCAAATGTCCACTTCCAGATACTACAAAAAGAGTGTTTCAAACCTGCTCTACCAAAGGGAATGTTCTACTCTGTGACTTGAATGCAAGCATCCCAAAGAAGTTTCTGAGAATGCTTCTGTCTAGATTTTCTCTGAAGACAATCCCGTTTCCAACGAAATCCTCAAGGCTAGGCAAATATACTCTTGCAGATTCCAGAAAAAGAGTGTTTCAAAACTGCTCCTTCAAAACGGTGGTTCAATTCTCTTAGTTGAGTACACACATCTCAAATAAGTTTCTGAGAATGCTTCTGCCTAGTTGTTACGGGAAGATATTTCCCTTTCCAACATGGGCCTGAAAGCGCTCCAAATGTCCACTTCCAGATACTACAAAAAGAGTGTTTCAAACCTGCTCTACCAAAGGGAATGTTCTACTCTGTGACTTGAATGCAAACATCCCAAAGAAGTTTCTGAGAATGCTTCTGTCTAGATTTTACCTGAAGACAATCCCGTTTCCCACGAAATCCTCAAAGCTATGCAAATATCCTCTTGCGGATTCTACAAAAAGAGTGTTTCAAAACTGCTCTATGAAAAGAAAGGTTCAACTCTGTCAGTAGAGGGCACACATCACAAACAAGTTTGCTGAGAATGCTTGTGTCTAGTTGTTATGGGAAGATATTTCCTTTTTCAACATAGGCCAGAAAGCGCTCCAAATGTCCACTTCCAGATACTACAAAAGGAGTGATTCCAACCTGCTCTATGATAGGGAATGTTCAACTCCCCTGTCCTGCATACAAACATCACAAAGATGTTTCTCAGAACGCTGCAGTCTGCAATTTGTATGAATTCCCGCTTCCAACGAAATCCTCAAAACTAGCCAAATATCCACTTGCAGATTCCACAAAAAGAGCATTTCAAAACTGCTCTATCAAAAGAAAGGTTCAACTTTGTTAGTTGAGTAGATACAGCATAAACAAGTTTCTGAGAATGCTTCTGTCCAGTTTTTATGGGAAGATATTTCCTTTTTCAACTTAGCCCTGAAAGCGCTCCAAAAGTCCAGTTCCAGATACTACAAAAGGAGTGTTTCAGGACTGCTCTATCAAAGGGAGTGTTCAACTTTTGACTTGAATGCAAACATCAGAAAGCAGTTTCTCAGAACGCTGCTGTGTGCTTTTTATATGTATTCCCGCCTCCAGCGAAATCCCCAAAGCTAGCCAAATATCCACTTGCAGATTCCAGAAAAAGAGTGTTTCAAAACTGCTCCTTCAAAACGGTGGTTCAATTCTCTTAGTTGAGTACACACATCTCAAATAAGTTTCTGAGAATGCTTCTGTCTAGTTGTTATGGGAAGATATTTCCTTTTCCAACATAGGCCTGAAAGCGCTCCAAATGTCCACTTCCAGATACTACAAAAGGAGTGATTCCAACCTGCTCTATGATAGGGAATGTTCAACTCTGTGTCCTGAATACAAACATCACAAAGATGTTTCTCAGAACGCTGCAGTCTGCAATTTGTATGAATTCCCGCTTCCAACGAAATCCTCCAAACTAGCCAAATATCCACTTGCAGATTCCACAAAAAGAGCGTTTCAAAACTTCTCTATGAAAAGAAAGGTTCTACTCCTTTAGTTGAGGACACACATCACGAGTAAGTTTCTGAGAATGCTTCTGTCTAGTTTTTATGGGAAGATATTTCCTTTTTCACCTTAGGCCGGAAAGTGCTCCAAATGTCCACTTACACACACTACAAAAAGAGTGTTTCAAACCTGCTCTGTGAAAGGGAATGTTCAATTCTGTGACTTGAATGCAATCATCACAAAGAACTTTCTGAGAATGCTGCTGTCTGCTTTTTATATGTAATCCCGTTTCCAACGAAATCCTCAAATCTAGCCAAATAGCCACTTGCAGATTCCACAAAAAGAGAGTTTCAAAACTGTTCTGTCTAAAGAAATGTTCAACTGTGTTAGTTGAGGACACACATCAGAAACTAGTTTCTGAGAATGCTTCTGTCTAGTTGTTATGGGAAGATATTTCCTTTTCCAACGTAGGCCTGAAAGCGCTCCAAATGTCCACTTCCATATACTAAAAAAAGAGTGTTTCAAACCTGCTCTACCAAAGGGAATGTTCTACTCTGTGACTTGAATGCAAACATCCCAAAGAAGTTTCTGAGAATGCTTCTGTCTAGATTTTCTCTGAAGACAATCCCGTTTCCAACGAAATCCTCAAGGCTAGGCAAATATACTCTTGCAGATTCCAGAAAAAGAGTGTTTCAAAACTGCTCCTTCAAAACGGTGGTTCAATTCTCTTAGTTGAGTACACACATCTCAAATAAGTTTCTGAGAATGCTTCTGCCTAGTTGTTACGGGAAGATATTTCCCTTTCCAACATGGGCCTGAAAGCGCTCCAAATGTCCACTTCCAGATACTACAAAAAGAGTGTTTCAAACCTGCTCTACCAAAGGGAATGTTCTACTCTGTGACTTGAATGCAAACATCCCAAAGAAGTTTCTGAGAATGCTTCTGTCTAGATTTTACCTGAAGACAATCCCGTTTCCCACGAAATCCTCAAAGCTATGCAAATATCCTCTTGCAGATTCTACAAAAAGAGTGTTTCAAAACTGCTCTATGAAAAGAAAGGTTCAACTCTGTCAGTAGAGGGCACACATCACAAACAAGTTTCTGAGAATGCTTCTGCATAGTTGTTACGGGAAGATATTTCCCTTTCCAAAATAGGCCTGAAAGCGCTCCAAATGTCCACTTCCAGATACTACAAAAGGAGTGATTCCAACCTGCTCTATGATAGGGAATGTTCAACTCTGTGTCCTGAATACAAACATCACAAAGATGTTTCTCAGAACGCTGCAGTCTGCAATTTGTATGAATTCCCGCTTCCAACGAAATCCTCAAAACTAGCCAAATATCCACTTGCAGATTCCACAAAAAGACCATTTCAAAACTGCTCTATCAAAAGAAAGGTTCAACTTTGTTAGTTGAGTAGTTACAGCATAAACAAGTTTCTGAGAATGCTTCTGTCCAGTTTTTATGGGAAGATATTTCCTTTTTCACCTTAGCCCTGAAATCGCTCCAAAAGTCCAGTTCCAGATACTACAAAAGGGGTGTTTCAGGACTGCTCTATGAAAGGGAGTGTTCAACTTTTGACTTGAATGCAAACATCAGAAAGCAGTTTCTCAGAACGCTGCTGTGTGCTTTTTATATGTATTCCCGCTTCCAGCGAAATCCCCAAAGCTAGCCAAATATCCACTTGCAGATTCCAGAAAAAGAGAGTTTCAAAACTGCTCCTTCAAAACGGTGGTTCAATTCTCTTAGTTGAGTACACACATCTCAAATAAGTTTCTGAGAATGCTTCTGTCTAGTTGTTATGGGAAGATATTTCCTTTTCCAACATAGGCCTGAAAGCGCTCCAAATGTCCACTTCCAGATACTACAAAAGGAGTGATTCAAACCTGCTCTATGATAGGGAATGTTCAACTCTGTGTCCTGAATACAAACATCACAAAGATGTTTCTCAGAACGCTGCAGTCTGCAATTTGTATGAATTCCCGCTTCCAACGAAATCCTCCAAACTAGCCAAATATCCACTTGCAGATTCCACAAAAAGAGCGTTTCAAAACTTCTCTATGAAAAGAAAGGTTCTACTCCTTTAGTTGAGGACACACATCACGAGTAAGTTTCTGAGAATGCTTATCTGTCTAGTTTTTATGGGAAGATATTTCCTTTTTCACCTTAGGCCGGTAAGTGCTCCAAATGTCCACTTACACACACTACAAAAAGAGTGTTTCAAACCTGCTCTGTGAAAGGGAATGTTCAATTCTGTGACTTGAATGCAATCATCACAAAGAACTTTCTGAGAATGCTGCTGACTGCTTTTTATATGTAATCCCGTTTCCAACGAAATCCTCAAATCTAGCCAAATAGCCACTTGCAGATTCCACAAAAAGAGTGTTTCAAAACTGTTCTGTCTAAAGAAATGTTCAACTGTGTTAGTTGAGGACACACATCAGAAACTAGTTTCTGAGAATGCTTCTGTCTAGTTGTTATGGGAAGATATTTCCTTTTCCAACGTAGGCCTGAAAGCGATCCAAATGTCCACTTCCATATACTAAAAAAAGAGTGTTTCAAACCTGCTCTACCAAAGGGAATGTTCTACTCTGTGACTTGAATGCAAACATCCCAAAGAAGTTTCTGAGAATGCTTCTGTCTAGATTTTCTCTGAAGACAATCCCGTTTCCAACGAAATCCTCAAGGCTAGGCAAATATACTCTTGCAGATTCCAGAAAAAGAGTGTTTCAAAACTGCTCCTTCAAAACGGTGGTTCAATTCTCTTAGTTGAGTACACACATCTCAAATAAGTTTCTGAGAATGCTTCTGCCTAGTTGTTACGGGAAGATATTTCCCTTTCCAACATGGGCCTGAAAGCGCTCCAAATGTCCACTTCCAGATACTACAAAAAGAGTGTTTCAAACCTGCTCTACCAAAGGGAATGTTCTACTCTGTGACTTGAATGCAAACATCCCAAAGAAGTTTCTGAGAATGCTTCTGTCTAGATTTTACCTGAAGACAATCCCGTTTCCCACGAAATCCTCAAAGCTATGCAAATATCCTCTTGCAGATTCTACAAAAAGAGTGTTTCAAAACTGCTCTATGAAAAGAAAGGTTCAACTCTGTCAGTAGAGGGCACACATCACAAACAAGTTTCTGAGAATGCTTCTGCATAGTTGTTACGGGAAGATATTTCCCTTTCCAAAATAGGCCTGAAAGCGCTCCAAATGTCCACTTCCAGATACTACAAAAGGAGTGATTCCAACCTGCTCTATGATAGGGAATGTTCAACTCTGTGTCCTGAATACAAACATCACAAAGATGTTTCTCAGAACGCTGCAGTCTGCAATTTGTATGAATTCCCGCTTCCAACGAAATCCTCAAAACTAGCCAAATATCCACTTGCAGATTCCACAAAAAGACCATTTCAAAACTGCTCTATCAAAAGAAAGGTTCAACTTTGTTAGTTGAGTAGATACAGCATAAACAAGTTTCTGAGAATGCTTCTGTCCAGTTTTTATGGGAAGATGTTTCCTTTTTCACCTTAGCCCTGAAATCGCTCCAAAAGTCCAGTTCCAGATACTACAACAGGGGTGTTTCAAGACTGCTCTATGAAAGGGAGTGTTCAACTTTTGACTTGAATGCAAACATCAGAAAGCAGTTTCTCAGAACGCTGCTGTGTGCTTTTTATATGTATTCCCGCTTCCAGCGAAATCCCCAAAGCTAGCCAAATATCCACTTGCAGATTCCAGAAAAAGAGAGTTTCAAAACTGCTCCTTCAAAACGGTGGTTCAATTCTCTTAGTTGAGTACACACATCTCAAATAAGTTTCTGAGAATGCTTCTGTCTAGTTGTTATGGGAAGATATTTCCTTTTCCAACATAGGCCTGAAAGCGCTCCAAATGTCCACTTCCAGATACTACAAAAGGAGTGATTCCAACCTGCTCTATGATAGGGAATGTTCAACTCTGTGTCCTGAATACAAACATCACAAAGATGTTTCTCAGAACGCTGCAGTCTGCAATTTGTATGAATTCCCGCTTCCAACGAAATCCTCAAAACTAGCCAAATATCCACTTGCAGATTCCACAAAAAGAGCGTTTCAAAACTTCTCTATGAAAAGAAAGGTTCTACTCCTTTAGTTGAGGACACACATCACGAGTAAGTTTCTGAGAATGCTTCTGTCTAGTTTTTATGGGAAGATATTTCCTTTTTCACCTTAGGCCGGTAAGTGCTCCAAATGTCCACTTACACACACTACAAAAAGAGTGTTTCAAACCTGCTCTGTGAAAGGGAATGTTCAATTCTGTGACTTGAATGCAATCATCACAAAGAACTTTCTGAGAATGCCGCTGACTGCTTTTTATATGTAATCCCGTTTCCAACGAAATCCTCAAATCTAGCCAAATAGCCACTTGCAGATTCCACAAAAAGAGTGTTTCAAAACTGTTCTGTCTAAAGAAATGTTCAACTGTGTTAGTTGAGGACACACATCAGAAACTAGTTTCTGAGAATGCTTCTGTCTAGTTGTTATGGGAAGATATTTCCTTTTCCAACGTAGGCCTGAAAGCGCTCCAAATGTCCACTTCCAGATACTACAAAAAGAGTGTTTCAAACCTGCTCTACCAAAGGGAATGTTCTACTCTGTGACTTGAATGCAAGCATCCCAAAGAAGTTTCTGAGAATGCTTCTGTCTAGATTTGATCTGAAGACAATCCCGTTTCCAACGAAATCCTCAAGGCTAGGCAAATATCCTCTTGCAGATTCCAGAAAAAGAGTGTTTCAAAACTGCTCCTTCAAAACGGTGGTTCAATTCTCTTAGTTGAGTACACACATCTCAAATAAGTTTCTGAGAATGCTTCTGCCTAGTTGTTACGGGAAGATATTTCCCTTTCCAACATGGGCCTGAAAGCGCTCCAAATGTCCACTTCCAGATACTACAAAAAGAGTGTTTCAAACCTGCTCTACCAAAGGGAATGTTCTACTCTGTGACTTGAATGCAAACATCCCAAAGAAGTTTCTGAGAATGCTTCTGTCTAGATTTTACCTGAAGACAATCCCGTTTCCCACGAAATCCTCAAAGCTATGCAAATATCCTCTTGCAGATTCTACAAAAAGAGTGTTTCAAAACTGCTCTATGAAAAGAAAGGTTCAACTCTGTCAGTAGAGGGCACACATCACAAACAAGTTTCTGAGAATGCTTGTGTCTAGTTGTTATGGGAAGATATTTCCTTTTTCAACATAGGCCTGAAAGCGCTCCAAATGTCCACTTCCAGATACTACAAAAGGAGTGATTCCAACCTGCTCTATGATAGGGAATTTTCATCTCTGTGTCCTGAATACAAACATCACAAAGATGTTTCTCAGAACGCTGCAGTCTGCAATTTGTATGAATTCCCGCTTCCAACGAAATCCTCAAAACTAGCCAAATATCCACTTGCAGATTCCACAAAAAGACCATTTCAAAACTGCTCTATCAAAAGAAAGGTTCAACTTTGTTAGTTGAGTAGATACAGCATAACCAAGTTTCTGAGAATGCTTCTGTCCAGTTTTTATGGGAAGATATTTCCTTTTTCACCTTAGCCCTGAAATCGCTCCAAAAGTCCAGTTCCAGATACTACAAAAGGGGTGTTTCAAGACTGCTCTATGAAAGGGAGTGTTCAACTTTTGACTTGAATGCAAACATCAGAAAGCAGTTTCTCAGAACGCTGCTGTGTGCTTTTTATATGTATTCCCGCTTCCAGCGAAATCCCCAAAGCTAGCCAAATATCCACTTGCAGATTCCAGAAAAAGAGAGTTTCAAAACTGCTCCTTCAAAACGGTGGTTCAATTCTCTTAGTTGAGTACACACATCTCAAATAAGTTTCTGAGAATGCTTCTGTCTAGTTGTTATGGGAAGATATTTCCTTTTCCAACATAGGCCTGAAAGCGCTCCAAATGTCCACTTCCAGATACTACAAAAGGAGTGATTCCAACCTGCTCTATGATAGGGAATGTTCAACTCTGTGTCCTGAATACAAACATCACAAAGATGTTTCTCAGAACGCTGCAGTCTGCAATTTGTATGAATTCCCGCTTCCAACGAAATCCTCAAAACTAGCCAAATATCCACTTGCAGATTCCACAAAAAGAGCGTTTCAAAACTTCTCTATGAAAAGAAAGGTTCTACTCCTTTAGTTGAGGACACACATCACGAGTAAGTTTGCTGAGAATGCTTATCTGTCTAGTTTTTAAGGGAAGATATTTCCTTTTTCACCTTAGGCCGGAAAGTGCTCCAAATGTCCACTTACACACACTACAAAAAGAGTGTTTCAAACCTGCTCTGTGAAAGGGAATGTTCAATTCTGTGACTTGAATGCAATCATCACAAAGAACTTTCTGAGAATGCTGCTGTCTGCTTTTTATATGTAATCCCGTTTCCAACGAAATCCTCAAATCTAGCCAAATAGCCACTTGCAGATTCCACAAAAAGAGTGTTTCAAAACTGTTCTGTCTAAAGAAATGTTCAACTGTGTTAGTTGAGGACACACATCAGAAACTAGTTTCTGAGAATGCTTCTGTCTAGTTGTTATGGGAAGATATTTCCTTTTCCAACGTAGACCTGAAAGCGCTCCAAATGTCCACTTCCATATACTAAAAAAAGAGTGTTTCAAACCTGCTCAACCAAAGGGAATGTTCTACTCTGTGACTTGAATGCAAACATCCCAAAGAAGTTTCTGAGAATGCTTCTGTCTAGATTTGATATGAAGACAATCCCGTTTCCAACGAAATCCTCAAGGCTAGGCAAATATCCTCTTGCAGATTCCAGAAAAAGAGTGTTTCAAAACTGCTCCTTCAAAACGGTGGTTCAATTCTCTTAGTTGAGTACACACATCTCAAATAAGTTTCTGAGAATGCTTCTGCCTAGTTGTTACGGGAAGATATTTCCCTTTCCAACATAGGCCTGAAAGCGCTCCAAATGTCCACTTCCAGATACTACAAAAAGAGTGTTTCAAACCTGCTCTACCAAAGGGAATGTTCTACTCTGTGACTTGAATGCAAACATCCCAAAGAAGTTTCTGAGAATGCTTCTGTCTAGATTTGATCTGAAGACAATCCCGTTTCCAACGAAATCCTCAAGGCTAGGCAAATATCCTCTTGCAGATTCCAGAAAAAGAGTGTTTCAAAACTGCTCCTTCAAAACGGTGGTTCAATTCTCTTAGTTGAGTACACACATCTCAAATAAGTTTCTGAGAATGCTTCTGCCTAGTTGTTACGGGAAGTATATTTCCCTTTCCAACATAGGCCTGAAAGCGCTCCAAATGTCCACTTCCAGATACTATAAAAAGAGTGTTTCAAACCTGCTCTACCAAAGGGAATGTTCTACTCTGTGACTTGAATGCAAACATCCCAAAGAAGTTTCTGAGAATGCTTCTGTCTAGATTTTTACCTGAAGACAATCCCGTTTCCCACGAAATCCTCAAAGCTATGCAAATATCCTCTTGCAGATTCTACAAAAAGAGTGTTTCAAAACTGCTCTATGAAAAGAAAGGTTCAACTCTGTCAGTAGAGGGCACACATCACAAACAAGTTTCTGAGAATGCTTCTGCATAGTTGTTACGGGAAGATATTTCCCTTTCCAAAATAGGCCTGAAAGCGCTCCAAATGTCCACTTCCAGATACTACAAAAGGAGTGATTCCAACCTGCTCTATGATAGGGAATGTTCAACTCTGTGTCCTGAATACAAACATCACAAAGATGTTTCTCAGAACGCTGCAGTCTGCAATTTGTATGAATTCCCGCTTCCAACGAAATCCTCAAAACTAGCCAAATATCCACTTGCAGATTCCACAAAAAGACCATTTCAAAACTGCTCTATCAAAAGAAAGGTTCAACTTTGTTAGTTGAGTAGATACAGCATAAACAAGTTTCTGAGAATGCTTCTGTCCAGTTTTTATGGGAAGATGTTTCCTTTTTCACCTTAGCCCTGAAATCGCTCCAAAAGTCCAGTTCCAGATACTACAACAGGGGTGTTTCAAGACTGCTCTATGAAAGGGAGTGTTCAACTTTTGACTTGAATGCAAACATCAGAAAGCAGTTTCTCAGAACGCTGCTGTGTGCTTTTTATATGTATTCCCGCTTCCAGCGAAATCTCCAAAGCTAGCCAAATATCCACTTGCAGATTCCAGAAAAAGAGAGTTTCAAAACTGCTCCTTCAAAACGGTGGTTCAATTCTCTTAGTTGAGTACACACATCTCAAATAAGTTTCTGAGAATGCTTCTGTCTAGTTGTTATGGGAAGATATTTCCTTTTCCAACATAGGCCTGAAAGCGCTCCAAATGTCCACTTCCAGATACTACAAAAGGAGTGATTCCAACCTGCTCTATGATAGGGAATGTTCAACTCTGTGTCCTGAATACAAACATCACAAAGATGTTTCTCAGAACGCTGCAGTCTGCAATTTGTATGAATTCCCGCTTCCAACGAAATCCTCAAAACTAGCCAAATATCCACTTGCAGATTCCACAAAAAGAGCGTTTCAAAACTTCTCTATGAAAAGAAAGGTTCTACTCCTTTAGTTGAGGACACACATCACGAGTAAGTTTCTGAGAATGCTTCTGTCTAGTTTTTATGGGAAGATATTTCCTTTTTCACCTTAGGCCGGTAAGTGCTCCAAATGTCCACTTACACACACTACAAAAAGAGTGTTTCAAACCTGCTCTGTGAAAGGGAATGTTCAATTCTGTGACTTGAATGCAATCATCACAAAGAACTTTCTGAGAATGCTGCTGACTGCTTTTTATATGTAATCCCGTTTCCAACGAAATCCTCAAATCTAGCCAAATAGCCACTTGCAGATTCCACAAAAAGAGTGTTTCAAAACTGTTCTGTCTAAAGAAATGTTCAACTGTGTTAGTTGAGGACACACATCAGAAACTAGTTTCTGAGAATGCTTCTGTCTAGTTGTTATGGGAAGATATTTCCTTTTCCAACGTAGGCCTGAAAGCGCTCCAAATGTCCACTTCCATATACTAAAAAAAGAGTGTTTCAAACCTGCTCTACCAAAGGGAATGTTCTACTCTGTGACTTGAATGCAAACATCCCAAAGAAGTTTCTGAGAATGCTTCTGTCTAGATTTTCTCTGAAGACAATCCCGTTTCCAACGAAATCCTCAAGGCTAGGCAAATATACTCTTGCAGATTCCAGAAAAAGAGTGTTTCAAAACTGCTCCTTCAAAACGGTGGTTCAATTCTCTTAGTTGAGTACACACATCTCAAATAAGTTTCTGAGAATGCTTCTGCCTAGTTGTTACGGGAAGATATTTCCCTTTCCAACATGGGCCTGAAAGCGCTCCAAATGTCCACTTCCAGATACTACAAAAAGAGTGTTTCAAACCTGCTCTACCAAAGGGAATGTTCTACTCTGTGACTTGAATGCAAACATCCCAAAGAAGTTTCTGAGAATGCTTCTGTCTAGATTTTACCTGAAGACAATCCCGTTTCCCACGAAATCCTCAAAGCTATGCTAATATCCTCTTGCAGATTCTACAAAAAGAGTGTTTCAAAACTGCTCTATGAAAAGAAAGGTTCAACTCTGTCAGTAGAGGGCACACATCACAAACAAGTTTCTGAGAATGCTTGTGTCTAGTTGTTATGGGAAGATATTTCCTTTTTCAACATAGGCCTGAAAGCGCTCCAAATGTCCACTTCCAGATACTACAAAAGGAGTGATTCCAACCTGCTCTATGATAGGGAATGTTCAACTCTCTGTCCTGAATACAAACATCACAAAGATGTTTCTCAGAACGCTGCAGTCTGCAATTTGTATGAATTCCCGCTTCCAACGAAATCCTCAAAACTAGCCAAATATCCACTTGCAGATTCCACAAAAAGAGCATTTCAAAACTGCTCTATCAAAAGAAAGGTTCAACTTTGTTAGTTGAGTAGATACAGCATAAACAAGTTTCTGAGAATGCTTCTGTCCAGTTTTTATGGGAAGATATTTCCTTTTTCACCTTAGCCCTGAAAGCGCTCCAAAAGTCCAGTTCCAGATACTACAAAAGGAGTGTTTCAGACTGCACTATGAAAGGGAGTGTTCAACTTTTGACTTGAATGCAAACATCAGAAAGCAGTTTCTCAGAACGCTGCTGTGTGCTTTTTATATGTATTCCCGCTTCCAGCGAAATCCCCAAAGCTAGCCAAATATCCACTTGCAGATTCCAGAAAAAGGGTGTTTCAAAACTGCTCCTTCAAAACGGTGGTTCAATTCTCTTAGTTGAGTACACACATCTCAAATAAGTTTCTGAGAATGCTTGTGTCTAGTTGTTATGGGAAGATATTTCCTTTTTCAACATAGGCCTGAAAGCGCTCCAAATGTCCACTTCCAGATACTACAAAAGGAGTGATTCCAACCTGCTCTATGATAGGGAATGTTCAACTCTCTGTCCTGAATACAAACATCACAAAGATGTTTCACAGAACGCTGCAGTCTGCAATTTGTATGAATTCCCGCTTCCAGCGAAATCCTCAAAACTAGCCAAATATCCACTTGCAGATTCCACAAAAAGAGCATTTCAAAACTGCTCTATCAAAAGAAAGGTTCAACTTTGTTAGTTGAGTAGATACAGCATAAACAAGTTTCTGAGAATGCTTCTGTCCAGTTTTTATGGGAAGATATTTCCTTTTTCACCTTAGCCCTGAAAGCGCTCCAAATGTCCAGTTCCAGATACTACAAAAGGGGTGTTTCAAGACTGCTCTATGAAAGGGAGTGTTCAACTTTTGACTTGAATGCAAACATCAGAAAGCAGTTTCTCAGAACGCTGCTGTGTGCTTTTTATATGTATTCCCGCTTCCAGCGAAATCCCCAAAGCTAGCCAAATATCCACTTGCAGATTCCAGAAAAAGAGTGTTTCAAAACTGCTCCTTCAAAACGGTGGTTCAATTCTCTTAGTTGAGTACACACATCTCAAATAAGTTTCTGAGAATGCTGCTGTGTGCTTTTTATATGTATTCCCGCTTCCAGCGAAATCCCCAAAGCTAGCCAAATATCCACTTGCAGATTCCAGAAAAAGAGTGTGTCAAAACTGCTCCTTCAAAACGGTGGTTCAATTCTCTTAGTTGAGTACACACATCTCAAATAAGTTTCTGAGAATGCTTCTGCATAGTTGTTACGGGAAGATATTTCCCTTTCCAAAATAGGCCTGAAAGCGCTCCAAATGTCCACTTCCAGATACTACAAAAGGAGTGATTCCAACCTGCTCTATGATAGGGAATGTTCAACTCTGTGTCCTGAATACAAACATCACAAAGATGTTTCTCAGAACGCTGCAGTCTGCAATTTGTATGAATTCCCGCTTCCAACGAAATCCTCAAAACTAGCCAAATATCCACTTGCAGATTCCACAAAAAGAGCGTTTCAAAACTTCTCTATGAAAAGAAAGGTTCTACTCCTTTAGTTGAGGACACACATCACGAGTAAGTTTCTGAGAATGCTTCTGTCTAGTTTTTATGGGAAGATATTTCCTTTTTCACCTTAGGCCGGTAAGTGCTCCAAATGTCCACTTACACACACTACAAAAAGAGTGTTTCAAACCTGCTCTGTGAAAGGGAATGTTCAATTCTGTGACTTGAATGCAATCATCACAAAGAACTTTCTGAGAATGCTGCTGACTGCTTTTTATATGTAATCCCGTTTCCAACGAAATCCTCAAATCTAGCCAAATAGCCACTTGCAGATTCCACAAAAAGAGTGTTTCAAAACTGTTCTGTCTAAAGAAATGTTCAACTGTGTTAGTTGAGGACACACATCAGAAACTAGTTTCTGAGAATGCTTCTGTCTAGTTGTTATGGGAAGATATTTCCTTTTCCAACGTAGGCCTGAAGCGATCAAAATGTCCACTTCCATATACTAAAAAAAGAGTGTTTCAAACCTGCTCTACCAAAGGGAATGTTCTACTCTGTGACTTGAATGCAAACATCCCAAAGAAGTTTCTGAGAATGCTTCTGTCTAGATTTTCTCTGAAGACAATCCCGTTTCCAACGAAATCCTCATGGCTAGGCAAATATACTCTTGCAGATTCCAGAAAAAGAGTGTTTCAAAACTGCTCCTTCAAAACGGTGGTTCAATTCTCTTAGTTGAGTACACACATCTCAAATAAGTTTCTGAGAATGCTTCTGCCTAGTTGTTACCGGAAGATATTTCCCTTTCCAACATAGGCCTGAAAGCGCTCCAAATGTCCACTTCCAGATACTACAAAAAGAGTGTTTCAAACCTGCTCTACCAAAGGGAATGTTCTACTCTGTGACTTTGATGCAAACATCCCAAAGAAGTTTCTGAGAATGCTTCTGTCTAGATTTTACCTGAAGACAATCCCGTTTCCCACGAAATCCTCAAAGCTATGCAAATATCCTCTTGCAGATTCTACAAAAAGAGTGTTTCAAAACTGCTCTATGAAAAGAAAGGTTCAACTCTGTCAGTAGAGGGCACACATCACAAACAAGTTTCTGAGAATGCTTGTGTCTAGTTGTTATGGGAAGATATTTCCTTTTTCAACATAGGCCAGAAAGCGCTCCAAATGTCCACTTCCAGATACTACAAAAGGAGTGATTCCAACCTGCTCTATGATAGGGAATGTTCAACTCTCTGTCCTGAATACAAACATCACAAAGATGTTTCTCAGAACGCTGCAGTCTGCAATTTGTATGAATTCCCGCTTCCAACGAAATCCTCAAAACTAGCCAAATATCCACTTGCAGATTCCACAAAAAGAGCATTTCAAAACTGCTCTATCAAAAGAAAGGTTCAACTTTGTTAGTTGAGTAGATACAGCATAAAAAAGTTTCTGAGAATGCTTCTGTCCAGTTTTTATGGGAAGATATTTCCTTTTTCACCTTAGCCCTGAAAGCGCTCCAAAAGTCCAGTTCCAGATACTACAAAAGGAGTGTTTCAGGACTGCTCTATGAAAGGGAGTGTTCAACTTTTGACTTGAATGCAAACATCAGAAAGCAGTTTCTCAGAACGCTGCTGTGTGCTTTTTATTTGTATTCCCGCCTCCAGCGAAATCCCCAAAGCTAGCCAAATATCCACTTGCAGATTCCAGAAAAAGAGTGTTTCAAAACTGCTCCTTCAAAACGGTGGTTCAATTCTCTTAGTTGAGTACACACATCTCAAATAAGTTTCTGAGAATGCTTCTGTCTAGTTGTTATGGGAAGATATTTCCTTTTCCAACATAGGCCTGAAAGCACTCCAAATGTCCACTTCCAGATACTACAAAAGGAGTGATTCCAACCTGCTCTATGATAGGGAATGTTCAACTCTGTGTCCTGAATACAAACATCACAAAGATGTTTCTCAGAACGCTGCAGTCTGCAATTTGTATGAATTCCCGCTTCCAACGAAATCCTCCAAACTAGCCAAATATCCACTTGCAGATTCCACAAAAAGAGCGTTTCAAAACTTCTCTATGAAAAGAAAGGTTCTACTCCTTTAGTTGAGGACACACATCACGAGTAAGTTTCTGAGAATGCTTCTGTCTAGTTTTTATGGGAAGATATTTCCTTTTTCACCTTAGGCCGGAAAGTGCTCCAAATGTCCACTTACACACACTACAAAAAGAGTGTTTCAAACCTGCTCTGTGAAAGGGAATGTTCAATTCTGTGACTTGAATGCAATCATCACAAAGAACTTTCTGAGAATGCTGCTGTCTGCTTTTTATATGTAATCCCGTTTCCAACGAAATCCTCAAATCTAGCCAAATAGCCACTTGCAGATTCCACAAAAAGAGAGTTTCAAAACTGTTCTGTCTAAAGAAATGTTCAACTGTGTTAGTTGAGGACACACATCAGAAACTAGTTTCTGAGAATGCTTCTGTCTAGTTGTTATGGGAAGATATTTCCTTTTCCAACGTAGGCCTGAAAGCGCTCCAAATGTCCACTTCCATATACTAAAAAAAGAGTGTTTCAAACCTGCTCTACCAAAGGGAATGTTCTACTCTGTGACTTGAATGCAAACATCCCAAAGAAGTTTCTGAGAATGCTTCTGTCTAGATTTTCTCTGAAGACAATCCCGTTTCCAACGAAATCCTCAAGGCTAGGCCAATATCCTCTTGCAGATTCCAGAAAAAGAGTGTTTCAAAACTGCTCCTTCAAAACGGTGGTTCAATTCTCTTAGTTGAGTACACACATCTCAAATAAGTTTCTGAGAATGCTTCTGCCTAGTTGTTACGGGAAGATATTTCCCTTTCCAACATGGGCCTGAAAGCGCTCCAAATGTCCACTTCCAGATACTACAAAAAGAGTGTTTCAAACCTGCTCTACCAAAGGGAATGTTCTACTCTGTGACTTGAATGCAAACATCCCAAAGAAGTTTCTGAGAATGCTTCTGTCTAGATTTTACCTGAAGACAATCCCGTTTCCCACGAAATCCTCAAAGCTATGCAAATATCCTCTTGCAGATTCTACAAAAAGAGTGTTTCAAAACTGCTCTATGAAAAGAAAGGTTCAACTCTGTCAGTAGAGGGCACACATCACAAACAAGTTTCTGAGAATGCTTGTGTCTAGTTGTTATGGGAAGATATTTCCTTTTTCAACATAGGCCTGAAAGCGCTCCAAATGTACACTTCCAGATACTACAAAAGGAGTGATTCCAACCTGCTCTATGATAGGGAATGTTCAACTCTGTGTCCTGAATACAAACATCACAAAGATATTTCTCAGAACGCTGCAGTCTGCAATTTGTATGAATTCCCGCTTCCAACGAAATCCTCAAAACTAGCCAAATATCCACTTGCAGATTCCACAAAAAGACCATTTCAAAACTGCTCTATCAAAAGAAAGGTTCAACTTTGTTAGTTGAGTAGATACAGCATAAACAAGTTTCTGAGAATGCTTCTGTCCAGTTTTTATGGGAAGATATTTCCTTTTTCACCTTAGCCCTGAAATCGCTCCAAAAGTCCAGTTCCAGATACTACAAAAGGGGTGTTTCAAGACTGCTCTATGAAAGGGAGTGTTCAACTTTTGACTTGAATGCAAACATCAGAAAGCAGTTTCTCAGAACGCTGCTGTGTGCTTTTTATATGTATTCCCGCTTCCAGCGAAATCCCCAAAGCTAGCCAAATATCCACTTGCAGATTCCAGAAAAAGAGAGTTTCAAAACTGCTCCTTCAAAACGGTGGTTCAATTCTCTTAGTTGAGTACACACATCTCAAATAAGTTTCTGAGAATGCTTCTGTCTAGTTGTTATGGGAAGATATTTCCTTTTCCAACATAGGCCTGAAAGCGCTCCAAATGTCCACTTCCAGATACTACAAAAGGAGTGATTCCAACCTGCTCTATGATAGGGAATGTTCAACTCTGTGTCCTGAATACAAACATCACAAAGATGTTTCTCAGAACGCTGCAGTCTGCAATTTGTATGAATTCCCGCTTCCAACGAAATCCTCCAAACTAGCCAAATATCCACTTGCAGATTCCACAAAAAGAGCGTTTCAAAACTTCTCTATGAAAAGAAAGGTTCTACTCCTTTAGTTGAGGACACACATCACGAGTAAGTTTCTGAGAATGCTTCTGTCTAGTTTTTATGGGAAGATATTTCCTTGTTCACCTTAGGCCGGAAAGCGCTCCAACTGTCCACTTACACACACTACAAAAAGAGTGTTTCAAACCTGCTCTGTGAAAGGGAATGTTCAATTCTGTGACTTGAATGCAATCATCACAAACAAGTTTCTGAGAATGCTGCTGACTGCTTTTTATATGTAATCCCGTTTCCAACGAAATCCTCAAATCTAGCCAAATAGCCACTTGCAGATTCCACAAAAAGAGTGTTTCAAAACTGTTCTGTCTAAAGAAATGTTCAACTGTGTTAGTTGAGGACACACATCAGAAACTAGTTTCTGAGAATGCTTCTGTCTAGTTGTTATGGGAAGATATTTCCTTTTCCAACGTAGGCCTGAAAGCGCTCCAAATGTCCACTTCCAGATACTACAAAAAGAGTGTTTCAAACCTGCTCTACCAAAGGGAATGTTCTACTCTGTGACTTGAATGCAAACATCCCAAAGAAGTTTCTGAGAATGCTTCTGTCTAGATTTTCTCTGAAGACAATCCCGTTTCCAACGAAATCCTCAAGGCTAGGCAAATATACTCTTGCAGATTCCAGAAAAAGAGTGTTTCAAAACTGCTCCTTCAAAACGGTGGTTCAATTCTCTTAGTTGAGTACACACATCTCAAATAAGTTTCTGAGAATGCTTCTGCCTAGTTGTTACGGGAAGATATTTCCCTTTCCAACATGGGCCTGAAAGCGCTCCAAATGTCCACTTCCAGATACTACAAAAAGAGTGTTTCAAACCTGCTCTACCAAAGGGAATGTTCTACTCTGTGACTTGAATGCAAACATCCCAAAGAAGTTTCTGAGAATGCTTCTGTCTAGATTTTACCTGAAGACAATCCCGTTTCTCACGAAATCCTCAAAACTATGCAAATATCCTCTTGCAGATTCTACAAAAAGAGTGTTTCAAAACTGCTCTATGAAAAGAAAGGTTCAACTCTGTCAGTAGAGGGCACACATCACAAACAAGTTTCTGAGAATGCTTGTGTCTAGTTGTTATGGGAAGATATTTCCTTTTTCAACATAGGCCTGAAAGCGCTCCAAATGTCCACTTCCAGATACTACAAAAGGAGTGATTCCAACCTGCTCTATGATAGGGAATGTTCAACTCTCTGTCCTGAATACAAACATCACAAAGATGTTTCTCAGAACGCTGCAGTCTGCAATTTGTATGAATTCCCGCTTCCAACGAAATCCTCAAAACTAGCCAAATATCCACTTGCAGATTCCACAAAAAGAGCATTTCAAAACTGCTCTATCAAAAGAAAGGTTCAACTTTGTTAGTTGAGTAGATACAGCATAAACAAGTTTCTGAGAATGCTTCTGTCCAGTTTTTATGGGAAGATATTTCCTTTTTCACCTTAGCCCTGAAAGCGCTCCAAAAGTCCAGTTCCAGATACTACAAAAGGAGTGTTTCAGGACTGCACTATGAAAGGGAGGGTTCAACTTTTGACTTGAATGCAAACATCAGAAAGCAGTTTCTCAGAACGCTGCTGTGTGCTTTTTATATGTATTCCCGCTTCCAGCGAAATCCCCAAAGCTAGCCAAATATCCACTTGCAGATTCCAGAAAAAGAGTGTTTCAAAACTGCTCCTTCAAAACGGTGGTTCAATTCTCTTAGTTGAGTACACACATCTCAAATAAGTTTCTGAGAATGCTTCTGTCTAGTTGTTATGGGAAGATATTTCCTTTTCCAACATAGGCCTGAAAGCGCTCCAAATGTCCACTTCCAGATACTACAAAAGGAGTGATTCCAACCTGCTCTATGATAGGGAATGTTCAACTCTGTGTCCTGTATACAAACATCACAAAGATGTTTCTCAGAACGCTGCAGTCTGCAATTTGTATGAATTCCCGCTTCCAACGAAATCCTCCAAACTAGCCAAATATCCACTTGCAGATTCCACAAAAAGAGCGTTTCAAAACTTCTCTATGAAAGAAAGGTTCTACTCCTTTAGTTGAGGACACACATCACGAGTAAGTTTCTGAGAATGCTTCTGTCTAGTTTTTATGGGAAGATATTTCCTTTTTCACCTTAGGCCGGAAAGTGCTCCAAATGTCCACTTACACACACTATAAAAAGAGTGTTTCAAACCTGCTCTGTGAAAGGGAATGTTCAATTCTGTGACTTGAATGCAATCATCACAAAGAACTTTCTGAGAATGCTGCTGTCTGCTTTTTATATGTAATCCCGTTTCCAACGAAATCCTCAAATCTAGCCAAATAGCCACTTGCAGATTCCACAAAAAGAGAGTTTCAAAACTGTTCTGTCTAAAGAAATGTTCAACTGTGTTAGTTGAGGACACACATCAGAAACTAGTTTCTGAGAATGCTTCTGTCTAGTTGTTATGGGAAGATATTTCCTTTTCCAACATAGGCCTGAAAGCGCTCCAAATGTCCACTTCCAGATACTACAAAAAGAGTGTTTCAAACCTGCTCTACCAAAGGGAATGTTCTACTCTGTGACTTGAATGCAAACATCCCAAAGAAGTTTCTGAGAATGCTTCTGTCTAGATTTTACCTGAAGACAATCCCGTTTCCCACGAAATCCTCAAAGCTATGCAAATATCCTCTTGCAGATTCTACAAAAAGAGTGTTTCAAAACTGCTCTATGAAAAGAAAGGTTCAACTCTGTCAGTAGAGGGCACACATCACAAACAAGTTTCTGAGAATGCTTGTGTCTAGTTGTTATGGGAAGATATTTCCTTTTTCAACATAGGCCTGAAAGCGCTCCAAATGTCCACTTCCAGATACTACAAAAGGAGTGATTCCAACCTGCTCTATGATAGGGAATGTTCAACTCTCTGTCCTGAATACAAACATCACAAAGATGTTTCTCAGAACGCTGCAGTCTGCAATTTGTATGAATTCCCGCTTCCAACGAAATCCTCAAAACTAGCCAAATATCCACTTGCAGATTCCACAAAAAGAGCATTTCAAAACTGCTCTATCAAAAGAAAGGTTCAACTTTGTTAGTTGAGTAGATACAGCATAAACAAGTTTCTGAGAATGCTTCTGTCCAGTTTTTATGGGAAGATATTTCCTTTTTCACCTTAGCCCTGAAAGCGCTCCAAAAGTCCAGTTCCAGATACTACAAAAGGAGTGTTTCAGAACTGCTCTATGAAAGGGAGTGTTCAACTTTTGACTTGAATGCAAACATCAGAAAGCAGTTTCTCAGAACGCTGCTGTGTGCTTTTTATATGTATTCCCGCTTCCAGCGAAATCCCCAAAGCTAGCCAAATATCCACTTGCAGATTCCAGAAAAAGAGTGTTTCAAAACTGCTCCTTCAAAACGGTGGTTCAATTCTCTTAGTTGAGTACACACATCTCAAATAAGTTTCTGAGAATGCTTCTGTCTAGTTGTTATGGGAAGATATTTCCTTTTCCAACATAGGCCTGAAAGCGCTCCAAATGTCCACTTCCAGATACTACAAAAGGAGTGATTCAAACCTGCTCTATGATAGGGAATGTTCAACTCTGTGTCCTGAATACAAACATCACAAAGATGTTTCTCAGAACGCTGCAGTCTGCAATTTGTATGAATTCCCGCTTCCAACGAAATCCTCAAAACTAGCCAAATATCCACTTGCAGATTCCACAAAAAGAGCGTTTCAAAACTTCTCTATGAAAAGAAAGGTTCTACTCCTTTAGTTGAGGACACACATCACGAGTAAGTTTCTGAGAATGCTTCTGTCTAGTTTTTATGGGAAGATATTTCCTTTTTCACCTTAGGCCGGTAAGTGCTCCAAATGTCCACTTACACACACTACAAAAAGAGTGTTTCAAACCTGCTCTGTGAAAGGGAATGTTCAATTCTGTGACTTGAATGCAATCATCACAAAGAACTTTCTGAGAATGCTGCTGTCTGCTTTGTATATGTAATCCCGTTTCCAACGAAATCCTCAAATCTAGCCAAATAGCCACTTGCAGATTCGACAAAAAGAGTGTTTCAAAACTGTTCTGTCTAAAGAAATGTTCAACTGTGTTAGTTGAGGACACACATCAGAAACTAGTTTCTGAGAATGCTTCTGTCTAGTTGTTATGGGAAGATATTTCCTTTTCCAACGTAGGCCTGAAAGCGCTCCAAATGTCCACTTCCATATACTAAAAAAAGAGTGTTTCAAACCTGCTCTACCAAAGGGAATGTTCTACTCTGTGACTTGAATGCAAACATCCCAAAGAAGTTTCTGAGAATGCTTCTGTCTAGATTTTCTCTGAAGACAATCCCGTTTCCAACGAAATCCTCAAGGCTAGGCAAATATACTCTTGCAGATTCCAGAAAAAGAGTGTTTCAAAACTGCTCCTTCAAAACGGTGGTTCAATTCTCTTAGTTGAGTACACACATCTCAAATAAGTTTCTGAGAATGCTTCTGCCTAGTTGTTACGGGAAGATATTTCCCTTTCCAACATGGGCCTGAAAGCGCTCCAAATGTCCACTTCCAGATACTACAAAAAGAGTGTTTCAAACCTGCTCTACCAAAGGGAATGTTCTACTCTGTGACTTGAATGCAAACATCCCAAAGAAGTTTCTGAGAATGCTTCTGTCTAGATTTTACCTGAAGACAATCCCGTTTCCCACGAAATCCTCAAAGCTATGCAAATATCCTCTTGCAGATTCTACAAAAAGAGTGTTTCAAAACTGCTCTATGAAAAGAAAGGTTCAACTCTGTCAGTAGAGGGCACACATCACAAACAAGTTTCTGAGAATGCTTCTGCATAGTTGTTACGGGAAGATATTTCCCTTTCCAAAATAGGCCTGAAAGCGCTCCAAATGTCCACTTCCAGATACTACAAAAGGAGTGATTCCAACCTGCTCTATGATAGGGAATGTTCAACTCTGTGTCCTGAATACAAACATCACAAAGATGTTTCTCAGAACGCTGCAGTCTGCAATTTGTATGAATTCCAGCTTCCAACGAAATCCTCAAAACTAGCCAAATATCCACTTGCAGATTCCACAAAAAGAGCATTTCAAAACTGCTCTATCAAAAGAAAGGTTCAACTTTGTTAGTTGAGTAGATACAGCATAAACAAGTTTCTGAGAATGCTTCTGTCCAGTTTTTATGGGAAGATATTTCCTTTTTCACCTTAGCCCTGAAAGCGCTCCAAAAGTGCAGTTCCAGATACTACAAAAGGAGTGTTTCAGGACTGCTCTATGAAAGGGAGTGTTCAACTTTTGACTTGAATGCAAACATCAGAAAGCAGTTTCTCAGAACGCTGCTGTGTGCTTTTTATATGTATTCCCGCTTCCAGCGAAATCCCCAAAGCTAGCCAAATATCCACTTGCAGATTCCAGGAAAAGAGTGTTTCAAAACTGCTCCTTCAAAACGGTGGTTCAATTCTCTTAGTTGAGTACACACATCTCAAATAAGTTTCTGAGAATGCTTCTGTCTAGTTGTTATGGGAAGATATTTCCTTTTCCAACATAGGCCTGAAAGCGCTCCAAATGTCCACTTCCAGATACTACAAAAGGAGTGATTCAAACCTGCTCTATGATAGGGAATGTTCAACTCTGTGTCCTGAATACAAACATCACAAAGATGTTTCTCAGAACGCTGCAGTCTGCAATTTGTATGAATTCCCGCTTCCAACGAAATCCTCCAAACTAGCCAAATATCCACTTGCAGATTCCACAAAAAGAGCGTTTCAAAACTTCTCTATGAAAAGAAAGGTTCTACTCCTTTAGTTGAGGACACACATCACGAGTAAGTTTCTGAGAGTGCTTCTGTCTAGTTTTTATGGGAAGATATTTCCTTTTTCACCTTAGGCCGGAAAGTGCTCCAAATGTCCACTTACACACACTACAAAAAGAGTGTTTCAAACCTGCTCTGTGAAAGGGAATGTTCAATTCTGTGACTTGAATGCAATCATCACAAAGAACTTTCTGAGAATGCTGCTGTCTGCTTTTTATATGTAATCCCGTTTCCAACGAAATCCTCAAATCTAGCCAAATAGCCACTTGCAGATTCCACAAAAAGAGTGTTTCAAAACTGTTCTGTCTAAAGAAATGTTCAACTGTGTTAGTTGAGGACACACATCAGAAACTAGTTTCTGAGAATGCTTCTGTCTAGTTGTTATGGGAAGATATTTCCTTTTCCAACGTAGGCCTGAAAGCGCTCCAAATGTCCACTTCCATATACTAAAAAAAGAGTGTTTCAAACCTGCTCTACCAAAGGGAATGTTCTACTCTGTGACTTGAATGCAAACATCCCAAAGAAGTTTCTGAGAATGCTTCTGTCTAGATTTGATCTGAAGACAATCCCGTTTCCAACGAAATCATCAAGGCTAGGCAAATATCCTCTTGCAGATTCCAGAAAAAGAGTGTTTCAAAACTGCTCCTTCAAAACGGTGGTTCAATTCTCTTACTTGAGTACACACATCTCAAATAAGTTTCTGAGAATGCTTCTGCCTAGTTGTTACGGGAAGATATTTCCCTTTCCAACATAGGCCTGAAAGCGCTCCAAATGTCCACTTCCAGATACTACAAAAAGAGTGTTTCAAACCTGCTCTACCAAAGGGAATGTTCTACTCTGTGACTTGAATGCAAACATCCCAAAGAAGTTTCTGAGAATGCTTCTGTCTAGATTTTACCTGAAGACAATCCCGTTTCCCACGAAATCCTCAAAGCTATGCAAATATCCTCTTGCAGATTCTACAAAAAGAGTGTTTCAAAACTGCTCTATGAAAAGAAAGGTTCAACTCTGTCAGTAGAGGGCACACATCACAAACAAGTTTCTGAGAATGCTTGTGTCTAGTTGTTATGGGAAGATATTTCCTTTTTCAACATAGGCCTGAAAGCGCTCCAAATGTCCACTTCCAGATACTACAAAAGGAGTGATTCCAACCTGCTCTATGATAGGGAATGTTCAACTCTGTGTCCTGAATACAAACATCACAAAGATGTTTCTCAGAACGCTGCAGTCTGCAATTTGTATGTATTCCAGCTTCCAACGAAATCCTCAAATCTAGCCAAATATCCACTTGCAGATTCCACAAAAAGAGCATTTCAAAACTGCTCTATCAAAAGAAAGGTTCAACTTTTTTAGTAGAGTAGATACAGCATAAACAAGTTTCTGAGAATGCTTCTGTCCAGTTTTTATGGGAAGATATTTCCTTTTTCACCTTAGCCCTGAAAGCGCTCCAAAAGTCCAGTTCCAGATACTACAAAAGGAGTGTTTCAGGACTGCTCTATGAAAGGGAGTGTTCAACTTTTGACTTGAATGCAAACATCAGAAAGCAGTTTCTCAGAACGCTGCTGTGTGCTTTTTATATGTATTCCCGCTTCCAGCGAAATCCCCAAAGCTAGCCAAATATCCACTTGCAGATTCCAGAAAAAGAGTGTTTCAAAACTGCTCCTTCAAAACGGTGGTTCAATTCTCTTAGTTGAGTACACACATCTCAAATAAGTTTCTGAGAATGCTTCTGTCTAGTTGTTATGGGAAGATATTTCCTTTTCCAACATAGGCCTGAAAGCGCTCCAAATGTCCACTTCCAGATACTACAAAAGGAGTGATTCCAACCTGCTCTATGATAGGGAATGTTCAACTCTGTGTCCTGAATACAAACATCACAAAGATGTTTCTCAGAACGCTGCAGTCTGCAATTTGTATGAATTCCCGCTTCCAACGAAATCCTCCAAACTAGCCAAATATCCACTTGCAGATTCCACAAAAAGAGCGTTTCAAAACTTCTCTATGAAAAGAAAGGTTCTACTCCTTTAGTTGAGGACACACATCACGAGTAAGTTTCTGAGAATGCTTCTGTCTAGTTTTTATGGCAAGATATTTCCTTGTTCACCTTAGGCCGGAAAGCGCTCCAAATGTCCACTTACACACACTACAAAAAGAGTGTTTCAAACCTGCTCTGTGAAAGGGAATGTTCAATTCTGTGACTTGAATGCAATCATCACAAAGAAGTTTCTGAGAATGCTGCTGTCTGCTTTTTATATGTAATCCCGTTTCCAACGAAATCCTCAAATCTAGCCAAATATCCACTTGCAGATTCCACAAAAAGAGTGTTTCAAAACTGTTCTGTCTAAAGAAATGTTCAACTGTGTTAGTTGAGGACACACATCAGAAACTAGTTTCTGAGAATGCTTCTGTCTAGTTGTTATGGGAAGATATTTCCTTTTCCAACGTAGGCCTGAAAGCGCTCCAAATGTCCACTTACACACACTACTAAAAGAGTGTTTCAAACCTGCTCTAACAAAGGGAATGTTCAACTCTGTGACTTGAATGCAAACATCCCAAAGAAGTTTCTGAGAATGCTTCTGTCTAGATTTTACCTGAAGACAATCCCGTTTCCCACGAAATCCTCAAAGCTATGCAAATATCCTCTTGCAGATTCTACAAAAAGAGTGTTTCGAAACTGCTCTATGAAAAGAAAGGTTCAACTGTGTCAGTAGAGGGCACACATCACAAACAAGTTTCTGAGAATGCTTCTGCCTAGTTGTTATGGGAAGATATTTCCTTTTTCAACATAGGCCTGAAAGCGCACCAAATGTCCACTTCCAGATACTACAAAAGGAGTGATTCCAACCTGCTCTATGATAGGGAATGTTCAACTCTGTGTCCTGAATACAAACATCACAAAGATGTTTCTCAGAACGCTGCAGTCTGCAATTTGTATGAATTCCCGCTTCCAACGAAATCCTCAAACCTAGACAAATATCCACTTGCAGATTCCACAAAAAGAGCATTTCAAAACTGCTCTATCAAAAGAAAGGTTCAACTTTGTTAGTTGAGTAGATACAGCATAAACAAGTTTCTGAGAATGCTTCTGTCCAGTTTTTATGGGAAGATATTTCCTTTTTCACCTTAGCCCTGAAAGCGCTCCAAATGTCCAGTTCCAGATACTACAAAAGGGGTGTTTCAAGACTGCTCTATGAAAGGGAGTGTTCAACTTTTGACTTGAATGCAAACATCAGAAAGCAGTTTCTCAGAACGCTGCTGTGTGCTCTTTATAGGTATTCCCGCTTCCAGCGAAATCCCCAAAGCTAGCCAAATATCCACTTGCAGATTCCAGAAAAAGAGTGTTTCAAAACTGCTCTTTTAAAACGGTGGTTCAATTCTCTTAGTTGAGTACACACATCTCAAATAAGTTTCTGAGAATGCTTCTGTCTAGTTGTTATGGGAAGATATTTCCTTTTCCAACATAGGCCTGAAAGCGCTCCAAATGTCCACTTCCAGATACTACAAAAGGAGTGATTCCAACCTGCTCTATGATAGGGAATGTTCAACTCTGTGTCCTGAATACAAACATCACAAAGATGTTTCTCAGAACGCTGCAGTCTGCAATTTGTATGAATTCCCGCTTCCAACGAAATCCTCCAAACTAGCCAAATATCCACTTGCAGATTCCACAAAAAGAGCGTTTCAAAACTTCTCTATGAAAAGAAAGGTTCTACTCCTTTAGTTGAGGACACACATCACGAGTAAGTTTCTGAGAATGCTTCTGTCTAGTTTTTATGGGAAGATATTTCCTTGTTCACCTTAGGCCGGAAAGTGCTCCAAATGTCCACTTACACACACTACAAAAAGAGTGTTTCAAACCTGCTCTGTGAAAGGGAATGTTCAATTCTGTGACTTGAATGCAATCATCACAAAGAAGTTTCTGAGAATGCTGCTGTCTGCTTTTTATATGTAATCCCGTTTCCAACGAAATCCTCAAATCTAGCCAAATATCCACTTGCAGATTCCACAAAAAGAGTGTTTCAAAACTGTTCTGTCTAAAGAAATGTTCAACTGTGTTAGTTGAGGACACACATCAGAAACTAGTTTCTGAGAATGCTTCTGTCTAGTTGTTATGGGAAGATATTTCCTTTTCCAACGTAGGCCTGAAAGCGCTCCAAATGTCCACTTACACACACTACAAAAAGAGTGTTTCAAACCTGCTCTACCAAAGTGAATGTTCGACTCTGTGACTTGAATGCAAACATCCCAAAGAAGTTTCTGAGAATGCTTCTGTCTAGATTTGATCTGAAGACAATCCCTTTTCCAACGAAATCCTCAAAGCTAGGCAAATATCCTCTTGCAGATTCCAGAAAAAGAGTGTTTCCAAACTGCTCCTTCAAAACGGTGGTTCAATTCTCTTAGTTGAGTACACACATCTCAAATAAGTTTCTGAGAATGCTTCTGCCTAGTTGTTACGGGAAGATATTTCCCTTTCCAACATAGGCCTGAAAGCGCAACAAATGTCCACTTCCAGATACTACAAAAAGAGTGTTTCAAACCTGCTCTACCGAAGGGAATGTTCTACTCTGTGACTTGAATGCAAACATCCCAAAGAAGTTTCTGAGAATGCTTCTGTCTAGATTTTACCTGAAGACAATCCCGTTTCCCACGAAATCCTCAGAGCTATGCAAATATCCTCTTGCAGATTCTACAAAAAGAGTGTTTCGAAACTGCTCTATGAAAAGAAAGGTTCAACTCTGTCAGTAGAGGAAACACATCACCAACAAGTTTCTGAGAATGCTTCTGTCTAGTTGTTATGGGAAGATTTTTCCTTTTTCAACATAGGCCTGAAAGCGCTCCAAATGTCCACTTCCAGATACTACAAAAGGAGTGATCCCAACCTGCTCTATGATAGGGAATGTTCAACTCTGTGTCCTGAATACAAACATCACAAAGATGTTTCTCAGAACGCTGCAGTCTGCAATTTGTATGTATTCCAGCTTCCAACGAAATCCTCAAATCTAGCCAAATATCCAATTGCAGATTCCACAAAAAGAGCATTTCAAAACTGCTCTATCAAAAGAAAGGTTCAACTTTTTTAGTAGAGTAGATACAGCATAAACAAGTTTCTGAGAATTCTTCTGTCCAGTTTTTATGGGAAGATATTTCCTTTTTCACCTTAGCCCTGAAAGCGCTCCAAAAGTCCAGTTCCAGATACTACAAAAGGAGTGTTTCAGGACTGCTCTATGAAAGGGAGTGTTCAACTTTTGACTTGAATGCAAACATCAGAAAGCAGTTTCTCAGAACGCTGCTGTGTGCTTTTTATATGTATTCCCGCTTCCAGCGAAATCCCCAAAGCTAGCCAAATATCCACTTGCTGATTCCAGAAAAAGAGTGTTTCAAAACTGCTCCTTCAAAACGGTGGTTCAATTCTCTTAGTTGAGTACACACATCTCAAACAAGTTTCTGAGAATGCTTCTGTCTAGTTGTTATGGGAAGATATTTCCTTTTCCAACATAGGCCTGAAAGCGCTCCAAATGTCCACTTCCAGATACTACAAAAGGAGTGATTCAAACCTGCTCTATGATAGGGAATGTTCAACTCTGTGTCCTGAATACAAACATCACAAAGATGTTTCTCAGAACGCTGCAGTCTGCAATTTGTATGAATTCCCGCTTCCAACGAAATCCTCAAAACTAGCCAAATATCCACTTGCAGATTCCACAAAAAGAGCGTTTCAAAACTTCTCTATGAAAAGAAAGGTTCTACTCCTTTAGTTGAGGACACACATCACGAGTAAGTTTCTGAGAATGCTTCTGTCTAGTTTTTATGGGAAGATATTTCCTTTTTCACCTTAGGCCGGTAAGTGCTCCAAATGTCCACTTACACACACTACAAAAAGAGTGTTTCAAACCTGCTCTGTGAAAGGGAATGTTCAATTCTGTGACTTGAATGCAATCATCACAAAGAACTTTCTGAGAATGCTGCTGACTGCTTTTTATATGTAATCCCGTTTCCAACGAAATCCTCAAATCTAGCCAAATAGCCACTTGCAGATTCCACAAAAAGAGTGTTTCAAAACTGTTCTGTCTAAAGAAATGTTCAACTGTGTTAGTTGAGGACACACATCAGAAACTAGTTTCTGAGAATGCTTCTGTCTAGTTGTTATGGGAAGATATTTCCTTTTCCAACGTAGGCCTGAAAGCGCTCCAAATGTCCACTTCCAGATACTACAAAAAGAGTGTTTCAAACCTGCTCTACCAAAGGGAATGTTCTACTCTGTGACTTGAATGCAAGCATCCCAAAGAAGTTTCTGAGAATGCTTCTGTCTAGATTTTCTCTGAAGACAATCCCGTTTCCAACGAAATCCTCAAGGCTAGGCAAATATACTCTTGCAGATTCCAGAAAAAGAGTGTTTCAAAACTGCTCCTTCAAAACGGTGGTTCAATTCTCTTAGTTGAGTACACACATCTCAAATAAGTTTCTGAGAATGCTTCTGCCTAGTTGTTACGGGAAGATATTTCCCTTTCCAACATGGGCCTGAAAGCGCTCCAAATGTCCACTTCCAGATACTACAAAAAGAGTGTTTCAAACCTGCTCTACCAAAGGGAATGTTCTACTCTGTGACTTGAATGCAAACATCCCAAAGAAGTTTCTGAGAATGCTTCTGTCTAGATTTTACCTGAAGACAATCCCGTTTCCCACGAAATCCTCAAAGCTATGCAAATATCCTCTTGCAGATTCTACAAAAAGAGTGTTTCAAAACTGCTCTATGAAAAGAAAGGTTCAACTCTGTCAGTAGAGGGCACACATCACAAACAAGTTTCTGAGAATGCTTCTGCATAGTTGTTACGGGAAGATATTTCCCTTTCCAAAATAGGCCTGAAAGCGCTCCAAATGTCCACTTCCAGATACTACAAAAGGAGTGATTCCAACCTGCTCTATGATAGGGAATGTTCAACTCTCTGTCCTGAATACAAACATCACAAAGATGTTTCTCAGAACGCTGCAGTCTGCAATTTGTATGAATTCCCGCTTCCAACGAAATCCTCAAAACTAGCCAAATATCCACTTGCAGATTCCACAAAAAGACCATTTCAAAACTGCTCTATCAAAAGAAAGGTTCAACTTTGTTAGTTGAGTAGATACAGCATAACCAAGTTTCTGAGAATGCTTCTGTCCAGTTTTTATGGGAAGATATTTCCTTTTTCACCTTAGCCCTGAAATCGCTCCAAAAGTCCAGTTCCAGATACTACAAAAGGGGTGTTTCAAGACTGCTCTATGAAAGGGAGTGTTCAACTTTTGACTTGAATGCAAACATCAGAAAGCAGTTTCTCAGAACGCTGCTGTGTGCTTTTTATATGTATTCCCGCTTCCAGCGAAATCCCCAAAGCTAGCCAAATATCCACTTGCAGATTCCAGAAAAAGAGAGTTTCAAAACTGCTCCTTCAAAACGGTGGTTCAATTCTCTTAGTTGAGTACACACATCTCAAATAAGTTTCTGAGAATGCTTCTGTCTAGTTGTTATGGGAAGATATTTCCTTTTCCAACATAGGCCTGAAAGCGCTCCAAATGTCCACTTCCAGATACTACAAAAGGAGTGATTCCAACCTGCTCTATGATAGGGAATGTTCAACTCTGTGTCCTGAATACAAACATCACAAAGATGTTTCTCAGAACGCTGCAGTCTGCAATTTGTATGAATTCCCGCTTCCAACGAAATCCTCAAAACTAGCCAAATATCCACTTGCAGATTCCACAAAAAGAGCGTTTCAAAACTTCTCTATGAAAAGAAAGGTTCTACTCCTTTAGTTGAGGACACACATCACGAGTAAGTTTCTGAGAATGCTTCTGTCTAGTTTTTATGGGAAGATATTTCCTTTTTCACCTTAGGCCGGTAAGTGCTCCAAATGTCCACTTACACACACTACAAAAAGAGTGTTTCAAACCTGCTCTGTGAAAGGGAATGTTCAATTCTGTGACTTGAATGCAATCATCACAAAGAACTTTCTGAGAATGCTGCTGACTGCTTTTTATATGTAATCCCGTTTCCAACGAAATCCTCAAATCTAGCCAAATAGCCACTTGCAGATTCCACAAAAAGAGTGTTTCAAAACTGTTCTGTCTAAAGAAATGTTCAACTGTGTTAGTTGAGGACACACATCAGAAACTAGTTTCTGAGAATGCTTCTGTCTAGTTGTTATGGGAAGATATTTCCTTTTCCAACGTAGGCCTGAAAGCGCTCCAAATGTCCACTTCCAGATACTAAAAAAAGAGTGTTTCAAACCTGCTCTACCAAAGGGAATGTTCTACTCTGTGACTTGAATGCAAACATCCCAAAGAAGTTTCTGAGAATGCTTCTGTCTAGATTTTCTCTGAAGACAATCCCGTTTCCAACGAAATCCTCATGGCTAGGCAAATATACTCTTGCAGATTCCAGAAAAAGAGTGTTTCAAAACTGCTCCTTCAAAACGGTGGTTCAATTCTCTTAGTTGAGTACACACATCTCAAATAAGTTTCTGAGAATGCTTCTGCCTAGTTGTTACGGGAAGATATTTCCCTTTCCAACATGGGCCTGAAAGCGCTCCAAATGTCCACTTCCAGATACTACAAAAAGAGTGTTTCAAACCTGCTCTACCAAAGGGAATGTTCTACTCTGTGACTTGAATGCAAACATCCCAAAGAAGTTTCTGAGAATGCTTCTGTCTAGATTTTACCTGAAGACAATCCCGTTTCCCACGAAATCCTCAAAGCTATTCAAATATCCTCTTGCAGATTCTACAAAAAGAGTGTTTCAAAACTGCTCTATGAAAAGAAAGGTTCAACTCTGTCACTAGAGGGCACACATCACAAACAAGTTTCTGAGAATGCTTGTGTCTAGTTGTTATGGGAAGATATTTCCTTTTTCAACATAGGCCTGAAAGCGCTCCAAATGTCCACTTCCAGATACTACAAAAGGAGTGATTCCAACCTGCTCTATGATAGGGAATGTTCAACTCTCTGTCCTGAATACAAACATCACAAAGATGTTTCTCAGAACGCTGCAGTCTGCAATTTGTATGAATTCCCGCTTCCAGCGAAATCCTCAAAACTAGCCAAATATCCACTTGCAGATTCCACAAAAAGAGCATTTCAAAACTGCTCTATCAAAAGAAAGGTTCAACTTTGTTAGTTGAGTAGATACAGCATAAACAAGTTTCTGAGAATGCTTCTGTCCAGTTTTTATGGGAAGATATTTCCTTTTTCACCTTAGCCCTGAAAGCGCTCCAAAAGTCCAGTTCCAGATACTACAAAAGGAGTGTTTCAGGACTGCTCTATGAAAGGGAGTGTTCAACTTTTGACTTGAATGCAAACATCAGAAAGCAGTTTCTCAGAACGCTGCTGTGTGCTTTTTATATGTATTCCCGCTTCCAGCGAAATCCCCAAAGCTAGCCAAATATCCACTTGCAGATTCCAGAAAAAGAGTGTTTCAAAACTGCTCCTTCAAAACGGTGGTTCAATTCTCTTAGTTGAGTACACACATCTCAAATAAGTTTCTGAGAATGCTTCTGTCTATTTGTTATGGGAAGATATTTCCTTTTCCAACATAGGCCTGAAAGCGCTCCAAATGTCCACTTCCAGATACTAGAAAAGGAGTGATTCAAACCTGCTCTATGATAGGGAATGTTCAACTCTGTGTCCTGAATACAAACATCACAAAGATGTTTCTCAGAACGCTGCAGTCTGCAATTTGTATGAATTCCCGCTTCCAACGAAATCCTCAAAACTAGCCAAATATCCACTTGCAGATTCCACAAAAAGAGCGTTTCAAAACTTCTCTATGAAAGGAAAGGTTCTACTCCTTTAGTTGAGGACACACATCACGAGTAAGTTTCTGAGAATGCTTCTGTCTAGTTTTTATGGGAAGATATTTCCTTTTTCACCTTAGGCCGGAAAGTGCTCCAAATGTCCACTTACACACACTACACAAAGAGTGTTTCAAACCTGCTCTGTGAAAGGGAATGTTCAATTCTGTGACTTGAATGCAATCATCACAAAGAACTTTCTGAGAATGCTGCTGACTGCTTTTTATATGTAATCCCGTTTCCAACGAAATCCTCAAATCTAGCCAAATAGCCACTTGCAGATTCCACAAAAAGAGTGTTTCAAAACTGTTCTGTCTAAAGAAATGTTCAACTGTGTTAGTTGAGGACACACATCAGAAACTAGTTTCTGAGAATGCTTCTGTCTAGTTGTTATGGGAAGATATTTCCTTTTCCAACGTAGGCCTGAAAGCGCTCCAAATGTCCACTTCCATATACTAAAAAAAGAGTGTTTCAAACCTGCTCTACCAAAGGGAATGTTCTACTCTGTGACTTGAATGCAAACATCCCAAAGAAGTTTCTGAGAATGCTTCTGTCTAGATTTTCTCTGAAGACAATCCCGTTTCCAACGAAATCCTCAAGGCTAGGCAAATATCCTCTTGCAGATTCCAGAAAAAGAGTGTTTCAAAACTGCTCCTTCAAAACGGTGGTTCAATTCTCTTAGTTGAGTACACACATCTCAAATAAGTTTCTGAGAATGCTTCTGCCTAGTTGTTACGGGAAGATATTTCCCTTTCCAACATAGGCCTGAAAGCGCTCCAAATGTCCACTTCCAGATACTACAAAAAGAGTGTTTCAAACCTGCTCTACCAAAGGGAATGTTCTACTCTGTGACTTGAATGCAAACATCCCAAAGAAGTTTCTGAGAATGCTTCTGTCTAGATTTTACCTGAAGACAATCCCGTTTCCCACGAAATCCTCAAAGCTATGCAAATATCCTCTTGCAGATTCTACAAAAAGAGTGTTTCAAAACTGCTCTATGAAAAGAAAGGTTCAACTGTGTCAGTAGAGGGCACACATCACAAACAAGTTTCTGAGAATGCTTGTGTCTAGTTGTTATGGGAAGATATTTCCTTTTTCAACATAGGCCTGAAAGCGCTCCAAATGTCCACTTCCAGATACTACAAAAGGAGTGATTCCAACCTGCTCTATGATAGGGAATGTTCAACTCTCTGTCCTGAATACAAACATCACAAAGATGTTTCTCAGAACGCTGCAGTCTGCAATTTGTATGAATTCCCGCTTCCAACGAAATCCTCAAAACTAGCCAAATATCCACTTGCAGATTCCACAAAAAGAGCATTTCAAAACTGCTCTATCAAAAGAAAGGTTCAACTTTGTTAGTTGAGTAGATACAGCATAAACAAGTTTCTGAGAATGCTTCTGTCCAGTTTTTATGGGAAGATATTTCCTTTTTCACCTTAGCCCTGAAAGCGCTCCAAAAGTCCAGTTCCAGATACTACAAAAGGAGTGTTTCAGGACTGCTCTATGAAAGGGAGTGTTCAACTTTTGACTTGAATGCAAACATCAGAAAGCAGTTTCTCAGAACGCTGCTGTGTGCTTTTTATATGTATTCCCGCTTCCAGCGAAATCCCCAAAGCTAGCCAAATATCCACTTGCAGATTCCAGAAAAAGAGAGTTTCAAAACTGCTCCTTCAAAACGGTGGTTCAATTCTACTTAGTTGAGTACACACATCTCAAATAAGTTTCTGAGAATGCTTCTGTCTAGTTGTTATGGGAAGATATTTCCTTTTCCAACATAGGCCTGAAAGCGCTCCAAATGTCCACTTCCAGATACTACAAAAGGAGTGATTCAAACCTGCTCTATGATAGGGAATGTTCAACTCTGTGTCCTGAATACAAACATCACAAAGATGTTTCTCAGAACGCTGCAGTCTGCAATTTGTATGAATTCCCGCTTCCAACGAAATCCTCCAAACTAGCCAAATATCCACTTGCAGATTCCACAAAAAGAGCGTTTCAAAACTTCTCTATGAAAAGAAAGGTTCTACTCCTTTAGTTGAGGACACACATCACGAGTAAGTTTCTGAGAGTGCTTCTGTCTAGTTTTTATGGGAAGATATTTCCTTTTTCACCTTAGGCCGGAAAGTGCTCCAAATGTCCACTTACACACACTACAAAAAGAGTGTTTCAAACCTGCTCTGTGAAAGGGAATGTTCAATTCTGTGACTTGAATGCAATCATCACAAAGAACTTTCTGAGAATGCTGCTGTCTGCTTTTTATATGTAATCCCGTTTCCAACGAAATCCTCAAATCTAGCCAAATAGCCACTTGCAGATTCCACAAAAAGAGTGTTTCAAAACTGTTCTGTCTAAAGAAATGTTCAACTGTGTTAGTTGAGGACACACATCAGAAACTAGTTTCTGAGAATGTTTCTGTCTAGTTGTTATGGGAAGATATTTCCTTTTCCAACGTAGGCCTGAAAGCACTCCAAATGTCCACTTCCATATACTAAAAAAAGAGTGTTTCAAACCTGCTCTACCAAAGGGAATGTTCTACTCTGTGACTTGAATGCAAACATCCCAAAGAAGTTTTTGAGAATGCTTCTGTCTAGATTTGATCTGAAGACAATCCCGTTTCCAACGAAATCCTCAAGGCTAGGCAAATATCCTCTTGCAGATTCCAGAGAAAGAGTGTTTCAAAACTGCTCCTTGAAAACGGTGGTTCAATTCTCTTAGTTGAGTACACACATCTCAAATAACTTTCTGAGAATGCTTCTGCCTAGTTGTTACGGGAAGATATTTCCCTTTCCAACATAGGCCTGAAAGCGCTCCAAATGTCCACTTCCAGATACTACAAAAAGAGTGTTTCAAACCTGCTCTACCAAAGGGAATGTTCTGCTCTGTGACTTGAATGCAAACATCCCAAAGAAGTTTCTGAGAATGCTTCTGTCTAGATTTTACCTGAAGACAATCCCGTTTCCTACGAAATCCTCAAAGCTATGCAAATATCCTCTTGCAGATTCTACAAAAAGAGTGTTTCAAAACTGCTCTATGAAAAGAAAGGTTCAACTCTGTCAGTGAGAGGGCACACATCACAAACAAGGTTTTCTGAGAACTGCTTGTGTCTAGTTGTTATGGGAAGATATTTCCCTGTCCAAAATAGGCCTGAAAGCGCTCCAAATGTCCACTTCCAGATACTACAAAAGGAGTGATTCCAACCTGCTCTATGATAGGGAAAGTTCAACTCTGTGTCCTGAATACAAACATCACAAAGATGTTTCTCAGAACGCTGCAGTCTGCAATTTGCATGAATTCCAGCTTCCAACGAAATCCTCAAAACTAGCCAAATATCCACTTGCAGATTCCACAAAAAGAGCATTTCAAAACTGCTCTATCAAAAGAAAGGTTCAACTTTGTTAGTAGAGTAGATACAGCATAAACAAGTTTCTGAGAATGCTTCTGTCCAGTTTTTATGGGAAGATATTTCCTTTTTCACCTTAGCCCTGAAAGCGCTCCAAATGTCCAGTTCCAGATACTACAAAAGGGGTGTTTCAAGACTGCTCTATGAAAGGGAGTGTTCAACTTTTGACTTGAATGCAAACATCAGAAAGCAGTTTCTCAGAACGCTGCAGTCTGCAATTTGTATGAATTCCCGCTTCCAACAAAATCCTCAAAATTAGCCAAATATCCACTTGCAGATTCCACAAAAAGAGCGTTTCAAAACTTCTCTATGAAAACAAAGGTTCTACTCCTTTAGTTGAGGACACACATCACGAGTAAGTTTCTGAGAATGCTTCTGTCTAGTTTTTATGGGAAGATATTTCCTTTTTCACCTTAGGCCGGAAAGTGCTCCAAATGTCCACTTACACACACTACAAAAAGAGTGTTTCAAACCTGCTCTGTGAAAGGGAATGTTCAATTCTGTGACTTGAATGCAATCATCACAAAGAACTTTCTGAGAATGCTGCTGTCTGCTTTTTATATGTAATCCCGTTTCCAACGAAATCCTCAAATCTAGCCAAATAGCCACTTGCAGATTCCACAAAAAGAGAGTTTCAAAACTGTTCTGTCTAAAGAAATGTTCAACTGTGTTAGTTGAGGACACACATCAGAAACTAGTTTCTGAGAATGCTTCTGTCTAGTTGTTATGGGAAGATATTTCCTTTTCCAACGTAGGCCTGAAAGCGCTCCAAATGTCCACTTCCATATACTAAAAAAAGAGTGTTTCAAACCTGCTCTACCAAAGGGAATGTTCTACTCTGTGACTTGAATGCAAACATCCCAAAGAAGTTTCTGAGAATGCTTCTGTCTAGATTTGATCTGAAGACAATCCCGTTTCCAACGAAATCCTCAAGGCTAGGCAAATATCCTCTTGCAGATTCCAGAAAAAGAGTGTTTCAAAACTGCTCCTTCAAAATGGTGGTTCAATTCTCTTAGTTGAGTACACACATCTCAAATAAGTTTCTGAGAATGCTTCTGCCTAGTTGTTACGGGAAGATATTTCCCTTTCCAACATAGGCCTGAAAGCGCTCCAAATGTCCACTTCCAGATACTACAAAAAGAGTGTTTCAAACCTGCTCTACCAAAGGGAATGTTCTACTCTGTGACTTGAATGCAAACATCCCAAAGAAGTTTCTGAGAATGCTTCTGTCTAGATTTTATCTGAAGACAATCCCGTTTCCAACGAAATCCTCAAGGCTAGGCAAATATACTCTTGCAGATTCCAGAAAAAGAGTGTTTCAAAACTGCTCCTTCAAAACGGTGGTTCAACTCTCTTAGTTGAGTACACACATCTCAAATATGTTTCTGAGAATGCTTGTGTCTAGTTGTTATGGGAAGATATTTCCTTTTTCAACATAGGCCTGAAAGCGCTCCAAATGTCCACTTCCAGATACTACAAAAGGAGTGATTCCAACCTGCTCTATGATAGGGAATGTTCAACTCTCTGTCCTGAATACAAACATCACAAAGATGTTTCTCAGAACGCTGCAGTCTGCAATTTGTATGAATTCCAGCTTCCAACGAAATCCTCGCAACTAGCCAAATATCCACTTGCAGATTCCACAAAAAGAGCATTTCAAAACTGCTCTATCAAAAGAAAGGTTCAACTTTGTTAGTTGAGTAGATACAGCATAAACAAGTTTCTGAGAATGCTTCTGTCCAGTTTTTATGGGAAGATATTTCCTTTTTCACCTTAGCCCTGAAAGCGCTCCAAAAGTCCAGTTCCAGATACTACAAAAGGAGTGTTTCAGGACTGCTCTATGAAAGGGAGTGTTCAACTTTTGACTTGAATGCAAACATCAGAAAGCAGTTTCTCAGAACGCTGCTGTGTGCTTTTTATATGTATTCCCGCTTCCAGCGAAATCCCCAAAGCTAGCCAAATATCCACTTGCAGATTCCAGAAAAAGAGTGTTTCAAAACTGCTCCTTCAAAACGGTGGTTCAATTCTCTTAGTTGAGTACACACATCTCAAATAAGTTTCTGAGAATGCTTCTGTCTAGTTGTTATGGGAAGATATTTCCTTTTCCAACATAGGCCTGAAAGCGCTCCAAATGTCCACTTCCAGATACTACAAAAGGAGTGATTCAAACCTGCTCTATGATAGGGAATGTTCAACTCTGTGTCCTGAATACAAACATCACAAAGATGTTTCTCAGAACGCTGCAGTCTGCAATTTGTATGAATTCCCGCTTCCAACGAAATCCTCAAAACTAGCCAAATATCCACTTGCAGATTCCACAAAAAGAGCGTTTCAAAACTTCTCTATGAAAAGAAAGGTTCTACTCCTTTAGTTGAGGACACACATCACGAGTAAGTTTCTGAGAATGCTTCTGTCTAGTTTTTATGGGAAGATATTTCCTTTTTCACCTTAGGCCGGAAAGTGCTCCAAATGTCCACTTACACACACTACAAAAAGAGTGTTTCAAACCTGCTCTGTGAAAGGGAATGTTCAATTCTGTGACTTGAATGCAATCATCACAAAGAACGTTCTGAGAATGCTTGCTGTCTGCTTTTTATATGTAATCCCGTTTCCAACGAAATCCTCCAATCTAGCCAAATAGCCACTTGCAGATTCCACAAAAAGAGAGTTTCAAAACTGTTCTGTCTAAAGAAATGTTCAACTGTGTTAGTTGAGGACACACATCAGAAACTAGTTTCTGAGAATGCTTCTGTCTAGTTGTTATGGGAAGATATTTCCTTTTCCAACGTAGGCCTGAAAGCGCTCCAAATGTCCACTTCCATATACTAAAAAAAGAGTGTTTCAAACCTGCTCTACCAAAGGGAATGTTCTACTCTGTGACTTGAATGCAAACATCCCAAAGAAGTTTCTGAGAATGCTTCTGTCTAGATTTGATCTGAAGACAATCCCGTTTCCAACGAAATCCTCAAAGCTAGGCAAATATCCTCTTGCAGATTCCAGAAAAAGAGTGTTTCAAAACTGCTCCTTCAAAACGGTGGTTCAATTCTCTTAGTTGAGTACACACATCTCAAATAAGTTTCTGAGAATGCTTCTGCCTAGTTGTTACGGGAAGATATTTCCCTTTCCAACATAGGCCTGAAAGCGCTCCAAATGTCCACTTCCAGATACTATAAAAAGAGTGTTTCAAACCTGCTCTACCAAAGGGAATGTTCTACTCTGTGACTTGAATGCAAACATCCCAAAGAAGTTTCTGAGAATGCTTCTGTCTAGATTTTACCTGAAGACAATCCCGTTTCCCACGAAATCCTCAAAGCTATGCAAATATCCTCTTGCAGATTCTACAAAAAGAGCGTTTCAAAACTTCTCTATGAAAAGAAAGGTTCTACTCATTTAGTGGAGGACACACATCACGAGTAAGTTTCTGAGAATGCTTCTGTCTAGTTTTTATGGGAAGATATTTCCTTTTCCACCTTAGGCCGGAAAGTGCTCCAAATGTCCAATTACACACACTAAAAAAGAGTATTTCAAACCTGCTCTGTGAAAGGGAATGTTCAATTCTGTGACTTGAATGCAATCATCACAAAGAACTTTCTGAGAATGCTGCTGACTGCTTTTTATATGTAATCCCGTTTCCAACGAAATCCTCAAATCTAGCCAAATAGCCACTTGCAGATTCCACAAAAAGAGTGTTTCAAAACTGTTCTGTCTAAAGAAATGTTCAACTGTGTTAGTTGAGGACACACATCAGAAACTAGTTTCTGAGAATGCTTCTGTCTAGTTGTTATGGGAAGATATTTCCTTTTCCAACGTAGGCCTGAAAGCGCTCCAAATGTCCACTTCCATATACTAAAAAAAGAGTGTTTCAAACCTGCTCTACCAAAGGGAATGTTCTACTCTGTGACTTGAATGCAAACATCCCAAAGAAGTTTCTGAGAATGCTTCTGTCTAGATTTTCTCTGAAGACAATCCCGTTTCCAACGAAATCCTCAAGGCTAGGCAAATATACTCTTGCAGATTCCAGAAAAAGAGTGTTTCAAAACTGCTCCTTCAAAACGGTGGTTCAATTCTCTTAGTTGAGTACACACATCTCAAATAAGTTTCTGAGAATGCTTCTGCCTAGTTGTTACGGGAAGATATTTCCCTTTCCAACATGGGCCTGAAAGCGCTCCAAATGTCCACTTCCAGATACTACAAAAAGAGTGTTTCAAACCTGCTCTACCAAAGGGAATGTTCTACTCTGTGACTTGAATGCAAACATCCCAAAGAAGTTTCTGAGAATGCTTCTGTCTAGATTTTACCTGAAGACAATCCCGTTTCCCACGAAATCCTCAAAGCTATGCAAATATCCTCTTGCAGATTCTACAAAAAGAGTGTTTCAAAACTGCTCTATGAAAAGAAAGGTTCAACTCTGTCAGTAGAGGGCACACATCACAAACAAGTTTCTGAGAATGCTTCTGCATAGTTGTTACGGGAAGATATTTCCCTTTCCAAAATAGGCCTGAAAGCGCTCCAAATGTCCACTTCCAGATACTACAAAAGGAGTGATTCCAACCTGCTCTATGATAGGGAATGTTCAACTCTGTGTCCTGAATACAAACATCACAAAGATGTTTCTCAGAACGCTGCAGTCTGCAATTTGTATGAATTCCCGCTTCCAACGAAATCCTCAAAACTAGCCAAATATCCACTTGCAGATTCCACAAAAAGACCATTTCAAAACTGCTCTATCAAAAGAAAGGTTCAACTTTGTTAGTTGAGTAGATACAGCATAAACAAGTTTCTGAGAATGCTTCTGTCCAGTTTTTATGGGAAGATATTTCCTTTTTCACCTTAGCCCTGAAATCGCTCCAAAAGTCCAGTTCCAGATACTACAAAAGGGGTGTTTCAAGACTGCTCTATGAAAGGGAGTGTTCAACTTTTGACTTGAATGCAAACATCAGAAAGCAGTTTCTCAGAACGCTGCTGTGTGCTTTTTATATGTATTCCCGCTTCCAGCGAAATCCCCAAAGCTAGCCAAATATCCACTTGCAGATTCCAGAAAAAGAGAGTTTCAAAACTGCTCCTTCAAAACGGTGGTTCAATTCTCTTAGTTGAGTACACACATCTCAAATAAGTTTCTGAGAATGCTTCTGTCTAGTTGTTATGGGAAGATATTTCCTTTTCCAACATAGGCCTGAAAGCGCTCCAAATGTCCACTTCCAGATACTACAAAAGGAGTGATTCCAACCTGCTCTATGATAGGGAATGTTCAACTCTGTGTCCTGAATACAAACATCACAAAGATGTTTCTCAGAACGCTGCAGTCTGCAATTTGTATGAATTCCCGCTTCCAACGAAATCCTCAAAACTAGCCAAATATCCACTTGCAGATTCCACAAAAAGAGCGTTTCAAAACTTCTCTATGAAAAGAAAGGTTCTACTCCTTTAGTTGAGGACACACATCACGAGTAAGTTTCTGAGAATGCTTCTGTCTAGTTTTTATGGGAAGATATTTCCTTTTTCACCTTAGGCCAGAAGGGCTCCAAATGTCCACTTACACATACTACAAAAAGAGTGTTTCAAACCTGCTCTGTGAAAGGGAATGTTCAATTCTGTGACTTGAATGCAATCATCACAAAGAACTTTCTGAGAATGCTGCTGTCTGCTTTTTATATGTAATCCCGTTTCCAACGAAATCCTCAAATCTAGGCAAATATCCACTTGCAGATTCCACAAAAAGAGTGTTTCAAAACTGTTCTGTCTAAAGAAAAGTTCAACTGTGTTAGTTGAGGACACACATCAGAAACTAGTTTCTGAGAATGCTTCTGTCTAGTTGTTATGGGAAGATATTTCCTTTTCCAACGTAGGCCTGAAAGCGCTCCAAATGTCCACTTCCATATACTAAAAAAAGAGTGTTTCAAACCTGCTCTACCAAAGGGAATGTTCTACTCTGTGACTTGAATGCAAACATCCCAAAGAAGTTTCTGAGAATGCTTCTGTCTAGATTTTATCTGAAGACAATCCCGTTTCCAACGAAATCCTCAAGGCTAGGCAAATATACTCTTGCAGATTCCAGAAAAAGAGTGTTTCAAAACTGCTCCTTCAAAACGGTGGTTCAATTCTCTTAGTTGAGTACACACATCTCAAATAAGTTTCTGAGAATGCTTCTGCCTAGTTGTTACGGGAAGATATTTCCCTTTCCAACATGGGCCTGAAAGCGCTCCAAATGTCCACTTCCAGATACTACAAAAAGAGTGTTTCAAACCTGCTCTACCAAAGGGAATGTTCTACTCTGTGACTTGAATGCAAACATCCCAAAGGAGTTTCTGAGAATGCTTCTGTCTAGATTTTACCTGAAGACAATCCCGTTTCCCACGAAATCCTCAAAGCTATGCAAATATCCTCTTGCGGATTCTACAAAAAGAGTGTTTCAAAACTGCTCTATGAAAAGAAAGGTTCAACTCTGTCAGTAGAGGGCACACATCACAAACAAGTTTCTGAGAATGCTTGTGTCTAGTTGTTATGGGAAGATATTTCCTTTTTCAACATAGGCCTGAAAGCGCTCCAAATGTCCACTTCCAGATACTACAAAAGGAGTGATTCCAACATGCTCTATGAGAGGGAATGTTCATCTCTGTGTCTTGAATACAAACATCACAAAGATGTTTCTCAGAACGCTGCAGTCTGCAATTTGTATGAATTCCCGCTTCCAACGAAATCCTCAAAACTAGCCAAATATCCACTTGGAGATTCCACAAAAAGAGCGTTTCAAAACTTCTCTATGAATAGAAAGGTTCTACTCCTTTAGTTGAGGACACACATCACGAGTAAGTTTCTGAGAATGCTTCTGTCTAATTTTTATGGGAAGATATGTCCTTTTTCACCTTAGGCCGGAAAGCGCTCCAAATGTCCACTTACACACACTACAAAAAGAGTGTTTCAAACCTGCTCTGTGAAAGGGAATGTTCAATTCTGTGACTTGAATGCAATCATCACAAAGAACTTTCTGAGAATGCTTGCTGACTGCTTTTTATATGTAATCCCGTTTCCAACGAAATCCTCAAATCTAGCCCAATATCCACTTGCAGATTCCACAAAAAGAGTGTTTCAAAACTGTTCTGTCTAAAGAAATGTGCAACTGTGTCAGTTGAGGACACACATCAGAAACTAGTTTCTGAGAATGCTTCTGTCTAGTTGTTATGGGAAGATATTTCCTTTTCCAACGTAGGCCTGAAAGCGCTCCAAATGTCCACTTCCATATACTAAAAAAAGAGTGTTTCAAACCTGCTCTACCAAAGGGAATGTTCTACTCTGTGACTTGAATGCAAACATCCCAAAGAAGTTTCTGAGAATGCTTCTGTCTAGATTTTATCTGAAGACAATCCCGTTTCCAACGAAATCCTCAAGGCTAGGCAAATATACTCTTGCAGATTCCAGAAAAAGAGTGTTTCAAAACTGCTCCTTCAAAACGGTGGTTCAATTCTCTTAGTTGAGTACACACATCTCAAATAAGTTTCTGAGAATGCTTCTGCCTAGTTGTTACGGGAAGATATTTCCCTTTCCAACATGGGCCTGATAGCGCTCCAAATGTCCACTTCCAGATACTACAAAAATAGGGTTTCAAACCTGCTCTACCAAAGGGAATGTTCTACTCTGTGACTTGAATGCAAACATCACAAAGAAGTTTCTGAGAATGCTTCTGTCTAGATTTTACCTGAAGACAATCCCGTTTCCCACGAAATCCTCAAAGCTATGCAAATATCCTCTTGCAGATTTTACAAAAAGAGTGTTTCAAAACTGCTCTATGAAAAGAAAGGTTCAACTCTGTCAGTAGAGGTCACACATCACAAACAAGTTTCTGAGAATGCTTGTGTCTAGTTGTTATGGGAAGATATTTCCTTTTTCAACATAGGCCTGAAAGCGCTCCAAATGTCCACTTCCAGATACTACAAAAGGAGTGATTCCAACCTGCTCTATGATAGGGAATGTTCAACTCTGTGTCCTGAATACAAACATCACAAAGATGTTTCTCATAACGCTGCAGTCTGCAATTTGTATGAATTCCCGCTTCCAACGAAATCCTCAAAACTAGCCAAATATCCACTTGGAGATTCCACAAAAAGAGCGTTTCAAAACTTCTCTATGAATAGAAAGGTTCTACTCCTTTAGTTGAGGACACACATCACGAGTAAGTTTCTGAGAATGCTTCTGTCTAGTTTTTATGGGAAGATATTTCCTTTTTCACCTTAGGCCGGAAAGCGCTCCAAATGTCCACTTACACACACTACAAAAAGAGTGTTTCAAACCTGTTCTGTGAAAGGCAATGTTCAATTCTGTGACTTGAATGCAATCATCACAAAGAACTTTCTGAGAATGCTGCTGTCTGCTTTTTATATGTAATCCCGTTTCCAACGAAATCCTCAAACCTATGCAAATATCCTCTTGCAGATTCTACAAAAAGAGTGTTTCAAAACTGCTCTATGAAAAGAAAGGTTCAACTCTGTCAGTAGAGGGCACACATCACAAACAAGTTTCTGAGAATGCTTGTGTCTAGTTGTTATGGGAAGATATTTCCTTTTTCAACATAGGCCTGAAAGCGCTCCAAATGTCCATTTCCAGATACTACAAAAGGAGTGATTCCAACATGCTCTATGATAGGGAATGTTCATCTCTGTGTCCTGAATACAAACATCACAAAGTTGTTTCTCATAACGCTGCAGTCTGCAATTTGTATGAATTCCCGCTTCCAACGAAATCCTCAAAACTAGCCAAATATCCACTTGGAGATTCCACAAAAAGAGCGTTTCAAAACTTCTCTATGAAGAGAAAGGTTCTACTCCTTTAGTTGAGGACACACATCACGAGTAAGTTTCTCAGAATGCTTCTGTCTAGTTTTTATGGGAAGATATTTCCTTTTTCACCTTAGGCCGGAAAGCGCTCCAAATGTCCACTTACACACACTACAAAAAGAGTGTTTCAAACCTGCTCTGTGAAAGGGAATGTTCAATTCTGTGACTTGAATGCAATCATCACAAAGAACTTTCTGAGAATGCTGCTGACTGCTTTTTATATGTAATCCCATTTCCAACGAAATCCTCAAATCTAGCCAAATATCCACTTGCAGATTCCACCAAAAGAGTGTTTCAAAACTGTTCTGTCTAAAGAAATGTACAACTGTGTTAGTTGAGGACACACATCAGAAACTAGTTTCTGAGAATGCTTCTGTCTAGTTGTTATGGGAAGATATTTCCTTTTCCAACGTAGGCCTGAAAGCGCTCCAAATGTCCACTTCCATATACTAAAAAAAGAGTGTTTCAAACCTGCTCTACCAAAGGGAATGTTCTACTCTGTGACTTGAATGCAAACATCCCAAAGAAGTTTCTGAGAATGCTTCTGTCTAGATTTGATCTGAAGACAATCCCGTTTCCAACGAAATCCTCAAGGCTAGGCAAATATACTCTTGCAGATTCCAGAAAAAGAGTGTTTCAAAACTGCTCCTTCAAAACGGTGGTTCAATTCTCTTAGTTGAGTACACACATCTCAAATAAGTTTCTGAGAATGCTTCTGCCTAGTTGTTACGGGAAGATATTTCCCTTTCCAACATGGGCCTGAAAGCGCTCCAAATGTCCACTTCCAGATACTACAAAAAGAGGGTTTCAAACCTGCTCTACCAAAGGGAATGTTCTACTCTGTGACTTGAATGCAAACATCCCAAAGAAGTTTCTGAGAATGCTTCTGTCTAGATTTTACCTGAAGACAATCCCGTTTCCCACGAAATCCTCAAAGCTATGCTAATATCCTCTTGCAGATTCTACAAAAAGAGTGTTTCAAAACTGCTCTATGAAAAGAAAGGTTCAACTCTGTCAGTAGAGGGCACACATCACAAACAAGTTTCTGAGAATGCTTGTGTCTAGTTGTTATGGGAAGATATTTCCTTTTTCAACATAGGCCTGAAAGCGCTCCAAATGTCCACTTCCAGATACTACAAAAGGAGTGATTCCAACCTGCTCTATGATAGGGAATGTTCAACTCTCTGTCCTGAATACAAACATCACAAAGATGTTTCTCAGAACGCTGCAGTCTGCAATTTGTATGAATTCCCGCTTCCAACGAAATCCTCAAAACTAGCCAAATATCCACTTGCAGATTCCACAAAAAGAGCATTTCAAAACTGCTCTATCAAAAGAAAGGTTCAACTTTGTTAGTTGAGTAGATACAGCATAAACAAGTTTCTGAGAATGCTTCTGTCCAGTTTTTATGGGAAGATATTTCCTTTTTCACCTTAGCCCTGAAAGCGCTCCAAAAGTCCAGTTCCAGATACTACAAAAGGAGTGTTTCAGGACTGCTCTATGAAAGGGAGTGTTCAACTTTTGACTTGAATGCAAACATCAGAAAGCAGTTTCTCAGAACGCTGCTGTGTGCTTTTTATATGTATTCCCGCTTCCAGCGAAATCCCCAAAGCTAGCCAAATATCCACTTGCAGATTCCAGAAAAAGAGTGTTTCAAAACTGCTCCTTCAAAACGGTGGTTCAATTCTCTTAGTTGAGTACACACATCTCAAATAAGTTTCTGAGAATGCTTCTGTCTAGTTGTTATAGGAAGATATTTCCTTTTCCAACATAGGCCTGAAAGCGCTCCAAATGTCCACTTCCAGATACTACAAAAGGAGTGATTCCAACCTGCTCTATGATAGGGAATGTTCAACTCTGTGTCCTGAATACAAACATCACGAAGATGTTTCTCAGAACGCTGCAGTATGCAATTTGTATGAATTCCCGCTTCCAACGAAATCCTCCAAACTAGCCAAATATCCACTTGCAGAGTCCACAAAAAGAGCGTTTCAAAACTTCTCTATGAAAAGAAAGGTTCTACTCCTTTAGTTGAGGACACACATCACGAGTAAGTTTCTGAGAATGCTTCTGTCTAGTTTTTATGGGAAGATATTTCCTTGTTCACCTTAGGCCGGAAAGCGCTCCAAATGTCCACTTACACACACTACAAAAAGAGTGTTTCAAACCTGCTCTGTGAAAGGGAATGTTCAATTCTGTGACTTGAATGCAATCATCACAAAGAAGTTTCTGAGAATGCTGCTGTCTGCTTTTTATATGTAATCCCGTTTCCAACGAAATCCTCAAATCTAGCCAAATATCCACTTGCAGATTCCACAAAAAGAGTGTTTCAAAACTGTTCTGTCTAAAGAAAAGTTCAACTGTGTTAGTTGAGGACACACATCAGAAACTAGTTCCTGAGAATGCTTCTGTCTAGTTGTTATGGGAAGATATTTCCTTTTCCAACGTAGGCCTGAAAGCGCTCCAAATGTCCACTTCCATATACTAAAAAAAGAGTGTTTCAAACCTGCTCTACCAAAGGGAATGTTCTACTCTGTGACTTGAATGCAAACATCCCAAAGAAGTTTCTGAGAATGCTTCTGTCTAGATTTTCTCTGAAGACAATCCCCGTTTCCAACGAAATCCTCAAGGCTAGGCAAATATACTCTTGCAGATTCCAGAAAAAGAGTGTTTCAAAACTGCTCCTTCAAAACGGTGGTTCAATTCTCTTAGTTGAGTACACACATCTCAAATAAGTTTCTGAGAATGCTTCTGCCTAGTTGTTACGGGAAGATATTTCCCTTTCCAACATGGGCCTGAAAGCGCTCCAAATGTCCACTTCCAGATACTACAAAAAGAGGGTTTCAAACCTGCTCTACCAAAGGGAATGTTCTACTCTGTGACTTGAATGCAAACATCCCAAAGAAGTTTCTGAGAATGCTTCTGTCTAGATTTTACCTGAAGACAATCCCGTTTCCCACGAAATCCTCAAAGCTATGCAAATATCCTCTTGCAGATTCTACAAAAAGAGTGTTTCAAAACTGCTCTATGAAAAGAAAGGTTCAACTCTGTCATTAGAGGGCACACATCACAAACAAGTTTCTGAGAATGCTTCTGCATAGTTGTTACGGGAAGATATTTCCCTTTCCAAAATAGGCCTGAAAGCGCTCCAAATGTCCACTTCCAGATACTACAAAAGGAGTGATTCCAACCTGCTCTATGATAGGGAATGTTCAACTCTGTGTCCTGAATACAAACATCACAAAGATGTTTCTCAGAACGCTGCAGTCTGCAATTTGTATGAATTCCCGCTTCCAACGAAATCCTCAAAACTAGCCAAATATCCACTTGCAGATTCCACAAAAAGACCATTTCAAAACTGCTCTATCAAAAGAAAGGTTCAACTTTGTTAGTTGAGTAGATACAGCATAAACAAGTTTCTGAGAATGCTTCTGTCCAGTTTTTATGGGAAGATATTTCCTTTTTCACCTTAGCCCTGAAATCGCTCCAAAAGTCCAGTTCCAGATACTACAAAAGGGGTGTTTCAGGACTGCTCTATGAAAGGGAGTGTTCAACTTTTGACTTGAATGCAAACATCAGAAAGCAGTTTCTCAGAACGCTGCTGTGTGCTTTTTATATGTATTCCCGCTTCCAGCGAAATCCCCAAAGCTAGCCAAATATCCACTTGCAGATTCCAGAAAAAGAGAGTTTCAAAACTGCTCCTTCAAAACGGTGGTTCAATTCTCTTAGTTGAGTACACACATCTCAAATAAGTTTCTGAGAATGCTTGTGTCTAGTTGTTATGGGAAGATATTTCCTTTTTCAACATAGGCCTGAAAGCGCTCCAAATGTCCACTTCCAGATACTACAAAAGGAGTGATTCCAAACTGCTCTATGATAGGGAATGTTCATCTCTGTGTCCTGAATACAAACATCACAAAGATGTTTCTCAGAACGCTGCAGTCTGCAATTTGTATGAATTCCCGCTTCCAACGAAATCCTCAAAACTAGCCAAATATCCACTTGCAGATTCCACAAAAAGAGCGTTTCAAAACTTCTCTATGAAAAGAAAGGTTCTACTCCTTTAGTTGAGGACACACATCACGAGTAAGTTTCTGAGAATGCTTCTGTCTAGTTTTTATGGGAAGATATTTCCTTTTTCACCTTAGGCCGGTAAGTGCTCCAAATGTCCACTTACACACACTACAAAAAGAGTGTTTCAAACCTGCTCTGTGAAAGGGAATGTTCAATTCTGTGACTTGAATGCAATCATCACAAAGAACTTTCTGAGAATGCTGCTGACTGCTTTTTATATGTAATCCCGTTTCCAACGAAATCCTCAAATCTAGCCAAATAGCCACTTGCAGATTCCACAAAAAGAGTGTTTCAAAACTGTTCTGTCTAAAGAAATGTTCAACTGTGTTAGTTGAGGACACACATCAGAAACTAGTTTCTGAGAATGCTTCTGTCTAGTTGTTATGGGAAGATATTTCCTTTTCCAACGTAGGCCTGAAAGCGATCCAAATGTCCACTTCCATATACTAAAAAAAGAGTGTTTCAAACCTGCTCTACCAAAGGGAATGTTCTACTCTGTGACTTGAATGCAAACATCCCAAAGAAGTTTCTGAGAATGCTTCTGTCTAGATTTTCTCTGAAGACAATCCCGTTTCCAACGAAATCCTCAAGGCTAGGCAAATATACTCTTGCAGATTCCAGAAAAAGAGTGTTTCAAAACTGCTCCTTCAAAACGGTGGTTCAATTCTCTTAGTTGAGTACACACATCTCAAATAAGTTTCTGAGAATGCTTCTGCCTAGTTGTTACGGGAAGATATTTCCCTTTCCAACATGGGCCTGAAAGCGCTCCAAATGTCCACTTCCAGATACTACAAAAAGAGTGTTTCAAACCTGCTCTACCAAAGGGAATGTTCTACTCTGTGACTTGAATGCAAACATCCCAAAGAAGTTTCTGAGAATGCTTCTGTCTAGATTTTACCTGAAGACAATCCCGTTTCCCACGAAATCCTCAAAGCTATGCAAATATCCTCTTGCAGATTCTACAAAAAGAGTGTTTCAAAACTGCTCTATGAAAAGAAAGGTTCAACTCTGTCAGTAGAGGGCACACATCACAAACAAGTTTCTGAGAATGCTTGTGTCTAGTTGTTATGGGAAGATATTTCCTTTTTCAACATAGGCCTGAAAGCGCTCCAAATGTCCACTTCCAGATACTACAAAAGGAGTGATTCCAACCTGCTCTATGATAGGGAATGTTCAACTCTCTGTCCTGAATGCAAACATCACAAAGATGTTTCTCAGAACGCTGCAGTCTGCAATTTGTATGAATTCCCGCTTCCAACGAAATCCTCAAAACTAGCCAAATATCCACTTGCAGATTCCACAAAAAGACCATTTCAAAACTGCTCTATCAAAAGAAAGGTTCAACTTTGTTAGTTGAGTAGATACAGCATAAACAAGTTTCTGAGAATGCTTCTGTCCAGTTTTTATGGGAAGATATTTCCTTTTTCACCTTAGCCCTGAAATCGCTCCAAAAGTCCAGTTCCAGATACTACAAAAGGGGTGTTTCAAGACTGCTCTATGAAAGGGAGTGTTCAACTTTTGACTTGAATGCAAACATCAGAAAGCAGTTTCTCAGAACGCTGCTGTGTGCTTTTTATATGTATTCCCGCTTCCAGCGAAATCCCCAAAGCTAGCCAAATATCCACTTGCAGATTCCAGAAAAAGAGAGTTTCAAAACTGCTCCTTCAAAACGGTGGTTCAATTCTCTTAGTTGAGTACACACATCTCAAATAAGTTTCTGAGAATGCTTCTGTCTAGTTGTTATGGGAAGATATTTCCTTTTCCAACATAGGGCCTGAAAGCGCTCCAAATGTCCACTTCCAGATACTACAAAAGGAGTGATTCCAACCTGCTCTATGATAGGGAATGTTCAACTCTGTGTCCTGAATACAAACATCACAAAGATGTTTCTCAGAACGCTGCCAGTCTGCAATTTGTATGAATTCCCGCTTCCAACGAAATCCTCAAAACTAGCCAAATATCCACTTGCAGATTCCACAAAAAGAGCGTTTCAAAACTTCTCTATGAAAAGAAAGGTTCTACTCCTTTAGTTGAGGACACACATCACGAGTAAGTTTCTGAGAATGCTTCTGTCTAGTTTTTATGGGAAGATATTTCCTTTTTCACCTTAGGCCGGTAAGTGCTCCAAATGTCCACTTACACACACTACAAAAAGAGTGTTTCAAACCTGCTCTGTGAAAGGGAATGTTCAATTCTGTGACTTGAATGCAATCATCACAAAGAACTTTCTGAGAATGCTGCTGACTGCTTTTTATATGTAATCCCGTTTCCAACGAAATCCTCAAATCTAGCCAAATAGCCACTTGCAGATTCCACAAAAAGAGTGTTTCAAAACTGTTCTGTCTAAAGAAATGTTCAACTGTGTTAGTTGAGGACACACATCAGAAACTAGTTTCTGAGAATGCTTCTGTCTAGTTGTTATGGGAAGATATTTCCTTTTCCAACGTAGGCCTGAAAGCGCTCCAAATGTCCACTTCCAGATACTAAAAAAAGAGTGTTTCAAACCTGCTCTACCAAAGGGAATGTTCTACTCTGTGACTTGAATGCAAACATCCCAAAGAAGTTTCTGAGAATGCTTCTGTCTAGATTTTCTCTGAAGACAATCCCGTTTCCAACGAAATCCTCAAGGCTAGGCAAATATACTCTTGCAGATTCCAGAAAAAGAGTGTTTCAAAACTGCTCCTTCAAAACGGTGGTTCAATTCTCTTAGTTGAGTACACACATCTCAAATAAGTTTCTGAGAATGCTTCTGCCTAGTTGTTACGGGAAGATATTTCCCTTTCCAACATGGGCCTGAAAGCGCTCCAAATGTCCACTTCCAGATACTACAAAAAGAGTGTTTCAAACCTGCTCTACCAAAGGGAATGTTCTACTCTGTGACTTGAATGCAAACATCCCAAAGAAGTTTCTGAGAATGCTTCGGTCTAGATTTTACCTGAAGACAATCCCGTTTCCCACGAAATCCTCAAAGCTATGCAAATATCCTCTTGCGGATTCTACAAAAAGAGTGTTTCAAAACTGCTCTATGAAAAGAAAGGTTCAACTCTGTCAGTAGAGGGCACACATCACAAACAAGTTTCTGAGAATGCTTGTGTCTAGTTGTTATGGGAAGATATTTCCTTTTTCAACATAGGCCTGAAAGCGCTCCAAATGTCCACTTCCAGATACTACAAAAGGAGTGATTCCAACCTGCTCTATGATAGGGAATGTTCATCTCTGTGTCTTTAATACAAACATCACAAAGATGTTTCTCAGAACGCTGCAGTCTGCAATTTGTATGAATTCCCGCTTCCAACGAAATCCTCAAAACTAGCCAAATATCCACTTGGAGATTCCACAAAAAGAGCGTTTCAAAACTTCTCTATGAATAGAAAGGTTCTACTCCTTTAGTTGAGGACACACATCACGAGTAAGTTTCTGAGAATGCTTCTGTCTAGTTTTTATGGGAAGATATGTCCTTTTTCACCTTAGGCCAGAAAGCGCTCCAAATGTCCACTTACACACACTACAAAAAGAGTGTTTCAAACCTCCTCTGTGAAAGGGAATGTTCAATTCTGTGACTTGAATGCAATCATCACAAAGAACTTTCTGAGAATGCTGCTGACTGCTTTTTATATGTAATCCCGTTTCCAACGAAATCCTCAAATCTAGCCCAATATCCACTTGCAGATTCCACAAAAAGAGTGTTTCAAAAGTGTTCTGTCTAAAGAAATGTACAACTGTGTTAGTTGAGGACACACATCAGAAACTAGTTTCTGAGAATGCTTCTGTCTAGTTGTTATGGGAAGATATTTCCTTTTCCAAAGTAGGCCTGAAAGCGCTCCAAATGTCCACTTCCATATACTAAAAAAAGAGTGTTTCAAACCTGCTCTACCAAAGGGAATGTTCTACTCTGTGACTTGAATGCAAACATCCCAAAGAAGTTTCTGAGAATGCTTCTGTCTAGATTTGATCTGAAGACAATCCCGATTCCAACGAAATCCTCAAGACTAGGCAAATATCCTCTTGCAGATTCCAGAAAAAGAGTGTTTCAAAACTGCTCCTTCAAAACTGTGGTTCAATTCTCTTAGTTGAGTACACACATCTCAAATAAGTTTCTGAGAATGCTTCTGCCTAGTTGTTACGGGAAGATATTTCCCTTTCCAACATAGGCCTGAAAGCGCTCCAAATGTCCACTTCCAGATACTACAAAAAGAGTGTTTCAAACCTGCTCTACCAAAGGGAATGTTCTACTCTGTGACTTGAATGCAAACATCCCAAAGAAGTTTCTGAGAATGCTTCTGTCTAGATTTTATCTGAAGACAATCCCGTTTCCAACGAAATCCTCAAGGCTAGGCAAATATACTCTTTCAGATTCCAGAAAAAGAGGGTTTCAAAACTGCTCCTTCAAAACGGTGGTTCAATTCTCTTCGTTGAGTACACACATCTCAAATAAGTTTCTGAGAATGCTTCTGCCTAGTTGTTACGGGAAGATATTTCCCTTTCCAACATAGGCCTGAAAGCGCTCCAAATGTCCACTTCCAGATACTACAAAAAGAGTGTTTCAAACCTGCTCTACCAAAGGGAATGTTCTACTCTGTGACTTGAATGCAAACATCCCAAAGAAGTTTCTGAGAATGCTTCTGTCTAGATTTTACCTGAAGACAATCCCGTTTCCCACGAAATCCTCAAAGCTATGCAAATATCCTCTTGCGGATTCTACAAAAAGAGTGTTTCAAAACTGCTCTATGAAAAGAAAGGTTCAACTCTGTCAGTAGAGGGCACACATCACAAACAAGTTTCTGAGAATGCTTGTGTCTAGTTGTTATGGGAAGATATTTCCTTTTTCAACATAGGCCTGAAAGCGCTCCAAATGTCCACTTCCAGATACTACAAAAGGAGTGATTCCAACATGCTCTATGATAGGGAATGTTCATCTCTGTGTCTTGAATACAAACATCACAAAGATGTTTCTCAGAACGCTGCAGTCTGCAATTTGTATGAATTCCCGCTTCCAACGAAATCCTCAAAACTAGCCAAATATCCACTTGGAGATTCCACAAAAAGAGCGTTTCAAAACTTCTCCATGAATAGAAAGGTTCCACTCCTTTAGTTGAGGACACACATCACGAGTAAGTTTCTGAGAATGCTTCTGTCTAGTTTTTATGGGAAGATATGTCCTTTTTCACCTTAGGCCGGAAAGCGCTCCAAATGTCCACTTACACACACTACAAAAAGAGTGTTTCAAACCTGCTCTGTGAAAGGGAATGTTCAATTCTGTGACTTGAATGCAATCATCACAAAGAACTTTCTGAGAATGCTGCTGACTGCTTTTTATATGTAATCCCGTTTCCAACGAAATCCTCAAATCTAGCCCAGTATCCACTTGCAGATTCCACAAAAAGAGTGTTTCAAAACTGTTCTGTCTAAAGAAATGTACAACTGTGTTAGTTGAGGACACACATCAGAAACTAGTTTCTGAGAATGCTTCTGTCTAGTTGTTATGGGAAGATATTTCCTTTTCCAACGTAGGCCTGAAAGCGCTCCAAATGTCCACTTCCATATACTAAAAAAAGAGTGTTTCAAACCTGCTCTACCAAAGGGAATGTTCTACTCTGTGACTTGAATGCAAACATCCCAAAGAAGTTTCTGAGAATGCTTCTGTCTAGATTTTATCTGAAGACAATCCCGTTTCCAACGAAATCCTCAAGGCTAGGCAAATATACTCTTGCAGATTCCAGAAAAAGAGTGTTTCAAAACTGCTCCTTCAAAACGGTGGTTCAATTCTCTTAGTTGAGTACACACATCTCAAATAAGTTTCTGAGAATGCTTCTGCCTAGTTGTTACGGGAAGATATTTCCCTTTCCAACATGGGCCTGAAAGCGCTCCAAATGTCCACTTCCAGATACTACAAAAAGAGGGTTTCAAACCTGCTCTACCAAAGGGAATGTTCTACTCTGTGACTTGAATGCAAACATCCCAAAGAAGTTTCTGAGAATGCTTCTGTCTAGATTTTACCTGAAGACAATCCCGTTTCCCACGAAATCCTCAAAGCTATGCAAATATCCTCTTGCAGATTCTACAAAAAGAGTGTTTCAAAACTGCTCTATGAAAAGAAAGGTTCAACTCTGTCAGTAGAGGGCACACATCACAAACAAGTTTCTGAGAATGCTTGTGTCTAGTTGTTATGGGAAGATATTTCCTTTTTCAACATAGGCCTGAAAGCGCTCCAAATGTCCACTTCCAGATACTACAAAAGGAGTGATTCCAACCTGCTCTATGATAGGGAATGTTCCTCTCTGTGTCCTGAATACAAACATCACAAAGATGTTTCTCAGAACGCTGCCAGTCTGCAATTTGTATGAATTCCCGCTTCCAACGAAATCCTCAAAACTAGCCAAATATCCACTTGGAGATTCCACAAAAAGAGCATTTCAAAGCTTCTCTACGAATAGAAAGGTTCTACTCCTTTAGTTGAGGACACACATCACGAGTAAGTTTCTGAGAATGCTTCTGTCTAGTTTTTATGGGAAGATATTTCCTTTTTCACCTTAGGCCGGAAAGCGCTCCAAATGTCCACTTACACACACTACAAAAAGAGTGTTTCAAACCTGCTTTGTGAAAGGCAATGTTCAATTCTGTGACTTGAATGCAATCATCACAAAGAACTTTCTGAGAATGCTGCTGTCTGCTTTTTATATGTAATCCCGTTTCCAACGAAATCCTCAAATCTAGCCAAATATCCACTTGCAGATTCCACAAAAAGAGTGTTTCAAAACTGTTCTGTCTAAAGAAAAGTTCAACTGTGTTAGTTGAGGACACACATCAGAAACTAGTTTCTGAGAATGCTTCTGTCTAGTTGTTATGGGAAGATATTTCCTTTTCCAACGTAGGCCTGAAAGCGCTCCAAATGTCCACTTCCATATACTAAAAAAAGAGTGTTTCAAACCTGCTCTACCAAAGGGAATGTTCTACTCTGTGACTTGAATGCAAACATCCCAAAGAAGTTTCTGAGAATGCTTCTGTCTAGATTTTATCTGAAGACAATCCCGTTTCCAACGAAATCCTCAAGGCTAGGCAAATATACTCTTGCAGATTCCAGAAAAAGAGGGTTTCAAAACTGCTCCTTCAAAACGGTGGTTCAATTCTCTTAGTTGAGTACACACATCTCAAATAAGTTTCTGAGAATGCTTCTGCCTCGTTGTTACGGGAAGATATTTCCCTTTCCAACATGGGCCTGAAAGCGCTCCAAATGTCCACTTCCAGATACTACAAAAAGAGGGTTTCAAACCTGCTCTACCAAAGGGAATGTTCTACTCTGTGACTTGAATGCAAACATCCCAAAGAAGTTTCTGAGAATGCTTCTGTCTAGATTTTACCTGAAGACAATCCCGTTTCCCACGAAATCCTCAAAGCTATGCAAATATCCTCTTGCAGATTCTACAAAAAGAGTGTTTCAAAACTGCTCTATGAAAAGAAAGGTTCAACTCTGTCAGTAGAGGGCACACATCACAAACAAGTTTCTGAGAATGCTTGTGTCTAGTTGTTATGGGAAGATATTTCCTTTTTCAACATAGGCCTGAAAGCGCTCCAAATGTCCACTTCCAGATACTACAAAAGGAGTGATTCCAACCTGCTCTATGATAGGGAATGTTCATCTCTGTGTCCTGAATACAAACATCACAAAGATGTTTCTCAGAACGCTGCAGTCTGCAATTTGTATGAATTCCCGCTTCCAACGAAATCCTCAAAACTAGCCAAATATCCACTTGGAGATTCCACAAAAAGAGCGTTTCAAAACTTCTCTATGAATAGAAAGGTTCTACTCCTTTAGTTGAGGACACACATCACGAGTAAGTTTCTGAGAATGCTTCTGTCTAGTTTTTATGGGAAGATATGTCCTTTTTCACCTTAGGCCGGAAAGCGCTCCAAATGTCCACTTACACACACTACAAAAAGAGTGTTTCAAACCTGCTCTGTGAAAGGGAATGTTCAATTCTGTGACTTGAATGCAATCATCACAAAGAACTTTCTGAGAATGCTGCTGACTGTTTTTTATATGTAATCCCGTTTCCAACGAAATCCTCAAATCTAGCCCAATATCCACTTGCAGATTCCACAAAAAGAGTGTTTCAAAACTGTTCTGTCTAAAGAAAAGTTCAACTGTGTTAGTTGAGGACACACATCAGAAACTAGTTTCTGAGAATGCTTCTGTCTAGTTGTTATGGGAAGATATTTCCTTTTCCAACGTAGGCCTGAAAGCGCTCCAAATGTCCACTTCCATATACTAAAAAAAGAGTGTTTCAAACCTGCTCTACCGAAGGGAATGTTCTACTCTGTGACTTGAATGCAAACATCCCAAAGAAGTTTCTGAGAATGCTTCTGTCTAGATTTTATCTGAAGACAATCCCGTTTCCAACGAAATCCTCAAGGCTAGGCAAATATACTCTTGCAGATTCCAGAAAAAGAGTGTTTCAAAACTGCTCCTTCAAAACGGTGGTTCATTTCTCTTAGTTGAGTACACACATCTCAAATAAGTTTCTGAGAATGCTTCTGCCTAGTTGTTACGGGAAGATATTTCCCTTTCCAACATGGGCCTCAAAGCGCTCCAAATGTCCACTTCCAGATACTACAAAAAGAGTGTTTCAAACCTGCTCTACCAAAGGGAATGTTCTACTCTGTGACTTGAATGCAAACATCCCAAAGAAGTTTCTGAGAATGCTTCTGTCTAGATTTTACCTGAAGACAATCCCGTTTCCCACGAAATCCTCAAAGCTATGCAAATATCCTCTTGCAGATTCTACAAAAAGAGTGTTTCAAAACTGCTCTATGAAAAGAAAGGTTCAACTCTGTCAGTAGAGGGCACACATCACAAACAAGTTTCTGAGAATGCTTCTGCATAGTTGTTACGGGAAGATATTTCCCTTTCCAAAATAGGCCTGAAAGCGCTCCAAATGTCCACTTCCAGATACTACAAAAGGAGTGATTCCAACCTGCTCTATGATAGGGAATGTTCAACTCTGTGTCCTGAATACAAACATCACAAAGATGTTTCTCAGAACGCTGCAGTCTGCAATTTGTATGAATTCCCGCTTCCAACGAAATCCTCAAAACTAGCCAAATATCCACTTGCAGATTCCACAAAAAGACCATTTCAAAACTGCTCTATCAAAAGAAAGGTTCAACTTTGTTAGTTGAGTAGATACAGCATAACCAAGTTTCTGAGAATGCTTCTGTCCAGTTTTTATGGGAAGATATTTCCTTTTTCACCTTAGCCCTGAAATCGCTCCAAAAGTCCAGTTCCAGATACTACAAAAGGGGTGTTTCAAGACTGCTCTATGAAAGGGAGTGTTCAACTTTTGACTTGAATGCAAACATCAGAAAGCAGTTTCTCAGAACGCTGCTGTGTGCTTTTTATATGTATTCCCGCTTCCAGCGAAATCCCCAAAGCTAGCCAAATATCCACTTGCAGATTCCAGAAAAAGAGTGTTTCAAAACTGCTCCTTCAAAACGGTGGTTCAATTCTCTTAGTTGAGTACACACATCTCAAATAAGTTTCTGAGAATGCTTCTGTCTAGTTGTTATGGGAAGATATTTCCTTTTCCAACATAGGCCTGAAAGCGCTCCAAATGTCCACTTCCAGATACTACAAAAGGAGTGATTCAAACCTGCTCTATGATAGGGAATGTTCAACTCTGTGTCCTGAATACAAACATCACAAAGATGTTTCTCAGAACGCTGCAGTCTGCAATTTGTATGAATTCCCGCTTCCAACGAAATCCTCCAAACTAGCCAAATATCCACTTGCAGATTCCACAAAAAGAGCGTTTCAAAACTTCTCTATGAAAAGAAAGGTTCTACTCCTTTAGTTGAGGACACACATCACGAGTAAGTTTCTGAGAATGCTTCTGTCTAGTTTTTATGGGAAGATATTTCCTTTTTCACCTTAGGCCGGTAAGGGTTCCAAATGTCCACTTACACACACTACAAAAAGAGTGTTTCAAACCTGCTCTGTGAAAGGGAATGTTCAATTCTGTGACTTGAATGCAATCATCACAAAGAACTTTCTGAGAATGCTGCTGACTGCTTTTTATATGTAATCCCGTTTCCAACGAAATCCTCAAATCTAGCCAAATAGCCACTTGCAGATTCCACAAAAAGAGTGTTTCAAAACTGTTCTGTCTATAGAAATGTTCAACTGTGTTAGTTGAGGACACACATCAGAAACTAGTTTCTGAGAATGCTTCTGTCTAGTTGTTATGGGAAGATATTTCCCTTTCCAACGTAGGCCTGAAAGCGATCAAAATGTCCACTTCCATATACTAAAAAAAGAGTGTTTCAAACCTGCTCTACCAAAGGGAATGTTCTACTCTGTGACTTGAATACAAACATCCCAAAGAAGTTTCTGAGAATGCTTCTGTCTAGATTTTATCTGAAGACAATCCCGTTTCCAACGAAATCCTCAAGGCTAGGCAAATATACTCTTGCAGATTCCAGAAAAAGAGTGTTTCAAAACTGCTCCTTCAAAACGGTGGTTCAATTCTCTTAGTTGAGTACACACATCTCAAATAAGTTTCTGAGAATGCTTCTGCCTAGTTGTTAAGGGAAGATATTTCCCTTTCCAACATAGGACTGAAAGCGCTCCAAATGTCCACTTCCAGATACTACAAAAAGAGTGTTTCAAACCTGCTCTGCCAAAGGGAATGTTCTACTCTGTGACTTGAATGCAAACATCCCAAAGAAGTTTCTGAGAATGCTTCTGTCTAGATTTGATCTGAAGACAATCCCGTTTCCAACGAAATCCTCAAGGCTAGGCAAATATACTCTTGCAGATTCCAGAAAAAGGGTGTTTCAAAACTGCTCCTTCGAAACGGTGGTTCAATTCTCTTAGTTGAGTACACACATCTCAAATATGTTTCTGAGAATGCTTCTGCCTAGTTGTTACGGGAAGATATTTCCCTTTCCAACATGGGCCTGAAAGCGCTCCAAATGTCCACTTCCAGATACTACAAAAAGAGTGTTTCAAACCTGCTCTACCAAAGGGAATGTTCTACTCTGTGACTTGAATGCAAACATCCCAGAGAAGTTTCTGAGAATGCTTCTGTCTAGATTTTACCTGAAGACAATCCCGTTTCCCACGAAATCCTCAAAGCTATGCAAATATCCTTTTGCAGATTCTACAAAAAGAGTGTTTCAAAACTGCTCTATGAAAAGAAAGGTTCAACTCTGTCAGTAGAGGGCACACATCACAAACAAGTTTCTGAGAATGCTTGTGTCTAGTTGTTATGGGAAGATATTTCCTTTTTCAACATAGGCCTGAAAGCGCTCCAAATGTCCACTTCCAGATACTACAAAAGGAGTGATTCCAACCTGCTCTATGATAGGGAATGTTCATCTCTGTGTCCTGAATACAAACATCACAAATATGTTTCTCAGAACGCTGCAGTCTGCAATTTGTATGAATTCCCGCTTCCAACGAAATCCTCAAAACTAGGCAAATATCCACTTGCAGATTCCACAAAAAGAGCGTTTCAAAACTTCTCTATGAAAAGAAAGGTTCTACTCCTTTAGTTGAGGACACACATCAAGAGTAAGTTTCTGAGAATGCTTCTGTCTAGTTTTTATGGGAAGATATTTCCTTTTTCACCTTAGGCCAGAAAGCGCTCCAAATGTCCACTTACACACACTACAAAAAGAGGGTTTCAAACCTGCTCTGTGAAAGGGAATGTTCAATTCTGTGACTTGAATGCAATCATCACAAAGAACTTTCTGAGAATGCTGCTGTCAGCTTTTTATATGTAATCCCGTTTCCAAAGAAATCCTCAAATCTAGCCAAATAGCCACTTGCAGATTCCACAAAAAGAGTGTTTCAAAACTGTTCTGTCTAAAGAAATGTTCAACTGTGTTAGTTGAGGACACACATCAGAAACTAGTTTCTGAGAATGCTTCTGTCTAGTTGTTATGGGAAGATATTTCCTTTTCCAACGTAGGCCTGAAAGCGCTCCAAATGTCCACTTCCATATACTAAAAAAAGAGTGTTTCAAACCTGCTCTAACAAAGGGAATGTTCTACTCTATGAATTGAATGCAAACACCCAAAGAAGTTTCTGAGAATGCTTCTGTCTAGATTTTATCTGAAGACAATCCCGTTTCCAACGAAATCCTCAAAGCTAGGCAAATATACTCTTGCAGATTCCAGAAAAAGAGTGTTTCAAAACTGCTCCTTGAAAAGGGTGGTTCAATTCTCTTAGTTGAGTACACCCATCTCAAATAAGTTTCTGAGAATGCTTCTGCCTAGTTGTTACGGGAAGATATTTCCCTTTCCAACATAGGCCTGAAAGCGCTCCAAATGTCCACTTCCAGATACTACAAAAAGAGTGTTTCAAACCTGCTCTACCAAAGGGAATGTTCTACTCTGTGACTTGAATAGAAACATCCCAAAGAAGTTTCTGAGAATGCTTCTGTCTAGATTTTAGCTGAAGACAATCCCGTTTCCAACGAAATCCTCAAAGCTAGGCAAATATACTCTAGCAGATTCCAGAAAAAGAGTGTTTCAAAACTGCTCCTTCAAAACGGTGGTTCAATTCTCTTAGTTGAGTACACACATCTCAAATAAGTTTCTGAGAATGCTTCTGCCTAGTTGTTACGGGAAGATATTTCCCTTTCCAACATGGGCCTGAAAGCGCTCCAAATGTCCACTTCCAGATACTACAAAAAGAGTGTTTCAAACCTGCTCTACCAAAGGGAATGTTCTACTCTGTGACATGAATGCAAACATCCCAAAGAAGTTTCTGAGAATGCTTCTGTCTAGATTTTACCTGAAGACAATCCCGTTTCCCACGAAATCCTCAAAGCTATGCAAATATCCTCTTGCAGATTCTACAAAAAGAGTGTTTCAAAACTGCTCTATGAAAAGAAAGGTTCAACTCTGTCAGTAGAGGGCACACATCACAAACAAGTTTCTGAGAATGCTTCTGCATAGTTGTTACGGGAAGATATTTCCCTTTCCAAAATAGGCCTGAAAGCGCTCCAAATGTCCACTTCCAGATACTACAAAAGGAGTGATTCCAACCTGCTCTATGATAGGGAATGTTCAACTCTGTGTCCTGAATACAAACATCACAAAGATGTTTCTCAGAACGCTGCAGTCTGCAATTTGTATGAATTCCCGCTTCCAACGAAATCCTCAAAACTAGCCAAATATCCACTTGCAGATTCCACAAAAAGACCATTTCAAAACTGCTCTATCAAAAGAAAGGTTCAACTTTGTTAGTTGAGTAGATACAGCATAAACAAGTTTCTGAGAATGCTTCTGTCCAGTTTTTATGGGAAGATATTTCCTTTTTCACCTTAGCCCTGAAATCGCTCCAAAAGTCCAGTTCCAGATACTACAAAAGGGGTGTTTCAAGACTGCTCTATGAAAGGGAGTGTTCAACTTTTGACTTGAATGCAAACATCAGAAAGCAGTTTCTCAGAACGCTGCTGTGTGCTTTTTATATGTATTCCCGCTTCCAGCGAAATCCCCAAAGCTAGCCAAATATCCACTTGCAGATTCCAGAAAAAGAGTGTTTCAAAACTGCTCCTTCAAAACGGTGGTTCAATTCTCTTAGTTGAGTACACACATCTCAAATAAGTTTCTGAGAATGCTTCTGTCTAGTTGTTATGGGAAGATATTTCCTTTTCCAACATAGGCCTGAAAGCGCTCCAAATGTCCACTTCCAGATACTACAAAAGGAGTGATTCAAACCTGCTCTATGATAGGGAATGTTCAAATCTGTGTCCTGAATACAAACATCACAAAGATGTTTCTCAGAACGCTGCAGTCTGCAATTTGTATGAATTCCCGCTTCCAACGAAATCCTCAAAACTAGCCAAATATCCACTTGCAGATTCCACAAAAAGAGCGTTTCAAAACTTCTCTATGAAAAGAAAGGTTCTACTCCTTTAGTTGAGGGCACACATCACGAGTAAGTTTCTGAGAATGCTTCTGTCTAGTTTTTATGGGAAGATATTTCCTTTTTCACCTTAGGCCGGTAAGGGTTCCAAATGTCCACTTACACACACTACAAAAAGAGTGTTTCAAACCTGCTCTGTGAAAGGGAATGTTCAATTCTGTGACTTGAATGCAATCATCACAAAGAACTTTCTGAGAATGCTGCTGACTGCTTTTTATATGTAATCCCGTTTCCAACGAAATCCTCAAATCTAGCCAAATAGCCACTTGCAGATTCCACAAAAAGAGTGTTTCAAAACTGTTCTGTCTATAGAAATGTTCAACTGTGTTAGTTGAGGACACACATCAGAAACTAGTTTCTGAGAATGCTTATCTGTCTAGTTGTTATGGGAAGATATTTCCTTTTCCAACGTAGGCCTGAAAGCGCTCCAAATGTCCACTTCCATATACTAAAAAAAGAGTGTTTCAAACCTGCTCTACCAAAGGGAATGTTCTACTCTGTGACTTGAATGCAAACATCCCAAAGAAGTTTCTGAGAATGCTTCTGTCTAGATTTTCTCTGAAGACAATCCCGTTTCCAACGAAATCCTCAAGGCTAGGCAAATATACTCTTGCAGATTCCAGAAAAAGAGTGTTTCAAAACTGCTCCTTCAAAACGGTGGTTCAATTCTCTTAGTTGAGTACACACATCTCAAATAAGTTTCTGAGAATGCTTCTGCCTAGTTGTTACGGGAAGATATTTCCCTTTCCAACATGGGCCTGAAAGCGCTCCAAATGTCCACTTCCAGATACTACAAAAAGAGTGTTTCAAACCTGCTCTACCAAAGGGAATGTTCTACTCTGTGACTTGAATGCAAACATCCCAAAGAAGTTTCTGAGAATGCTTCTGTCTAGATTTTACCTGAAGACAATCCCGTTTCCCACGAAATCCTCAAAGCTATGCAAATATCCTCTTGCAGATTCTACAAAAAGAGTGTTTCAAAACTGCTCTATGAAAAGAAAGGTTCAACTCTGTCAGTAGAGGGCACACATCACAAACAAGTTTCTGAGAATGCTTGTGTCTAGTTGTTATGGGAAGATATTTCCTTTTTCAACATAGGCCTGAAAGCGCTCCAAATGTCCACTTCCAGATACTACAAAAGGAGTGATTCCAACCTGCTCTATGATAGGGAATGTTCATCTCTGTGTCCTGAATACAAACATCACAAGGATGTTTCTCAGAACGCTGCAGTCTGCAATTTGTATGAATTCCCGCTTCCAACGAAATCCTCAAAACTAGCCAAATATCCACTTGCAGATTCCACAAAAAGACCATTTCAAAACTGCTCTATCAAAAGAAAGGTTCAACTTTGTTAGTTGAGTAGATACAGCATAACCAAGTTTCTGAGAATGCTTCTGTCCAGTTTTTATGGGAAGATATTTCCTTTTTCACCTTAGCCCTGAAATCGCTCCAAAAGTCCAGTTCCAGATACTACAAAAGGGGTGTTTCAAGACTGCTCTATGAAAGGGAGTGTTCAACTTTTGACTTGAATGCAAACATCAGAAAGCAGTTTCTCAGAACGCTGCTGTGTGCTTTTTATATGTATTCCCGCTTCCAGCGAAATCCCCAAAGCTAGCCAAATATCCACTTGCAGATTCCAGAAAAAGAGTGTTTCAAAACTGCTCCTTCAAAACGGTGGTTCAATTCTCTTAGTTGAGTACACACATCTCAAATAAGTTTCTGAGAATGCTTCTGTCTAGTTGTTATGGGAAGATATTTCCTTTTCCAACATAGGCCTGAAAGCGCTCCAAATGTCCACTTCCAGATACTACAAAAGGAGTGATTCAAACCTGCTCTATGATAGGGAATGTTCAACTCTGTGTCCTGAATACAAACATCACAAAGATGTTTCTCAGAACGCTGCAGTCTGCAATTTGTATGAATTCCCGCTTCCAACGAAATCCTCCAAACTAGCCAAATATCCACTTGCAGATTCCACAAAAAGAGCGTTTCAAAACTTCTCTATGAAAGAAAGGTTCTACTCCTTTAGTTGAGGACACACATCACGAGTAAGTTTCTGAGAATGCTTCTGTCTAGTTTTTATGGGAAGATATTTCCTTTCTCACCTTAGGCCGGAAAGTGCTCCAAATGTCCACTTACACACACTACAAAAAAGTGTTTCAAACCTGCTCTGTGAAAGGGAATGTTCAATTCTGTGACTTGAATGCAATCATCACAAAGAACTTTCTGAGAATGCTGCTGTCTGCTTTTTATATGTAATCCCGTTTCCAACGAAATCCTCAAATCTAGCCAAATAGCCACTTGCAGATTCCACAAAAAGAGTGTTTCAAAACTGTTCTGTCTAAAGAAATGTTCAACTGTGTTAGTTGAGGACACACATCAGAAACTAGTTTCTGAGAATGCTTCTGTCTAGTTGTTATGGGAAGATATTTCCTTTTCCAACGTAGGCCTGAAAGCGCTCCAAATGTCCACTTCCATATACTAAAAAAAGAGTGTTTCACACCTGCTCTACCAAAGGGAATGTTCTACTCTGTGACTTGAATGCAAACATCCCAAAGAAGTTTCTGAGAATGCTTCTGTCTAGATTTGATCTGAACACAATCCCGTTTCCAACGAAATCCTCAAAGCTAGGCAAATATCCTCTTGCAGATTCCAGAAAAAGAGTGTTTCAAAACTGCTCCTTCAAAACGGTGGTTCAATTCTCTTAGTTGAGTACACACATCTCAAATAAGTTTCTGAGAATGCTTCTGCCTAGTTGTTACCGGAAGATATTTCCCTTTCCAACATAGGCCTGAAAGCGCTCCAAATGTCCACTTCCAGATACTACAAAAAGAGTGTTTCAAACCTGCTCTACCAAAGGGAATGTTCTACTCTGTGACTTGAATGCAAACATCCCAAAGAAGTTTCTGAGAATGCTTCTGTCTAGATTTTACCTGAAGACAATCCCGTTTCCCACGAAATCCTCAAAGCTATGCAAATATCCTCTTGCAGATTCTACAAAAAGAGTGTTTCAAAACTGCTCTATGAAAAGAAAGGTTCAACTCTGTCAGTAGAGGGCACACATCACAAACAAGTTTCTGAGAATGCTTGTGTCTAGTTGTTATGGGAAGATATTTCCCTTTCCAAAATAGGCCTGAAAGCGCTCCAAATGTCCACTTCCAGATACTACAAAAGGAGTGATTCCAACCTGCTCTATGATAGGGAATGTTCAACACTCTGTCCTGAATACAAACATCACAAAGATGTTTCTCAGAACGCTGCAGTCTGCAATTTGTATGAATTCCCGCTTCCAACGAAATCCTCAAAACTAGCCAAATATCCACTTGCAGATTCCACAAAAAGAGCATTTCAAAACTGCTCTATCAAAAGAAAGGTTCAACTTTGTTAGTTGAGTAGATACAGCATAAACAAGTTTCTGAGAATGCTTCTGTCCAGTTTTTATGGGAAGATATTTCCTTTTTCACCTTAGCCCTGAAAGCGCTCCAAAAGTCCAGTTCCAGATACTACAAAAGGAGTGTTTCAGGACTGCTCTATGAAAGGGAGTGTTCAACTTTTGACTTGAATGCAAACATCAGAAAGCAGTTTCTCAGAACGCTTCTCTCTAGATTTTATATGAAGATATTCCCGTTTCCAACGAAATCCACAAAGCTATCGAAATATCCACTTGCAGATTCTACAAAAAGAGTGTTTCAAAACTGCTCTATCAAAAGAAAGGTTCTACCCCTTTAGTTGAGGACACACATCACGAGTAAGTTTCTGAGAATGCTTCTGTCTAGTTTTTATGGGAAGATATTTCCTTTTTCACCTGAGGCCGGAAAGCGCTCCAAATGTCCACTTCCAGATACTACAAAAGGAGTGATTCAAACCTGCTCTATGATAGGGAACGTTCAACTCTGTGTCCTGAATACAAACATCACAAAGATGTTTCTCAGAACGCTGCAGTCTGCAATTTGTATGAATTCCCGCTTCCAACGAAATCCTCAAAACTAGCCAAATATCCACTTGCAGATTCCACAAAAAGAGCGTTTCAAAACTTCTCTATGAAAAGAAAGGTTCTACTCCTTTAGTTGAGGACACACATCACGAGTAAGTTTCTGAGAATACTTCTGTCTAGTTTTTATAGGAAGATATTTCCTTGTTCACCTTAGGCCGGAAAGCGCTCCAAATGTCCACTTACACACACTACAAAAAGAGTGTTTCAAACCTGCTCTGTGAAAGGGAATGTTCAATTCTGTGACTTGAATGCAATCATCACAAAGAAGTTTCTGAGAATGCTGCTGTCTGCTTTTTATATGTAATCCCGTTTCCAACGAAATCCTCAAATCTAGCCAAATATCCACTTGCAGATTCCACAAAGAGAGTGTTTCAAATCTGCTCTGTCTAAAGAAATGTTCAACTGTGTTAGTTGAGGACACACATCAGAAACTAGTTTCTGAGAATGCTTCTGTCTAGTTGTTATGGGAAGATATTTCCTTTTCCAACGTAGGCCTGAAAGCGCTCCAAATGTCCACTTCCATATACTAAAAAAAGAGTGTTTCAAACCTGCTCTACCAAAGGGAATGTTCTACTCTGTGACTTGAATGCAAACATCCCAAAGAAGTTTCTGAGAATGCTTCTGTCTAGATTTGAGCTGAAGACAATCCCGTTTCCAACGAAATCCTCAAAGCTAGGCAAATATACTCTAGCAGATTCCAGAAAAAGAGTGTTTCACAACTGCTCCTTCAAAACGGTGGTTCAATTCTCTTAGTTGAGTACACACATCTCAAATAAGTTTCTGAGAATGCTTCTGCCTAGTTGTTAAGGGAAGATATTTCCCTTTCCAACATAAGCCTGAAAGCGCTCCAAATGTCCACTTCCAGATACTACAAAAAGAGTGTTTCAAACCTGCTCTACCAAAGGGAATGTTCTACTCTGTGACTTGAATGCAAACATCCCAAAGAAGTTTCTGAGAATGCTTCTGTCTAGATTTTATCTGAAGACAATCCCGTTTCCAACGAAATTCTCAAGGCTAGGCAAATATACTCTTGCAGATTCCAGAAAAAGAGTGTTTCAAAACTGCTCCTTCAAAACGGTGGTTCAATTCTCTTAGTTGAGTACACACATCTCAAATAAGTTTCTGAGAATGCTTCTGCCTAGTTGTTACGGGAAGATATTTCCCTTTCCAACATGGGCCTGAAAGCGCTCCAAATGTCCACTTCCAGATACTACAAAAAGAGGGTTTCAAACCTGCTCTACCAAAGGGAATGTTCTACTCTGTGACTTGAATGCAAACATCCCAAAGTAGTTTCTGAGAATGCTTCTGTCTAGATTTTACCTGAAGACAATCCCGTTTCCCACGAAATCCTCAAAGCTATGCAAATATCCTCTTGCAGATTCTACAAAAAGAGTGTTTCAAAACTGCTCTATGAAAAGAAAGGTTCAACTCTGTCAGTAGAGGGCACACATCACAAACAAGTTTCTGAGAATGCTTGTGTCTAGTTGTTATGGGAAGATATTTCCTTTTTCAACATAGGCCTGAAAGCGCTCCAAATGTCCACTTCCAGATACTACAAAAGGAGTGATTCCAACCTGCTCTATGATAGGGAATGTTCATCTCTGTGTCCTGAATACAAACATCACAAAGATGTTTCTCAGAACGCTGCAGTCTGCAATTTGTATGAATTCCCGCTTCCAACGAAATCCTCAAAACTAACCAAATATCCACTTGGAGATTCCACAAAAAGAGCGTTTCAAAACTTCTCTATGAATAGAAAGGTTCTACTCCTTTAGTTGAGGACACACATCACGAGTAAGTTTCTGAGAATGCTTCTGTCTAGTTTTTATGGGAAGATATGTCCTTTTTCACCTTAGGCCGGAAAGCGCTCCAAATGTCCACTTACACACACTACAAAAAGAGTGTTTCAAACCTGCTCTGTGAAAGGGAATGTTCAATTCTGTGACTTGAATGCAATCATCACAAAGAACTTTCTGAGAATGCTGCTGTCTGCTTTTTATATGTAATCCCGTTTCCAACGAAATCCTCAAATCTAGCCCAATATCCACTTGCAGATTCCACAAAAAGAGTGTTTCAAAACTGTTCTGTATAAAGAAATGTACAACTGTGTTAGTTGAGGACACACATCACAAACTAGTTTCTGAGAATGCTTCTGTCTAGTTGTTATGGGAAGATATTTCCTTTTCCAACGTAGGCCTGAAAGCGCTCCAAATGTCCACTTCCATATACTAAAAAAAGAGTGTTTCAAACCTGCTCTACCAAAGGGAATGTTCTACTCTGTGACTTGAATGCAAACATCCCAAAGAAGTTTCTGAGAATGCTTCTGTCTAGATTTTATCTGAAGACAATCCCGTTTCCAACGAAATCCTCAAGGCTAGGAAAATATACTCTTGCAGATTCCAGAAAAAGAGTGTTTCAAAACTGCTCCTTCAAAACGGTGGTTCAATTCTCTTAGTTGAGTACACACATCTCAAATAAGTTTCTGAGAATGCTTCTGCCTAGTTGTTACGGGAAGATATTTCCCTTTCCAACATGGGCCTGAAAGCGCTCCAAATGTCCACTTCCAGATACTACAAAAAGAGTGTTTCAAACCTGCTCTACCAAAGGGAATGTTCTACTCTGTGACTTGAATGCAAACATCCCAAAGAAGTTTCTGAGAATGCTTCTGTCTAGATTTTACCTGAAGACAATCCCGTTTCCCACGAAATCCTCAAAGCTATGCAAATATCCTCTTGCAGATTCTACAAAAAGAGTGTTTCAAAACTGCTCTATGAAAAGAAAGGTTCAACTCTGTCAGTGGAGGGCACACATCACAAACAAGTTTCTGAGAACGCTTGTGTCTAGTTGTTATGGGAAGATATTTCCTTTTTCAACATAGGCCTGAAAGCGCTCCAAATGTCCACTTCCAGATACTACAAAAGGAGTGATTCCAACATGCTCTATGATAGGGAATGTTCATCTCTGTGTCTTGAATACAAACATCACAAAGATGTTTCTCAGAACGCTGCAGTCTGCAATTTGTATGAATTCCCGCTTCCAACGAAATCCTCAAAACTAACCAAATAACCACTTGGAGATTCCACAAAAAGAGCGTTTCAAAACTTCTCTATGAATAGAAAGGTTCTACTCCTTTAGTTGAGGACACACATCACGAGTAAGTTTCTGAGAATGCTTCTGTCTAGTTTTTATGGGAAGATATGTCCTTTTTCACCTTAGGCCGGAAAGCACTCCAAATGTCCACTTACACACACTACAAAAAGAGTGTTTCAAACCTGCTCTGTGAAAGGGAATGTTCAATTCTGTGACTTGAATGCAATCATCACAAAGAACTTTCTGAGAATGCTGCTGACTGCTTTTTATATGTAATCCCGTTTCCAACGAAATCCTCAAATCTAGCCCAATATCCACTTGCAGATTCCACAAAAAGATTGTTTCAAAACTGTTCTGTCTAAGGAAATGTACAACTGTGTTAGTTGAGGACACACATCAGAAACTAGTTTCTGAGAATGCTTCTGTCTAGTTGTTATGGGAAGATATTTCCTTTTCCAACGTAGGCCTGAAAGCGCTCCAAATGTCCACTTCCATATACTAAAAAAAGAGTGTTTCAAACCTGCTCTACCAAAGGGAATGTTCTACTCTGTGACTTGAATGCAAACATCCCAAAGAAGTTTCTGAGAATGCTTCGGTCTAGATTTTATCTGAAGACAATCCCGTTTCCAACGAAATCCTCAAGGCTAGGAAAATATACTCTTGCAGATTCCAGAAAAAGAGTGTTTCAAAACTGCTCCTTCAAAACGGTGGTTCAATTCTCTTAGTTGAGTACACACATCTCAAATAAGTTTCTGAGAATGCTTCTGCCTAGTTGTTACGGGAAGATATTTCCCTTTCCAACATGGGCCTGAAAGCGCTCCAAATGTCCACTTCCAGATACTACAAAAAGAGTGTTTCAAACCTACTCTACCAAAGGGAATGTTCTACTCTGTGACTTGAATGCAAACATCCCAAAGAAGTTTCTGAGAATGCTTCTGTCTAGATTTTACCTGAAGACAATCCCGTTTCCCACGAAATCCTCAAAGCTATGCAAATATCCTCTTGCGGATTCTACAAAAAGAGTGTTTCAAAACTGCTCTATGAAAAGAAAGGTTCAACTCTGTCAGTAGAGGGCACACATCACAAACAAGTTTCTGAGAATGCTTGTGTCTAGTTGTTATGGGAAGATATTTCCTTTTTCAACATAGGCCTGAAAGCGCTCCAAATGTCCACTTCCAGATACTACAAAAGGAGTGATTCCAACCTGCTCTATGATAGGGAATGTTCATGTCTGTGTCCTGAATACAAACATCACAAAGATGTTTCTCAGAACGCTGCAGTCTGCAATTTGTATGAATTCCCGCTTCCTACGAAATCCTCAACACTAGCCAAATATCCACTTGGAGATTCCACAAAAAGAGCGTTTCAAAACTTCTCTATGAATAGAAAGGTTCTACTCCTTTAGTTGAGGACACACATCACGAGTAAGTTTCTCAGAATGCTTCTGTCTAGTTTTTATGGGAAGATATGTCCTTTTTCACCTTAGGCCGGAAAGCGCTCCAAATGTCCACTTACACACACTACAGAAAGAGTGTTTCAAACCTGCTCTGTGAAAGGGAATGTTCAATTCTGTGACTTGAATGCAATCATCACAAAGAACTTTCTGAGAATGCTGCTGTCTGCTTTTTATATGTAATCCCGTTTCCAACGAAATACTCAAATCTAGCCCAATATCCACTTGCAGATTCCACAAAAAGAGTGTTTCAAAACTGTTCTGTCTAAAGAAATGTACAACTGTGTTAGTTGAGGACACACATCACAAACTAGTTTCTGAGAATGCTTCTGTCTAGTTGTTATGGGAAGATATTTCCTTTTCCAAAGTAGGCCTGAAAGCGCTCCAAATGTCCACTTCCATATACTAAAAAAAGAGTGTTTCAAACCTGCTCTACCAAAGGGAATGTTCTACTCTGTGACTTGAATGCAAACATCCCAAAGAAGTTTCTGAGAATGCTTCTGTCTAGATTTTATCTGAAGACAATCCCGTTTCCAACGAAATCCTCAAGGCTAGGCAAATATACTCTTGCAGATTCCAGAAAAAGAGTGTTTCAAAACTGCTCCTTCAAAACGGTGGTTCAATTCTCTTAGTTGAGTACACACATCTCAAATAAGTTTCTGAGAATGCTTCTGCCTAGTTGTTACGGGAAGATATTTCCCTTTCCAACATGGGCCTGAAAGCGCTCCAAATGTCCACTTCCAGATACTACAAAAAGAGTGTTTCAAACCTGCTCTACCAAACGGAATGTTCTACTCTGTGACTTGAATGCAAACATCCCAAAGAAGTTTCTGAGAATGCTTCTGTCTAGATTTTACCTGAAGACAATCCCGTTTCCCACGAAATCCTCAAAGCGATGCAAATATCCTCTTGCGGATTCTACAAAAAGAGTGTTTCAAAACTGCTCTATGAAAAGAAAGGTTCAACTCTGTCAGTAGAGGGCACACATCACAAACAAGTTTCTGAGAATGCTTGTGTCTAGTTGTTATGGGAAAATATTTCCTTTTTCAACATAGGCCTGAAAGCGCTCCAAATGTCCACTTCCAGATACTACAAAAGGAGTGATTCCAACCTGCTCTATGATAGGGAATGTTCATCTCTGTGTCCTGAATACAAACATCACAAAGATGTTTCTCAGAACGCTGCAGTCTGCAATTTGGATGAATTCCCGCTTCCAACGAAATCCTCAAAACTAGCCAAATATCCACTTGGAGATTCCACAAAAAGAGCGTTTCAAAACTTCTCTATGAATAGAAAGGTTCTACTCCTTTAGTTGAGGACACACATCACGAGTAAGTTTCTGAGAATGCTTCTGTCTAGTTTTTATGGAGAGATATTTCCTTTTTCACCTTAGGCCGGAAAGTGCTCCAAATGTCCACTTACACACACTATACAAAGAGTGTTTCAAACCTGCGCTGTGAAAGGGAATGTTCAATACTGTGACTTGAATGCAATCATCACAAAGAAGTTTCTGAGAATGCTGCTGTCTGCTTTTTATATGGAATCCCGTTTCCAACGAAATCCTCAAATCTAGCCAAATAGCCACTTGCAGATACCACAAAAAGAGTGTTTCAAAACTGTTCTGTCTAAAGAAATGTTCAACTGTGTTAGTTGAGGACACACATCAGAAACTAGTTTCTGAGAATGCTTCTGTCTAGTTGTTATGGGAAGATATTTCCTTTTCCAACGTAGGCCTGAAAGCGCTCCAAATGTCCACTTCCATATACTAAAAAAAGAGTGTTTCAAACCTGCTCTACCAAAGGGAATGTTCTACTCTGTGACTTGAATGCAAACATCCCAAAGAAGTTTCTGAGAATGCTTCTGTCTAGATTTTATCTGAAGACAATCCCGTTTCCAACGAAATCCTCAAGGCTAGGCAAATATACTCTTGCAGATTCCAGAAAAAGAGTGTTTCAAAACTGCTCCTTGAAAACGGTGGTTCAATTCTCTTAGTTGAGTACACACATCTCAAATAAGTTTCTGAGAATGCTTCTGCCTAGTTGTTACGGGAAGATATTTCCCTTTCCAACATGGGCCTGAAAGCGCTCCAAATGTCCACTTCCAGATACTACAAAAAGAGGGTTTCAAACCTGCTCTACCAAAGGGAATGTTCTACTCTGTGACTTGAATGCAAACATCCCAAAGAAGTTTCTGAGAATGCTTCTGTCTAGATTTTACCTGAAGACAATCCCGTTTCCCACGAAATCCTCAAAGCTATGCAAATATCCTCTTGCAGATTCTACAAAAAGAGTGTTTCAAAACTGCTCTATGAAAAGAAAGGTTCAACTCTGTCAGTAGAGGGCACACATCACAAACAAGTTTCTGAGAATGCTTGTGTCTAGTTGTTATGGGAAGATATTTCCTTTTTCAACATAGGCCTGAAAGCGCTCCAAATGTCCACTTCCAGATACTACAAAAGGAGTGATTCCAACCTGCTCTATGATAGGGAATGTTCAACTCTGTGTCCTGAATACAAACATCACAAAGATGTTTCTCAGAACGCTGCAGTCTGCAATTTGTATGAATTCCCGCTTCCAACGAAATCCTCAAAACTAGCCAAACATCCACTTGCAGATTCCACAAAAAGAGCGTTTCAAAACTTATCTATGAAAAGAAAGGTTCTACTTCTTTAGTTGAGGACACACATCACGAGTAAGTTCCTGAGAATGCTTCTGTCTAGTTTTTATGGAGAGATATTTCCTTTTTCACCTTAGGCCGGAAAGTGCTCCAAATGTCCACTTACACACACTATACAAAGAGTGTTTCAAACCTGCGCTGTGAAAGGGAATGTTCAATACTGTGACTTGAATGCAATCATCACAAAGAAGTTTCTGAGAATGCTGCTGTCTGCTTTTTATATGGAATCCCGTTTCCAACGAAATCCTCAAATCTAGCCAAATAGCCACTTGCAGATACCACAAAAAGAGTGTTTCAAAACTGTTCTGTCTAAAGAAATGTTCAACTGTGTTAGTTGAGGACACACATCAGAAACTAGTTTCTGAGAATGCTTCTGTCTAGTTGTTATGGGAAGATATTTCCTTTTCCAACGTAGGCCTGAAAGCGCTCCAAATGTCCACTTCCATATACTAAAAAAAGAGTGTTTCAAACCTGCTCTACCAAAGGGAATGTTCTACTCTGTGACTTGAATGCAAACATCCCAAAGAAGTTTCTGAGAATGCTTCTGTCTAGATTTTACCTGAAGACAATCCCGTTTCCCACGAAATCCTCAAAGCTATGCAAATATCCTCTTGCAGATTCTACAAAAAGAGTGTTTCAAAACTGCTCTATGAAAAGAAAGGTTCAACTCTGTCAGTAGAGGGCACACATCACAAACAAGTTTCTGAGAATGCTTGTGTCTAGTTGTTATGGGAAGATATTTCCTTTTTCAACATAGGCCTGAAAGCGCTCCAAATGTCCACTTCCAGATACTACAAAAGGAGTGATTCCAACCTGCTCTATGATAGGGAATGTTCAACTCTCTGTCCTGAATACAAACATCACAAAGATGTTTCTCAGAACGCTGCAGTCTGCAATTTGTATGAATTCCCGCTTCCAACGAAATCCTCAAAACTAGCCAAATATCCACTTGCAGATTCCACAAAAAGAGCATTTCAAAACTGCTCTATCAAAAGAAAGGTTCAACTTTGTTAGTTGAGTAGATACAGCATAAACAAGTTTCTGAGAATGCTTCTGTCCAGTTTTTATGGGAAGATATTTCCTTTTTCACCTTAGCCCTGAAAGCGCTCCAAAAGTCCAGTTCCAGATACTACAAAAGGGGTGTTTCAAGACTGCTGCTATGAAAGGGAGTGTTCAACTTTTGACTTGAATGCAAACATCAGAAAGCAGTTTCTCAGAACGCTTCTCTCTAGATTTTATATGAAGATATTCCCGTTTCCAACGAAATCCACAAAGCTATCGAAATATCCACTTGCAGATTCTACAAAAAGAGTGTTTCAAAACTGCTCTATCAAAAGAAAGGTTCTACCCCTTTAGTTGAGGACACACATCACGAGTAAGTTTCTGAGAATGCTTCTGTCTAGTTTTTATGGGAAGATATTTCCTTTTTCACCTGAGGCCGGAAAGCGCTCCAAATGTCCACTTCCAGATACTACAAAAGGAGTGATTCAAACCTGCTCTATGATAGGGAACGTTCAACTCTGTGTCCTGAATACAAACATCACAAAGATGTTTCTCAGAACGCTGCAGTCTGCAATTTGTATGAATTCCCGCTTCCAACGAAATCCTCAAAACTAGCCAAATATCCACTTGCAGATTCCACAAAAAGAGCGTTTCAAAACTTCTCTATGAAAAGAAAGGTTCTACTCCTTTAGTTGAGGACACACATCACGAGTAAGTTTCTGAGAATACTTCTGTCTAGTTTTTATGGGAAGATATTTCCTTGTTCACCTTAGGCCGGAAAGCGCTCCAAATGTCCACTTACACACACTACAAAAAGAGTGTTTCAAACCTGCTCTGTGAAAGGGAATGTTCAATTCTGTGACTTGAATGCAATCATCACAAAGAAGTTTCTGAGAATGCTGCTGTCTGCTTTTTATATGTAATCCCGTTTCCAACGAAATCCTCAAATCTAGCCAAATATCCACTTGCAGATTCCACAAAGAGAGTGTTTCAAAACTGTTCTGTCTAAAGAAATGTTCAACTGTGTTAGTTGAGGACACACATCAGAAACTAGTTTCTGAGAATGCTTCTGTCTAGTTGTTATGGGAAGATATTTCCTTTTCCAACGTAGGCCTGAAAGCGCTCCAAATGTCCACTTCCATATACTAAAAAAAGAGTGTTTCAAACCTGCTCTACCAAAGGGAATGTTCTACTCTGTGACTTGAATGCAAACATCCCAAAGAAGTTTCTGAGAATGCTTCTGTCTAGATTTTATCTGAAGACAATCCCGTTTCCAACGAAATCCTCAAGGCTAGGCAAATATACTCTTTCAGATTCCAGAAAAAGAGTGTTTCAAAACTGCTCCTTCAAAACTGTGGTTCAATTGTGCTTCGTTGAGTACACACATCTCAAATAAGTTTCTGAGAATGCTTCTGCCTAGTTGTTACGGGAAGATATTTCCCTTTCCAACATAGGCCTGAAAGCGCTCCAAATGTCCACTTCCAGATACTACAAAAAGAGTGTTTCAAACCTGCTCTACCAAAGGGAATGTTCTACTCTGTGACTTGAATGCAAACATCCCGAAGAATTTTCTGAGAATGCTTCTGTCTAGATTTTACCTGAAGACAATCCCGTTTCCCACGAAATCCTCAAAGCTATGCAAATATCCTCTTGCAGATTCTACAAAAAGAGTGTTTCAAAACTGCTCTATGAAAAGAAAGGTTCAACTCTGTCAGTAGAGGGCACACATCACAAACAAGTTTCTGAGAATGCTTGTGTCTACTTGTTATGGGAAGATATTTCCTTTTTCAACCTAGGTCTGAAAGCGCTCGAAATGGCCACTTCCAGATACTACGAAAGGAGTGATTCCAACCTGCTCTATGATAGGGAATGTTCAACTCTGTGTCCTGAATACAAACATCACAAAGATGTTTCTCAGAACGCTGCAGTCTGCAATTTGTATGAATTCCCGCTTCCAACGAAATCCTCAAAACTAGCCAAATATCCACTTGCAGACTCCACAAAAAGAGCATTTCAAAACTGCTCTATCAAAAGAAAGGTTCAACTTTGTTAGCTGAGTAGATACAGCATAAACAAGTTTCTGAGAATGCTCTTCTGTCCAGTTTTTATGGGAAGATATTTCCTTTTTCACCTTAGCCCTGAAATCGCTCCAAAAGTCCAGTTCCAGATACTACAAAAGGGGCGCTCCCACGCCTCCCCCATCCCTCCCTCCTTTCTTCCCTTCCTTTCTTTCATTTCTTTCATTTCACTTCTCTTCTATGTAGAGTTTGATTCTTCACAACTTGGCTGAAAACATTCATGAAGACTGCCTGGTATGTTAGAGGTTGGCTTGTTGGGAGAAACAAAGGAAAAGAGGCAGAAAAAAAGCAATAAAAATGGTAATGAGAATGTTGACAAATTGAATATTTTGCATAGGGCAGACGGGACTGAGTTTGAGATAGGTGGACTTGTGTGTTCTATGTGATTTAAAGAATATATACATTAAAATGCACAGATCTTAAGCATTCAATTTAATGGGTTTTGACTTGTATACACCCACACAACCATCATGCCAAACAAAATTTAGAATGTTTCTATGGCCCTGGAAAATTCTTTCATAGCCCTTTCACACAACCCTGTCGCCTTCCAGGGGCAACCACTGTTCTAACAATTTCCATCACAATAAATTAAATTTGCCACTTCTTGGGCTTTATTTA